>NC_000002.12:203247193-203550224 GCF_000001405.40 Homo sapiens
GAGGCTGCAGTGAGCCAAGATTGTGCCACTGTACTCCAGCCTGGGCGACAGAGCGAGACTGTCTCAAAAAAATAAAAAAAGAATTAATGTTTATAAATAAAAACTGTATATATATATTGTTCTTGGATAGGAATAGCCAACATTTATTGAATGCTTTGTACTATGTGCTAGGCACTGTGCTGATGTCTTATTGCCTAATTTAAGATAGTATTTTAAATAATTGTGTTTTTCCTTAATTTATAAGCATATATGATAAAATCTCAGTGTAAATTCCAACAGGATTTTTTTGGGACCCTGAAAAAATAGTTCCAAGGTATATCTGGAAGAGTAAAGAGTAAATGTACATGAGCAACCAGGAAACAATCCTAAAAAGAGTATTAATGGGCTGGGCATGGTGGCTCACACCTGTAATCTCAGCACTTTGGGAGGCCGAAGCAGGTGGATCATGAGGTCAGGAGATCGAGACCATCCTAGCCAACATGGTGAAACCCTGTCTTTACTAAAAATACAAAAATTAGCTGAGCGTGGTGAGGTGTGCCTGTAGTCCCAGCTACTCGGGAGGCTGAGGCAAGAGAATTGCTTGAACCTGGGAGGCAGAGGTTGCAGTGAGCTGAGATCGCACCACTGCACTCCAGCCTGGGCAACAGAGTAAGATTCCATCTCCAAAAAACACAGAATATTAATGAGGGAAATACTTGTACCATCAGTTAGTATAGAGTATTATAAAGCTAGATTAAAGAATCTTGTATTGGCCAGGCATAGTGGCTCACACCTGTAATCCCAACATTTTAGGAGGCCAAGGTGGGAGGATCACTTGAGCCCAGGAGTTCAAGACCAGTCTGGGCAACATAGTGAGACCCCATTGCTACAAAAAATACAAAAATTAGCCAGATGTGATACATGTGCCTGTAGACCTAGCTACTTGGGAGGCTGAGGTGGGAGGATTGCTTGAGTTCGGGAGGTTGAGGCTTCAGTGAGCCAAGGTTGCGCCACTCTACTCCAGCCAGGCAGCCAGGGGACAGGGCAAGAACCTGTCTCTTGAAAAAAAAGAATCTCCTGGCCGGGCGTGATGGCTCCTGCCTGGTGTCCCAGCACTTTGGGAGGCCAAGGCAGGCAGATCACATGAGGTCAGGATTTCGAGACCAGCCTGGCCAACATGGTAAAACCCTGTCGCTACTAAAAATACAAAAATTAGCCAGGCCTGGTGATGTGCGCCTGTAATCCCAGCTACTTGGGAGACTGAGGCAGGATAATCTCTTGAACCCGGGAGGCAGAGGTTGCAGTGAGCTGAGATCATACCACTGCGCTCCAGCCTGGGTGACAGAGGGAGACTCCATCTCAAAAAAAAAAGACTCTCATACTGTGGTCAAGCTAGGCAAACAGATGTAAAAGAGTAGAGAGTTCAGAAGACAAACCAAATATGTATGATAAAGATAGCATTTTATGACAAAAGGGAAAAGTAATAAATGTTTTGGGGAATATTGGTTAGCTATTTGTAAAAAATAAATCTCAATCCCTGCCTTATTCTATTCCCCCCGCCCCGCCCAGCTTTTGCCCAGGCTAGAGTGCAGCAGTGCTATCATAGCTCTCTGTATAACCTACAACTCCTGGGCTCAAGCAATCCTCCCACCTCAGCCTCCTGAGTAGGTGAGACTATAGGCATGCACCACCATGCCTGGCTAATTTATTTACTTTTTAGTGGAGATGAGGTCTTGCTACGTTGCCCAGGCTGGCCTCCAACTCCTAGACTCAAGCGATTCTCCCACCTCTGCCCTCCAAAATGCTGGGATTATAGGTGTGAGCCACTTCACCTGGCCTCTGCCTTATTTCTTATATAAAAATAAATTCTAGATGATTAAAATATCAGGTCATAAAGGTAATACAAGAAAACATGGTTAAATATTAAATTTTTTCTCTTTGGTTGGAGAGAATGTAGATAAACCTCTTACAATGGTACAAGATCTAGAAGCTATAAAACACAAGTTAGATAAATCTGTCTACATAAAAATGAAAAATTTTAGTACAATAACAAACATCTTGAATGGATGCGGTAGCACATAGCTGTAGTCCCAGCTACTCAGGAAGCCGAGGTGCGAAGATCGCTTGAACCCAAGAGTTGAAGACCAGTCTGGGAGACACATTGAGACTGTCTCTAAATTAAAAACAAAGTCAAAATCACCTTGAGAAAGGAAGAAAGAGAGATGGTAAAATGTTGGCCACACATTGCTACACCTGATGTGTAGTAATTGATTACCATATTTTTGTTAAATAAAAAGGCACCATGACAAAATTTAAAAGAGAAATGGAAAAGTAATTTACCACCAATATGTTAAATATATATAGTCCTTAAAAACTAATAAGAAAAAATAGGCCAGGCATGGTGGCTCACGCCTGTAATCCCAGCACTTTGGGAGGCTGAGGTGGGCAGATCACCTGAGGTCAGGAGTTCGAGACCAGCCTGGCCAACATGGTGAAACCCCGTCTCTACTAAAAATACAAAAATTAGCTGAGCATGGTGGCAGATACCTGTAATCCCAGCTACTGGAGAGGCTGAGGCATGAAAATCGCTTGAACCTGTGAGGTGGAGGTTGTGGTAAGCCGAGATCAAGCCATTGCACTCCAACCTGGATGACAGATCGAGACTCCATCTCAAAAAAGAAAAAAAATGCCCTTTTAGAAAAATGGGCAAAAACAAGCTCATTAAGAAAGGAGTAAACAAATTTAAAGATTTCAGCCTCACTAATACTCAGCTGGGTACAAATAAAAATGAGAAATTTTACTTATCTCCCTAGAAGAGATGAAGAATACTGGCAGAACACACTGTTGATGAGGGAATGGGAAATCATGTGGTGTACATGTACTATACAAGCTCTCTGGAGAAAAAGTTGACAGTAACCATTGACCTAACAATAATATCTTAAGGAGTTGATCCATAAATTGATCATCACAGATGTGAGAAAATATTTATATTAGCATTGTTTATAAAAAAAAATTTGAAGCAACCTAAATATCAATGGCTGAATAAATGAATACTTTCAGGCCTGAATACGATGATGTAGATTGATTTTATCAGATACTTATATAGCAATTATGATATCTCAGCACTATTCCAAGCCCTTTACAAATATTAACTCATTTAATTCTCAGAACAACTTCATGAAGAAGGTATTATGGTTATCCCTTTTTTGTGGAAGAGAAACCTGAGGTACAGAGAGGTTAAGTTACTTGCCTAAGGTCACAGCTAATTAGTGATGGAGCTAGGACTTGAAGTCAGGCAATCTGGTTCAAGATTGTGCTTTTGTAGAACAAGGATCTCTGAGGAAGAAAAAAAAAAGATTGTGCTTTTAATTACTAGGCTTTATACAACATGAAAAGATGGCTCTGTCAGGGAATATAATGAGGAAAACCAGAATGGTCTCTGCTCCTATGGAGTTTCTAGGCTAATGTTGGAGAGTGAGGGAAGTATGTAAACATTCAAATTATCACACTAATGAACTGAGAGAAGTGCTCTGAAAGAGGAGAATGTAGTTCTTTGTGAAATCTGACAGATTTTTCTGTCTCTCTCTCTGTTAAGAAATGATAACAGCTAGGCCGGGTGCGGTGGCTCACGCCTGTAATCCCAGCGCTTTGGGAGGCCGAGGCGGGCGGATCACGAGGTCAGGAGATCGAGACCATCCTGGCTAACACGGTGAAACCCCATCTCCACTAAAAATACAAAAAATTAGCCGGGCATGCTGGCAGGAGCCTGTAGTCCCAGCTACTCGGGAGGCTGAGGCAGGAGAATGGCGTGAACCCGGGAGGCGGAGCTTGCGGTGAGCCAAGATTGCGCCACTGCACTCCAGCCTGGGGGACAGAGCGAGATTCTGTCTCAAAAAAAAAAAAAAAAAAAAAAGAGATGATAACAGCTGTGAAAAATGTCTAAAATGTTAACAGTATCTCGGATGCATTTTGCTGTCTTTTCTGTATTGTTTGAATTGTTTTTACAATGACAGTGTATCTTTGTATGCGTGTGAAAACAATAGTCATTAAAGAAACAAGAATTGGAGAAAATAAATTTTTGAATCCAGCTAAATAATTTTACTGTAATACTTGATAACCACAAATCACAAACTTATCCATTTTGCTTTAAAATCAGGGGAATGTGCTTTTTTTAAAAAAATTTGAAGACATTATAGTTATGTAGGTAGAAAATTTATGTCTGTATTAATGACTTAACAGTGGAATTCCCAGTCAGGATATTGTGTTCTTGCCAATTTTCACTGACTCTTAAATTGTTCATATTTTAAAAACAGTTTGCTGGGTGCGGCAGCTCATGCCTGTAATCTCAGCACTTTGGGAGGCTGAGGCAGGCGGATCACTTGGGATCAGGAGTTCGAGACCAGCCTGGCCAACATGTTGAAACCCCGTCTCTACTAGAAGTACAAAATTAGCCAGGAGTGTTGGCACACGCCTGTAATCCTAGCTACTTGGGAGGCTGAGGCAGGAGAATTGCTTGAAACTCGGAGGCGGAGGTTGCAGTGAGCCGAGATCATGACATTGCACTCCAGCCTAGGCGAGAAGAGTGAAACTCTGTCTCAAAAGAAAACTATATATATATGTGTATATATATATATATATATATATAAAAAATAAAAAATAAAAACAAGGGAATTATGAAAAACAGTTGCCATGCTTTCAGCTACAATTCTTTACCTCCCTGATCTCTTGTTCTCTTACAGGGTATCTTTTTGAGTGATTATTTTGATACAGAAATATTTAATTTGTCTGTTTCAGCGGACCCTTTTGAAACCATGCTGAAGTCATTATTAAGGTATCAATCTGGTGGTGGCAGTGTGAGTGAAAACCACATGAGGAAAAAATTGTATGAAAATGGTGTGACTGATTCTCTGAAGAGTAACTTTGCCCTCCTCCTAAAGGTAAGGTGATAAGTAGTTTGGTCTAGTGTTCTACAACATAAATAATAGTATTTATTTTTTGAGTATTGGTGTGTACTATCTTTGTTACTCTTTTCTTTCCTGTCCCTCTAAGCTAATTTTATTCTGAAATTAAAAACGACAACAATAACAAAACACACACACACAAAAGAAAAGAAAACAAAAATCTTAACATCCAGACTCACTGTATAAGTTGGAATGATGAGAGTAGAGAGCACCTGAAGAAGTTTCTGTATGTATGTATGTGTATATATATATATATATTTTGTTGTTGTTATTGTTGTTGAGACAGAGTCTCACTCTGTCACCCAGGCTGGAGTACAGTGGTGTGATCTCGGCTCACTGCAACCTCCGCCTCTTAGGTTTAAGCAATTCTCGTGCCTCAGCCTCCCTAGTAGCTGGGATTACAGGTGCGCACCATCACACCGGGCTAATTTTTGTATTTTTAGTAGAGGCAGGGTTTCACCATGTTGGCCAGGCTGGTCTCAAACTCCTGACCTCAAGTGGTCTACCCACCTCTGCCTCCCAAAGTGCTCCATGATAGGAGTTTTCAGATGCTGCTTGGCTTTGGAGAGTTCCTTATTCCCACTACACCTCTGAGCTGTAGGGCAGCTCCTATTAGCCGTATGCAGATTGCCACTAGTCTTAGTTGGCCCCACACTTTCTCGGAGCACACAGTCCACGCTAAGAGATCTGTGACTCCCCACTTCGCGGTTGATGAGCCTAATTAGGGCCCTCCATTCACACACTTTCACACACTTCCCCACTCCTAGTTCCTATGTTCGTAATTGGGGTGGTGAGAGTGGCCACCCAGTTTCCCAGTTGGGGTGGCGAGCCATTTTCGTCACCTCCAGTTTCCTAGTTGGGGTGGCGAGCCACTCTTGCCACCTCCAGTTTCCTTTTTGTAACTGTCTTAGCGAGCCACTCTCACGTCCTGTGTTGGTTCGGGTGTGAGTTTCATATGAATTGACGAGCCACTCTTGTCACCCCAAGCCCCTCTGGGTCAGACTATTCGGCACACCCCAGGAGGTGATCAGGCTCCCCTTCTGTCCCCACGGGTCCTGCCTTGGGCCCCAAAACCTTACTGCGGTTCCTGAAGCGCACTGTTTCTGAAATTGTCCTATAGCCCCTCTTTAGGTTCTGTTGTGCTGCTGGGTAGGGGCGCCAGGTCAGGGGAGAGCTGATCTCCCCTATGGGCTGAAGTTCTCCCGGCAGTGCCTGGGGTGACAGGTCTCCCCTGGCCCAGGGCTCCGGGCTCCATCCTCCAGAGGCAAAGGAGACAGTAAGCCTGCCATCTCGGGTCCTTTCATGGTCACCAAAAATGTTGTGGGGAACTGAGGACCAGAGAGACTGATATGGAGAACAGGAGGATTGTTTATTTTAAGGTACGCACCGGCTCAGTGGATTCACATCCAAAAAACTAAACATTGAACAAAGACAGAACGTGGTTTTTATAAGCAGATTTACAGAAGCAAAACAAAAGCAGTTAATCATACAGTGACAGGTCACATAATCTATAGCATAACATAAGTTGTGGCCTTGCATAGCTGGTGAGCTTGTAGCTGCATTGAAAGAAAAACAAGAACTGGTTAAATACAGACATTTGTAATACATAATCATGCTTAAGAAGCCAAGGAAAGGAGTAACAGTAAAAAAATTTGTCTTTTTCTTTTTCTTTTTTTTTTTCCTTTAACCTTGCTCTGGATGGGGGTGGTGGTGTTTGGAGCCTATTCCTTTGGCCTTGGCTTTCTGGACAGTGTTATCTTATAACTGTCCTTGAAGTGAGCTTGCTAGGCAGAGGAAAACTTGTTCTTTTCTTTCTTTTTTTCTTTTTTTTTGATACAGAGTCTCACTCTGTCGCCCAGGCTGGAATGCAGTGGCGTGATCTCGGCTCACTGCAACTTCCGCCTCCTGGGTTCAAGCAATTCTCTGCCTCAGCCTCCCGAGTAGCTGGGATTACAGGCGCCTGCCACCATGCCCAGCTCATTTTTTGTATTTTTAGTAGAGATGGGGTTTCACCATCTTGGCCAGGCTGGTCTTGAACTCCTGACCTTGTGATCCACCACCTCAGCCTCCCAAAGTGCTGGGATTACAGGCATGAGCCACCGTGCCCGGCCTTGTTCTTTTATTTTTAACCCTTGCCTTCCCTGTTACTTAGAGTGAATGAATGCATATTTATTTTTAAATTTCTGCCTCAACTTGAGGTCAGGAGTTCGAGACTGGCCTGCCTAATATGATGAAACCCTATCTTTACTAAAAATACAAAAATTAGCTGCGTGTGGTAGCACATGCCTGTAGTCCTAGCTACTCGGGAGGCTGAGGCAGAAGCATCATGTGAACCAAGGAGGTGAAGGTTGCAGTGAGCCAAGATCATGCCACTCACTGCACTCCAGTCTGGGCGACAGAGCTAGACTCGTCTCAAAAAAAAAAAAAAAATTGTTATCATTCCGGTGTTTTGTGTGCACAATAGAATTTTAATGTAATCAGATTATACTGCGTGGATAGTCTTTGTGTTTTTTATTTACCATTGTATTGTAAGCATTTTTATAGCACTTAGTATTCTTTGAAAATCACATTTGATCTGGGTGTAGTGGCTCACACCTGTAATCTCAGCACTTTGAGAGGCTGAGGTGGGTGGATCGTTTGAGGGCAGGAGTTCCAGACCAGCCTGGCCACCATGGTGAAAGTCCATCTCTACTAAAAATACAGAAAAATTAGCCGGGCGTGGTGGCACGTGTCTGTAGTCCCAGCTACTTAGGATGTTGAGGCATGAGAATCACTTGAACCTGGGAGGCGGAGGTTGCAGTGAGCCAAGATTGCGCCACTGCACTCCAGCCTGGGTAACAGAGTGAGACTCCGTCTCCAAAAAAAAAAAGAGGAAAAAAGAAAAGAAAATCACATTTGAAAAGAATCTCTAATGTCAATTTTACCTTCTAAATGCCTTTCTAATTGATCTACTTCTCTCCCACCAGCATTGCCATCACCCTGGTTTAGATTTCCATGATCTTACCTGGATTGCTTATTTCTCTTTCCCCTTTCCTTCCCATGTATTTTCCCGTGCTTTGCAGTTGACAGATACCTCTTGGCAGTCTGATGAAACCTTCAACTCCTGAGAATAACATTTTTAAATGCATAGCTAAAGCAAACCAATATAGTTACAAAATATTAATACTTTTTAAAAAAACTATGATATTATATTTGCCTCTTTGTTAACGTATTAAATAGCAAGATCTAATAATCCTTCCAGAAACTTCCATGATTTTAAAGTAGTGATGCAAGGGCCAAAATTATTATTATGAGATTTTTCCAGTATTTATAATCGGAACATATTTTGAGATTTGTATTGGTTTAAAAAGTCAGAGCCTATACTCACAATTGAAGGAAATGCTAAGTTTCATTCAGAGGTTAGTTAAAAAGAAAGATTGTTTTTTCCCCTGATCCAAGTTCATGGACTGCACTGGATTCCATGAACAGACCCTTTGGTATCTGTGGACTCTAGTTTGAAAACCCCTTTGTTCTTGGGACAAACTCCAAATTTTTAATGTAGTCTTCAGGACTTTTTATGATTTAGCCTGGCTACTTTTCCAGCCTGGTTTCCCACATTCTCATTTGGCTTATAGTCTAGCCATACTTGTTTTCTTTTAAGTCTTCAGATGTACCCTGTTCCCTCCTATCTCAGGGCCTGTCTATGCTATTCCCATTGCGTGGAATGCACCTCCAGTCATCCACACACCAAGCTAATGTGTGTTCATTTTTCAGCTCCTAGTTTAAATGTCACTTCCCCAGGGACGCTATCTCTGATCATCCCACATTGCTGGATAGGTCCCCTTTTATTTATTTTGTTTTAATTTTTTAAGACAGAGTCTTGCTGTGTTGCCTAGGCTGTAGTGCAATGACCTGATCATAGCTCACTGTAGCCTCAAATTCCTGGGCCCACGGGATCCTCCCACCCCAGCCGCCTGAGTAGCTGGGATTACAGGCATGTGCCACCATGCCTGGCTAGTTGTTTTTAAAATTTTTTGTAAAGACGTGTGTCTCATTATGTTTCCTAGGCTGGTCTTGAACTCGTGGCCTCAAGTGTTCCTCCCACCTTCATCTCGCAAAGTGCTGGGATTGCAAGCATGAGCCACTGCACCCGGCCAGTTTCCCCTTTTAGATGCTATCATAACACCCCGTGCCTTTCCTTTACAACACTTTTCCCGGTTTATAATTCTGTTTTATTTATTTATTTTTATTTTTATTTTCTTTTTGAGATGGAGTCTCGCTCTGTCTGCCAGGCTGGAGTGCAGTGGTGCAATCTTGGCATACTGCAACCTCTGCCTCCCGGGTTCAAGCAATTCTCCTTCCTTAACCTCCCTAGTAGCTGGCATTACAGGTGCATGCCACAACGCCCGGTAATTTTTGTATTTTTAGTAGAGGCAGGGTTTCGCCATGTTAGTCAGTTTGGTCTCAAACTCCTAGCCTCAGGTGATCCGCCTGCCTCAGCCTCCCAAAGTGCTGGGATTACAGGCGTGAGCCACCGCACCCACCAGTAATTCTATTTTTTGTAATCCTTTGAGTGTCTGTCTCCCTCACTTAAGTGTGTGCTCCGTGAAGGTAGGGACTATTTTATTTTGATTACTGCTGTATACTTGGCTCTTGTTATAGAGCAGGCCCTCAGTCAATATTTATTACATCAGTGAATGAATACTGATAACTTAATGTTCCTAAATTATTTGACTCCTCTCTTACTTCCATAGGTCTGTCTTTTTTCTCCTCTGAAACATTTTTCCCAGCCTTGCATGGCTAACTTCTACTCCAGCCTCCAGTTTAGTTAAATATGCTTCCCTCCATGTACCATCTCTAAACTTCCATAACAACTGGATATATTTACATAAAATTAAGATTTTTTTTTGTTTTTTATTATTTTTTAAAATTTTCACATACAGTTGGGGTCTCACCATGTCGCCCAGGCTGGTCTCAAACTCCTGGGCTCAAGCAGTCCACTCACTTTGGCCTCCCGTGATGAGACCCTGTCTCTACAAAAAAAAAAAGAGAAAAATTAGCTGAGCATGGTGGTGTATGCCTGTGGTCCCAGCTAATCGAGAGTCTATGAGGCGGGAGGATCGCTTGAGCCTGGGAGGCAGAGGTTGCAGTGAGCCAAGGTTGCGCCACTGCACTCTAGCCTAGGCGACTGTGAGACACTGTCTCAAAAAAAAAAAAAAAAATTCCATTTGGTCAGTTTGGGTTTATTTTCCTTTCCCTCTTCTATAACTTTGTTTATTCTTCCTAAAAATGTTCTGACTACACATTGTAAGCATTTTTGTATTTAAATATCTGGTAGTTCTCTTAAGAGTATGCCTTATTAAATTTAAAAATATCCATTAAAAAATTTTTTTTTTGCCGGTCTCAGTGGCTCACGCCTATAATCCCAGCACTTTGGGGGGCCGACGCAGGTGGATCACAAGGTCAGGAGTTCAAGACCAGCCTGGCCAACAAAGTGAAACTCCGTCTCTACTAAAAATACAAAAAATTAGCTGGGCGTGGTGGCAGGCGCCTGTAATCCCAGCTACTCAGGAGGCTGAGGCAGGAGAATTGCTTGAACCCAGGAGGCAGAGGTTGCAGCAAGCTGAGATCGCTCCACTGCACACCAGCCCAGGCAACAGTGCATGGACTCCATCTCAAAAAGAAAAAAAAAAATGTGGTTACTTAGTAGGTGTATATATTTATGGGGTACATGAGGTATTTTGATACAGACATACAATGTGTAATAATCACATTAGGGTAAATCAGGTATCTTTTTTTATTTTTTTCAGTCAAGGTCTCGCACTGTTGCCTGGGCTCAAGTGCAGTGGCACAATTATAGCTCACTGGAGCATCGAATTCCTGGGCTGAAGGGATCCTCCTGCCTCAGCCTCCTGAGTAACTAGGACCACAGGCACGTGCCACCCTGCCCAGCTAATTTTTGTATTTTTATGTAGAGATGCGGTCACACTATATTTCCTATGCTACTCTTAAAATCCTGGTCTCAAGTGATCCTCCTGCCTCGGGCTCCCGAAGCACTAGGATTACAGGTGTGAGCCACTGTGCCTCAGGCCTTTACAGTATCCACTTTTAAAAATTACATTTGGAAGCTGGGCATAGTGGCACATGCCTGTATTCCCAACTACTCAGGAGGAAGGATCGCATCAGCCCAGGAGTTCAAGGGTATTGTGAGTGATAATTGTGCCTGTGAATAGCCCCTGCACTCCTGCCTGGGCAACATAGCAGGACCCTATGTTTAAAAAAAAAAAAAAAAAAAACGGTTAGTAAATGTTGAATGCCATTTTTCCCATATGGAAGTTCTAGCTGAAACTCACACTTTCCATTTAAGACTTGAGACTGACTTTCTCAGTCCACTGTAAGCATTAATTAATACATTGGTTCTACTCTGCACACTTCTGCTTCTAAAAACAAACTGAACAAGACCTTCCTTTGCCTGTGGTTGCTGCTGATTAGTTTCTATCTTTTCCAGCTTTCATCTGTAACTGATAGCCAGTATTCTCAGGGCTATCAGGAGGCTTGTGCACCCAAATTCCCATTCTCTCATTGTTACCATTCCTGTTTTGTATCTCAAGGTTCTGTATTGGTTGTACATACGTCGTGTTCTTTGAAGCTCTCAGGCTGCCTGCTTTTTGTTTGCCATAGCTGTTCCTGTTACCTCTCATTTTCCTCCCTGGAGGCAGTTATGTTGCCTCTATTTAAGCACTCACCAGTCAGAATCTTCCTATTCTGCTTAAATACCCAACATTTGTCAGTAAGAAATAATTTTGTATTTAATTGTGTATCCCCAGGAATTTTGCCCATTTCTCTTTGCCTTGCTTTCAATCATGATAGAAGCACCTTTTTCTTTTCAATAATATTATTGTTAAAAGCCTTAATTATTTTGTCTTCTCTGCTTCAAACTAAGTAATTCTGACTTCCTTAATCTTTTATCACAGGCTCTGTTCTCCAAACTTTCAGTCTTTTCTGTTGTTCCATATTCCATTGTTTTCTCCTCCTACTCATTCAGAGGCAAATTAAGGTGGTTTTTTAAGTTTTGGTTTGTAGACTATGTCGTTATGTGAGAAATTTACTTTAGTTTTGTATTGTCAACCCCATAGCACAAGCCAGGTACTTAATTTAGGCATTAGTCAGTGATATAGTTTGAATATTTGTCCCTGCGCAAATCTCATGTTGAATTGTAATCCCCAGTGTTGGGGGTGGGGCTTGGTGGAAGGTGATTGGATCATGGGAGTGGAGTCCTCATGGCTTGGTGCTATCCTCACGGTAGTGAATTCTTGTGAGATGTTGTTTAAAAGTGTGTGGCACCTTCCCCCCTCTCTCTTGCTCCTGCTTTTGCCATGTGACCTGCTACCTCCCCTTTGCCTTCTGCCATGATTATAAGCTTCCTGAGGCCTCATCAGAAGCCAGGTAGGCACCTGGCACCATGCGTTCTTTATAAATTACCCAGTCGCAGCCGGGCACAGTGGCTTTTGCCTGTAATCCCAGCACTTTGGGAGGCCAAGGCGGGCAGATCACGAGGTCAGGAGTTCGAGACCAGCCTGGCCAATATGGTGAAACCCCATCTCTACAAAAAATACAAAAATTAGCCAGGCGTGGTGGCACATGCCTGTAGTCCCAGCTACTTGGGAGGCTGAGGCAGAAGAATCGCTTGAACCTGGCTAATTTTTGTATTTTTAGTAGAGACGGGGTTTCACCATGTTGGCCAAGCTGGTCTCGAACTCCTGACCTCGTGATCTGCCCACCTCAGCCTCCCAAAGTGCTGGGATTACAGGCATATCTTTTTATTTTTTTTTGAGACAGAGTCTCACTCTGTCATCCAGGCTGGAGTGCAGTGGCACTATCTCAGCTCACTGCAACCTCCACCTCCCAAGTTCAAGTGATTCTTCAGCCTCAGCTTCCTGAGTAGCTGGGATTACAGGCACCGACCACCATGCCCAGCTAAATTTTGTATTTTTAGTAGAGACAGGGTTTCACCATGTTGGTCAGGCTGGTCTTGAACTCCTGACCTCAGGTGAGCCACATGCCTTGGCCTCCCAAAGTGCTGGGATTGCAGATGTGAGCCACTGTGCCCAGCCTATTTATTTATTTTTTGAGACAGTGTCACTCTGTCGTCCAGGCCGGAGTGCAGTGGCGCAATTTCTGCTCATCACAACCTCCACCTCGCGGGTTCAAGCAGTTCTTGTGCCTCAGCCTCCCAAGTAGCTGGAAGTATAGGCGTGTGCCACGACGCCCGGCTAATTTTATATTTTTAGTAGAGACGGAGTTTCACCATGTTGGCCAGGCTGGTCTTGAACTCCTGACCTCAGGTGATCCATCCGCTTCGGCCTCCCAAAATGCTGGGATTACAGGCGTGAGCCACCGCGTCTGGCCTGTTTTTAATTTTTAGAGACAGGGTCTCGCTTTGTCACCCAGACTGGAGTGCAGTGGCACAGTCATACCTTAATACACCTTCCTGCACCTCGGCTCAAGTGATCCTCCAGCCTCAGCCTCCCAAGTAGCTAGGATTACAGGTGTGTGCCACCATGGCCAGCTAATTTTTAAATTTTGTTTTTGGTAGAGAGAGGGTCTCATTTTGTTGCCCACCCTGGCCTTGAACTCCTGACTTCAAGCCATCATCTGTCCTTGGCCTCCCAAAGACCTAGGATTACTAGCATGGGCTACCAAGCCCAGCTGGTATCTGAGATTAATGATAATTTATTTCCTTTTTTCCAACTTTAAGATTTTTAGTTTGTTTTCCTGCTTTATTGCCAAACATTCCATTATATATTTAATGTCTTTAAGATTCATAGTGCTTTCTCTCTCTCTCTTTTTTCTTATTCTTTTTTTCTCTTTTTTCTTGATTAGTGTTTCCAGAGGTCTTTATCTGTATGGGTCCATTGGGAGAGAGAAGGCATATAATTATTTGAACAGAGAAAGTTTTATATTAAGAATTATAGGCTGAGCATGGTGGCTCACATCTGTAATCCCAGCACTGTGGGAGGCCAAGGTGGGAGGATTGCCTGAGTCCAGGAGTTCAAGACCCGCCTGGGCAACATAGTGAGACCCCACCTCTACAAAAATAAAAAAAAATAAAGAATTATAATAGGGGCTACTCTAAGGAGAACTCTAAAGAATATAGGAATACAGCTGGGCACAGTAACTTATGCTTATAATCCCAGCACTTGGAGAGGCTGAGGTGGGAGGATTGCTTGAGTTCAGAAGTTTAAGACCATCCTGGGCAAAATGGCAAGACCCTGTCTCTACAAAGAAAAATTTAAAAATATATATTAGCTGGGTATGGTAGTGCATGCCTATAGTTCCAGCTACTCAGGAGGCAAGGCAGGAGGATGGGAGGATCCCTTGAGCCCAGGAGCTACAGGATGCAGTGCTCAGTGATCACTCCAGCCTGGCCTGGAGTGCAGTGGCATGATCACTGCGCACTGCATCCTGTAGCTCCTGGGCTCCTTTGTCACCTAAAAAAAAAAAAAAAAAAAAGGAATAGCAGATATATGGAACAGTCACAAACCCCAGAGCCAAGACAGAGGGCACTAAAAAGACTCCTCTTCCTCAGGACTCAGATTCAGGCTTCTTGGAGGAGCCACAGCTGCTATGAATGGCAGAGGGGTTGCTATGGTGCCATATTAGCAAAACTTGTTGCAAATCTGCCCTTTGGACCTGGTTGGAAATTTGTCCTCTAGTATGCTGTCCTCTAGGGTGGTGGGGAAAGCTGTTCGTGGAGAGGTGTCTCACCTGAGGCACAACTGTTTTCGGGGAGTTGGCAGGGCAAGCTGCTGGCCACTCCATGCTGCAGGAGGTGCTGCAGGGTTGGAGGACATCTCTTACAAAAGCATCCAAGGGGAGGGCTGATGGGGGAAGCTGCTGACTGCTTTCCAGTGCACTGCAGGACCCTGACACTGGAAAGCTTCAGACATCACAGTGGCCTGCTCTGTGACAAGCAGGGGAACAAAGAAGCAAAACTCTTCTTACAAATGCCTTTCTAGCACCTTATACTGAGAAAGCTTAACATCATGCCAGGTGGCAAAGGAAAAATATGTAAAGGACCCAAGTCGATTTTTATATTATTTTATTTTATTATTTATTTTTAAATTAGAGATGGTGGTCTCACTATGTTGCCAAGTCTGGCCTCAAACTCCTGGCCTCAAGTGATCCTCCTGCCTCAGCCCCTCAAAGTGCTGGGATTACAGATGTACACCACCATGCCAGACCTGCAAGTCTATTAACAGCGAGGCAGAAAGAATGAATTTATAGGTCGGGGCAATACATTTGTAACTGATATAGTGTCTTCGAATTTTGTTAAATTTTTTTACATGAACCAACTTTTTTTTCTATATATTTGTTTTCTAATTTTGTTTATGCTCTTATGTTTATTTCCTTCCTTCTGCTTTCATTGGTTAACTTGCTATTCTTTTTCTAGTTTCTTGAGATGATTGCTTAGATCGTTAATAAACAGTGCTTTCCCTCCCAATATATGAATTTAAGTCTATACATTTCCCTCTATATTTCTGTCATATACAAGTTTTTGTTGTTGTTGTTGTTGTTTGTTTTTTGTTTTTTTTTGAGACGGAGTCTTACTCTCGTCCAGGCTGGAGTGCACTGGCGCGATCTCGGCTCACTGCAAGCTCCGCCTCCCGGGTTCACGCCATTCTCCTGCCTCAGCCTCGTGAGTAGCTGGGACTACAGGTGCCTGCCACCACGCCCTGCTATTTTTAGTAGAGATGGGGTTTCACCATGTTAGCCAGGATGGTCTCAATCTCCTGACCTCGTGATCCGCCCGCCTCGACCTCACAAAGTGCTGGAATTACAGGCGTGAGCCACTGTGCCCGGCAAGTGCTTTTTGTTTTCTGTTTTTTGTTTTTTTTTGAGACGAAGTCTTGCTCTTGTCCCCCAGGCTGGAGTGCAGTGGCGCGGCTCACTGCAACCTCCGCCTCCTGGGTTCAAGCAGTTCTCCTGCCTCAGCCGCCCTAGTAGCTGGGATTACAGGCTCCTGCCACTATGCCCGGATAATTTTTGTATTTTTAGTAGAGACGGGATTTCACCACGTTGGCCAGGCTGGTCTCGAACTCCTGACCTCAGGTGATCAGCCCACCTCGGCCTCCCAAAGTGCTGGGATTACAGGCGTGAGCCACTGCGCCTGGCTTTTTTTTTTTTTTTAAATTTTAGGCGGAGTCTCCCTCTGTCGCCAGGCTGGAGTGTTGTGGCGCGATCTCGGCTCACTGCAACCTCCAACTCCGTGGTTCAAGTGATTCTCCTGCCTCAGCCTCCCGAGTAGCTGGGATTACAGGCGCCTGCCACCAGGCCTGGCTAATTTTTGTATTTTCAGTAGAGAATGGGTTTCACCATGTTGGCCAGGATGGCCTCGATGTCCTGACCTCATGATCTGCCCGCCTCGGCCCCCCAAAATGCTGGAATTACCGGCGTGAGCCACCGCTCCCGGCCCGTATGCAAGTTTTGATGTGCTATATTTCCATTATCATTTAGTTCAAAATAGTTTCTAATTTCCATTGTGCTTTCTTCTTTAGCTTAAGGGTTATCTACAAGTATAGTGCTTAAATTCCAGAAAGGTAGAATTTTTCTAGTTATCTGTTTTGTATTGATTTCTAGCTTAATTGCACTAATGGCAGAGAACCAATGATTTCAATCCTTTGAAATGTCTTTGAGACTTGCTCTGTGTCCCTGCATATGGTTGTTTTTGGTAAATAAAATGGTGTGCTCTGTTACTGTTGTTGATCTTTTTTATACGCTTGTTCTTTTTAGCTGCTGAGAGGAGTTTTCTTCCTCTGTAATTGTGGATTTGTGTATTTTTTATTTTAGCTCTGTTGAGCTCTGTCAGGTTTTTGTGTGGGGGGCGTGGGTGTTTTGTTTTTGTTTTAGAGACATTTCTTGCTCTGTCACC
This sequence comes from Homo sapiens, assembly GCF_000001405.40. Lineage (NCBI taxonomy): Eukaryota > Metazoa > Chordata > Mammalia > Primates > Hominidae > Homo > Homo sapiens. The sequence continues at coordinate 203,264,045 of NC_000002.12, forward strand.
CAGGCTGGAATGCAGTGGTGTGATCATGGCTCAGTGCAGCCTTGAACACCTGGACTCAAGCGATCCTCCCAAGTAGCTGGTACAGGTGTGCACCCCATGCCTAGCTAACTTTTAATTTTTTTTGTAGAGTTGAGGTATCACTGTGTTGCCCAGGTTTGTCTCAAACTCCTGGCCTCAAACAGTCCTCCCACTTTAGCCTCCTAAAGCTCTGGGATTACAGGCATGAGCCACCGTGTCTAGCCTCTGTCAGTTTTTGGTTTATATGTTTGGAAGTTAGGACATTGAATGTTTTCCAACTTAGTCTTATTATATATTCTTGGTACTGACTACTTTGTCGTTATGAAATATCCCTCTTTATCTCTAGTAATATTTCTTGCCTTAAAGTTTATTTTTCCTGATATTAACTCCACTAGCTTTCTTTCAGTTAGTGTTTAATGTTTTATTGTTTTTCATTATTTTACTTTCAACCTCTCTGTCATCATAATTGGAGGATTTCTCCTGGGACTAGTATATAGTTGTATTTTTTTAATCCAGCCTATTTTAATCTTTTAATTGAAATATTCTGTTCATTTATAGCTAATGAAATTTCTGATGCACATGGGTTTAAATTTTACTCTTTGTATACCATTTGCTACTTGTTTTCTATTTGAGCTACCTCTTTTATACTTTTATATTTTTTTTATATTTCCTTTCTTTCGTTTTTTAGACGGAGTCTCACTCTGTCGCCCAGGCTGGAGTGCAGTGGTGCAATCTCAGCTCACTGCAAGCTCTGCCTCCTGGGTTCATGCCATTCTCCTGCCTCAGCCTCCCAAGTAGCTGGGACTACAGATGCTTGCCACCACACCCGGCTAATTTTTGGTATTTTTAGTAGAGATGGGGTTTCACCACGTTAGCCAGGATGGTCTTGATCTCCTGACCTTGTGATCTGCCCACCTCGGCCTCCCAAAGTGCTGAGATTACAGGCGTGAGCCACTGCGCCTGACCTCTTTCATGCCTTCTTTAGAAATAATAAAATATTTTTGAGTATTCCATTTTCTCTGTTAGCTTATTAGTTACATATTTTAACTATTTTAATATTTGTTTAGAGTAGGACTTTTCACTTTTGGCAGTATTCAAACTTAGGCCTGTGATTATTTATTGTAGAGGGCTATCCTGTGCATGGTAGGATATTTAGTAGCATCTGTGGCTTTTACCTCTAGATGCCAGTAGCACCTTACCCCAGTTGTGACAATCAAAAAATGTTTCCAAACATTTCTGAATGTCCTTTGGAGACAAAATCACCCTGGTTGAGAACCGCTGCCCTAGAGATTACAATAGGCATTCTTGGCTTATTATAATCTAATGTCAGTGATAACTTTTACCAATTACTCAACAATGCCAGGGTCTTACTAACTCCATATTCTCTCTCCCACCTTTATACTTTGATTTTGTACACTAATTATTCATTTGTCATGCACCCACATTCTGTTATTCATTTTCTGTGTCTTTCTTTCAGAGCTCTTTACTTTCTGTGTGTATCTATGTCTTAAATTTTCCTTCTACCTTTATTTTATATAAAGATAAGGGATTTTGATTCTATCGTAAATCCAGGATGATCTCATTACAGATCCTTAATTTAATTACATCTACAAATGTTTTTTGTTTGTTTGTTTGGTTGGTTTTTTGAGACAGAGTCTCGCTCTTTCACCCAGGCTGGAGTGCGGTGGCATGATCTTGGCTCATTGCAGCCCCGGTCTCCCAGATTCAAGCTATTCTCCTGCTTCAGCCTCCTGAGTAGCTGGGATTACAGGCGTGCACCACCACACCTGACTAATTTTTGTATTTTTAGTAGAGATAGGGCTTTACCATGTTGGCCAGGCTGGTCTCAACTCCTGACCTCAGGTGATCCACCCACCTTTGCCTCCCAAAGTGCTAGGATTACAGGTATGAACCACCGTGCCCGGCCTAAAGCTTGTTTGTAATCTTTTTACTAGACTCTGTTTTTATTCCATAGGTATTTAATAAATATTTGGTGAAGGAAGGAATGACAAAGAGACTCTGAGAGGTTTCTGTCACTGAAGTATGTTTAGGACTTTTATATATATTCATATGTTTATTGATTATTATGTCACAGGCATTCTGTGGCAGACTTTTCATTATTTTTAATTAGATACCAAGAGTATGGTCTTTTAATTTCCGTTGGGTTTAAGTTTTTTCTATCTTTGAGTTTTTAATTTATATTTTCTGTTTTTATTGTCGTGATAGTGGTTCTGTTTTGTTTTACATATCAGCCCTTTGCCAGAAGTTGAACCTGAACCATTGAGGATGCAATTATAGGTGGAGCTAGTGTTAGTCTGACAGATTCGTACCTGAATGTTGACTTTGGTTACAGAGTTTAACTGTTTGCCATTAAATGAATCTACTTAGTAACATTTTCTGAGATTTAGAAAGAAGAAACAGTAATCATTGTGCTTTTCTGTTCTCTTTCAGCTTTCAGAAGAATTATTAGATAAATGGCTCTCCTACCCAGAGACCCAGCACGTGCCCCTCAGCCAGCATATGCTTGGTTTTGCTATGAAGTCTGTTACACAGATGGTAATGGGTAGTACATTTGAAGATGATCAGGAAGTCATTCGCTTCCAGAAGAATCATGGCACAGTAAGTCTGGGGCTAAATTTAAAATTACTCTTTCAGGCTGGGCACGGCAGCTCACACCTGTAATCCCAGCACTTTGGGAGGCTGCAGTCAGGAGTTAAAGACCAGCCTGCCCCACATGGTAAAAACGTGTCTCTACTAAAAATACAAAAATCAGCTGGGTGTGGTGGTGGGTGCCTGTAATCCCAGCTACTCAGGAGGCTGAGGCATGAGAATCGCTTGAACCTGGGAGGTGGAGGTCACAGTGAGCCAAGATCATGCCACTGCACTCCAGCCTCAGTGACAGAGTAAGACTTTGTCTCAAATAAATAAATAAAATTATTCTTTCATCATTAGCCAGGCATGGTGGCATGTGCCTATTGTCCCAGCTACTGAGGCTGAGGCAGGAGGGATTGATTACTTGAACCCAGGAGTTCAAGGCTACAGAGAGCTACCATTGCAGCACTGCACTCCAGCCTGGGAGACAAGAGTGAGACCCTGTCTCTAAAAAATAATAATAATAAATTAAACAATTATTTCATCATACTGGGTAGTTTAATAATGCAGGTTGTTGCCTATCAAGAACAAGGCTTGGCTGGTTGTGGTGGCTCACACCTGTAATCCCAGCACTTTGGGAGGCCGAGGCAGGCAGATCACTTGAGATGAGGAGTTTGAGACCAGCCTGGCCAATGTGGCAAAACCCCATCTCTACTGAAAATAAGAAAAACTAGCCAGGCATGGTGGCTTGCACCTGTAATTCAAGCTACTTGGGAGGCTGAGGCACCAGAATTGCCTGAACCCAGGTGGCAGAGGTTATAGTGAGCCAAGACCGCACCACTGCACTTCAGCTCTGGGTGATGGAGTGAGACTCTTGTCTCACTCCAAAAAAAAAAAAGAAAGATCTTGGCCGGGCGTGGTGGCTCACGCCTGTAATCTCAGCACTTTGGGAGGCCAAGGCAGGTGGATCACAAGGTCAGGAGTTCAAGACCAGACTGGCCAAGATGGTGAAACCCCGTCTCTACTAAAAAATACAAAAATTTGCTGGGCGTGGTGGCAGGAGCCTATAATCCCAGCTACTTGGGAGGCTGAGGCAGAGAACCACCCAAACCCGGGAGCTGGAGGTTGCAGTGAGCTGAGATTGCACCACTGGCACTCCAGCCTGGGCTACAGAGCAAGAGTCCATCTCAAAAAAAAAAAAAAAAAGAGCGATCTCACCGCTGTTTCCAGGATTTTCTTCCAGTTGCTGATATTTATCCTGCATATTTTTATGCTGATGTTTTTTTTCTTTCCTTTCTTATAACCTCAAAATAGAAATAATTTCAAACTTCCAGAAAAGTTACAGTTAATACAAGGAACTCCCTCCCTCCCATATATCCTTCACCCAGGTTCAGCAGTTGTTTACATCTTGCTCCACATGCTTTTGTCATTCATCTTCTATCTTTATCTATCCATCTATCTATCTATCCATCCATTCCTCCCCCTTTCCTCAAACCATTTGAGAGTAGATTCAACATTTTGCCTGTTTTCCTCTAAATATTGCAGTTGATATTTCCTACGAGCAAGGATATTCTCTTATGTATTGACAACATAGTTATCAAGTTTCTTTGGTTGTATCAGTAATAATCTTGTGGATTCTCAGTCTCCTCCCCTCCAATTCCAGGACCCAATTCATGATCACTCAGTACTTGTAGATATCAGATCTCTTTAATCTGGAACAGTTCCTCAGCTTTTCTTCATTTCTAGACCTTTACATTTTTGGATAGTACAGGACAGTTATTTTGTAGACTATCCCTCAATTTGAGTTTGTCTGATATTTCATGAGTAGATTCAAAATACATATTTTTGGCAAGAATGTGATGTTTTCTTAATATTACTAAAAGCTGTCAAAGGAAACTTTTCAGACTATAAACAGGACTTATTCTTCCTCAAATTATTTGTTTTTTTTTTTGTTTGTTTTGTTTTGTTTTTTACATCCACAGCCTTGCCACCAGAGTGGCCTTTCAAAGAATTTTTTTTATTTGTATAAATTTATGGGTTATATGTATAATTTTATTACATGCATAGATTGTGTAGTGGTGAAGTCAGGGCTTTTAGTGTATCCATCACCCAAATAATGTACATTGTACCCATTAAGTGATTTCTTACCCTCCTGCCCACCCCTGAAATGATCTTTTAATGTCTGAAATACCAAGGGATGGCCATTGTCGAGTCATGCCACCAGGAGTAATAACCAATTTGTGAATTCAGAGCCAATGACGACTGCATCATGACTGCTACTTAGATGAAAACAGTTGGGAGATGTCATCAGTTGTAAGATGCATACTGATTTCACAGGTGTTAAAATGTGAAAAAACATACATCTTTCCTTCAGTTGCATATTGTATGTCCTAACTGCCCCCTACAAACATTGTCCCAAGTATTTTTCCACCAATATTAGTGTGCTCTTACTCTGTACTTTTGACAACATTTAGAATTGTTGGTCCTTAAATATTTGCCTTTCTAGGCCAGGTACGATAGCTCATGCCTGTAATCCTAGCACTTTGGGAAGCCAAGGCAGGAGGATTACTTGAGCCTAGAAGTTCAAGACCAGCCTGGGCAACACAGTGAGACCCCTGTCTCCAATTTTTTTTTTTTTTTTTTTTTTAATTAGTGAAGTGTGGTGGCATGCACGCCTGTAGTCCCAGCTACTCAGGAGACTGAGGGGAGGATCACTTGAGCCCAGGAGGATCACACCACCGCACTCCAGCCTGGATGATAGAGTGAGACCCTGTCTCAAAAAACAAAATTTTTGCCTATCCAGTAAGCCAAAAATGACATTTTATGATTGAAATATATAGTTCTTTTTTTTTTTTTTGAGACGGAGTTTCGCTCTTATCGCACAGGCTAGAATGCAGTGGTGCAATCTCGGCTCACTGCAACCTCCACCTCCCAGGTTAAAGCGATTCTCCTGCCTCAGCCTCCCCAGTAGCTGGGATTACAGGTGCCCACCACCACGCCTGGCTAATTTTTGTACCTTTAGTAGAGATGGGGTTTCACCATGCTGACCAGCTGGTCTCGAACTCCTGATCTCAAGTGATCCACCTGCCTCGGCCTCCCAAAGTGCTGGGATTGTAGGTGCTTGTCACCACGCCCAGGTAATTTTTGTATTTTTAGTAGAGATGGGGTTTCACCATGTTGGCCAGGCTGGTCTCGAACTCCTGACCTCAGGTGATCTGCCCACCTCAGCCTCCCAAAGTGCTGGGATTACAGGCGTGAGCCACCATGCCCATGTTGTGTAATTCTTTTATTACTTGTGAGGTTAAACATCTTTTTGCCTTGGTGCAGTGGTTCACCCCTATAATCCTTGCACTTTGGGAAGCTAAAGCAGGAGGATTACTTGAGCCCAGGAGTTTAAGACCAGCCTGGGCAACATGACAAAACCCCATCTTTGCCAAAAAAAAAACGACAGGAAAATTTGCTGCATGTGGTAGTACATTCTTTTAGTCCCAACTGCTTGTGAGGCTGAGGCCAGAGGATTGCTTGAGCCCAGAAGGTGGAGGTTGTAGTGAGCCATGATTGTGCCATGGCGCTCCAGCCTTGGAGACAGAGCCAGACCCTGTCTTAAAAACAAAAAACCAAAAATCATATTTTTATACTTTTGTTAAACACTTGGGTTTTTTTTTATGTCCTCTGCCTATATTTCTTCATTATTTTATTTACTTTTTTGTGACACAGTATCACCATGTTGCCCAGACTGGTCTCAAACTTTTGGGCTCAGGGGATCCTCTGACCTCAGCCTCCCAAATAGCTGGGATTTTAGGCCCACCTGGCTGTTTTGCCTATATTTCTATTTTTGTGTTGCTTTTTCTTACTAATCTAGAACAGCTCTTTATTTCTAATCTCAGTTTTCATTTCCTTTTACATTTATTTATAGTAAATAAAAGTTTTGTGATACTTTTTCAGTATCACAAATGTTACTGTTTTTATGTAGCTAAATCAATTTAACTCTTTCATTGTGAATTTGTGCCTTGTGTTCTGTCATGTTTAGAAACTGCTTTTGAACTTTAAGGGTCTTATATAAATATTTACTTTTTTTTTTCTTTTTTTTTTTTTTTAGGCTGCAGTGCCTCAGTCTCAGCTCACTGCAGCCTTCACCTCCCAGACTCAAGCTATCCTTCCACCTCACCCTCCTGAGTAGCTGGGACCACAGATGCTCACCACCACGCCTGGCTAATTTTTTGTATTTTTTGTAGAGACAGGTTTTCACCATGTTCTCGAACTCCTTAGCCCAAGCAATCTGCCCGCCTTGACCTCCCAAAGTGCTGGGATTATGGGTGTGAGCCACTCCACTCGGCCTACTATTCATTTTTACAGTAGTTTTAATAGTTTGAGTGTATATATATATATATGTATATGTGTATATATATATATATATATATATATATATTTTTTTTTTTTTTTTTTTTTTTGAGACGGAGTCTGGCTCTGTCCCCCAGGCTGGAGTGCAGTGGCGCCATCTTGGCTAACTGCAAGCTCCGCCTCCCGGGTTCACGCCATTCTTCTGCCTCAGCCTCCCAAGTAGCTGGGACTACAGGTGCCCGCCACCACGCCCGGCTAATTTTTTTGTATTTTTAGTACAGATGGGGTTTCACCATGTTGGCCAGGATGGTCTTGAACTCCTGATCTCGTGATCCGCCTGCCTCGGCCTCCCAAAGTGCTAGGATTACAGGCTTGAGCCACCGCACCTGGCCAATAGTTTGATTTTTTAACATTTAAGTAATCTGAAATATTTTCATTTAAGGTAAGGATTGAGGACTTTAAAAAATCTATTGTTTTTCAAATACAGTGTTTAGCCATTGTTTAATAAGTGTTGTGTTCTTTCCCTAAATTCTTTTTAGAACTTTTGAATTAAAATCAGGTTAAAGTTTTTTCAGGGGCTATTGACCAAATTGTGAAAATTTGGAAGCCTATTCTGCTGCTTATCATATCCAAATCTCAGACTTTTAACCTTTTTCTTTACCTCAGCCAATGTTTATCAATATTACAGGTGAAACAGAAATTTGTAATTACCTGTGAATTTTATTTTTACACTTATGCCAGTATAATACAAAAATGAGGGCTGGGCGCAGTGGTTCACACATGTAATCCCAGCACTTTGGGAGGCTGAGGTGGGTGGATCACCTGAGGTCAGGAGTTCGAGACCAGTCTGGAAACCCCATCTCTACTAAAAAATACAAAAATTAGCTGGGCATGGTGGTGGGCACCTGTAATCCCATCTACTCAGGGGGCTGAGGCTGGGAGAATTGCCTGAACTCGGGAGGTGGAAGTTGCAGTCAGCCGAGATCACACCACTGCACTCCAGCCTAGGCAACACAGTGAGACTCTGTCTCGGCGTGGGGGAAGAAAAAATGAGGGTTGACTCTACTGCTGTGTCCTTTTTCTTCTCCCTACTCCTTTTAGAGAAAAGGAATTTTTCACTTTCCATTTCTTATTAGTTTGAAAGTGCCTTGACTGAAGTCATCAAAATATATTTGTACCCTCCCCTCTGAAACTGTGGAGTAAAGGATTGTGCAGCCAGTTGAGAGGGAGAGCTTAATTATTAGATTTGTTGGTGAGGAGAGTTCCTGCTGGGTAGGTGGCTCACGCCTGTAATCCCAACACTTTGGGAGACTGAGATGAGAAGATCACTTGAGCTCAGGAGTTCAAGAACAGCCTGAGAAACATGGTGAAACCCGTCTCTACAAAAAATAGAAAAATTAGCTGGCGTTGGTGGCACACAACTGTAGTCCCAGCTACTTGGGAGGCTGAGGTGGGAGAATGGCTTGAGCCTGGGAGGTGGAGGTTGCAGTGAGCTATGATCGTGCCATTGCAATCCAGCACTCTAGCCTAGGTGACAGAGCCGGAACCCTGACTCAAAAAAAAAAAAAAAAAAAAAGAGTTAAAGAGTTCCTAAGTCATTAGGTTACATTGCTCTGTATTATTTTTAAAATTCTACCTATTAGATAATAGTTATGTATATTTACCTATTTTCAGGTTTGGTCTGAGATTGGAAAAGGCTTTCTAGATGGGTCACTTGATAAAAACATGACTCGGAAAAAACAATATGAAGATGGTAAGTTTGGTCACTTAATTTTTAGTGAGGACAAAAAATAAATGTGCCCCAGTTTTAATAAAGTAATCTCTGAATAGTGAGATTAAAGGTCATTTATATTTTCTTTTTTTTTTTTTTTGAGACAGAGTCTCGCTCTGTTGCCAGGCTGGAGTGCAGTGGTGCGATCTCGGCCACAGCAACCTCCGCCTCCCAGGTTCAAGCAATTCTCCTGCCTCAGCCTCCCGAGTAGCTGGGACTACAGGTGGGTGCCACCACGCCCAGCTAATTTTTGTATTTTTAGTAGAGACAGGGTGTCACCCTGTTGGCCAGGATGGTCTCGATCTCTTGACCTTGTGATCTGCCTGCCTCGGCCTCCCAAAGTGCTGGGATTACAGGCATGTGCCACTGTGCCCGGCCTATATTTATTTTCTTTCTTTATGCTTTTTTCTATATTTTCTACAATGAAAGTTTTCTTTAACAGAAGCGAGGAAAAATAAGTTAGTAAAAGAAACTCTAGCACAGACTGCAGAATGAGAGTGTTGTAGAGCTGGTATACTCTACAGGATTAATGGAAAGTATAAGTGTACAATCTTAAGAAAGCAGTTTAATAATGCATACTAAGAACCATAAATAATGGATGAAATTATATGAAAGAAGACAATATTCATGAAGATATTTTTGTAGTACTGTTTCTGCAAGTAGAAAACCAGGAACAAACTAAAGGTTCAACATTATAGGAATTAGTAGGGAAATGTCAACATGATTAAATATTACGGATATTTATAAAAAATGGCGGCCATGGCAGCACATGCCTGTAGTCCCAGCTACTTGGGAGGCTGAGATGAGAGGATCACTTCAGCTCAGGATTTTGAGACCAGCCTGGGCAATGTAGTGAGAGACCCCATCTCAAAAAATTTAAAAAATTAGCAACATAGGCCCAGTGCGGTAGCTCACACCTGCAATCCCAGCACTTTGGGAGGCTGAGGTAGGCAGATTACTTGAGGCCAGGAGTTCGAGACCAATCTAGCCAACATAGTGAAACCCTACCTCTACTAAAAAAATACAAAACATTAGCCGGGTGCAGCAGCGCACACTTGTAATCCCAGCTACTCAAAAGGCTGAGGCATGAGAACCGCTTGAACCCTGGAGGCAGAAGTTGCAGTGAGCTGAGATCGTGCCACTGCACTCCAGCCTTGGTGAGAGAGTGAGACTCTTATCTCCAAAAAATAAAAAATAAAAAATTAGCATCCTAAAAAATTCTTGCCATTATAACATTGAATAAAAATATTTTCAATGTTGTTTGGCATTGATTTCAACTTTATACAATTTACACAGAAAAATAGCAATTTTAATGTAATGTAGTACCCCCAAATTAATTATTCTCCCTTATTATTTTTTTGTTCTGTATTCTCTGTCAGTGGTTGAATAATTATAAAGCTTTAATACTTTTTTTTAAAATAATTTTTTTTTTTTTTTGAGACAGAGTCTCACTCTGTTGCCCAGACTGGAGTGCAGTGGTGCGGTCACGGCTCACTGCAACCTCTGCCTCCTGGATTCAAGCGATTCTTCTGCCTCAGCCTCCTGAGTAGCTGGGATTACAAGCGCCTGCCACCATGCCCGGCTCATTTTTGTATTTTCAGTAGAGATGGGGTTTCGCCATGTTGGCCAGACTGGTCTTGAACTCCTGACCTTGGGTGATCCGCCCGCCTCAGCCTCCCAAAGTGCTGGGATTACAGGTGTGAGCCACCACGTCCGGCCAATACTTTTATTCTAAGCTACCTCAATTCATTTTTTTGGAAGCATGCAGGATAAATTAAAATACAGAGGCTGCATTAGAATACTGGATTGTTTTCTATACATTATAGTATTGCTTCACAGGATTCTCTTTCTTCATCCTTTCAACAAACATTTATTGAGGCTGTGCTAGGCCCTATTCTGTGCACAGGAGACAAAAATCCCTGTCCTCATTAGCTTACTGTTTTAGTGATTTTCTTGGTCCAACAGAAGTAAAAAAAGAAAAAAAAAAGCCAGTTTAATTGACACATTTCCTGCTATCTGGTTTTTATGACCATTATGATTATCTTGATCAATGCGTTTGGATTAATTCCCCTTGATAAAAAATGTATTTCAGAAATATTGGTTAAATTAACATGAAATGAAAATAATTTATATTCTTTGATCCTAAATAAATTGTCTGGCATAATGTGTTCCTTGGGCTGTAACATGGGCATAAATCAAATTTGAGCTTTTATTAGAAATGATTATGTTCTAGTATTTATAAAAATGGGATGCCATGACTGGATCAGAGCTTCCTTTGTTTAATTCCCAACCTGCTTTGCACATTAGAATCAGTTGGAGAACTTAAAGCACAAAACCTGAAGATCAGACCTTATCCTAGACCAGTTTATTCAGAATCTGAGATCAGGGTGTCGTGGGCATCAGGTATTTTTGTAAAGGCTCTCCAGATTATTCTAATGTACTTGTAGGGTTGAGAATGTACAACAGTAGTTCCCAAACTTTGCTACACATTGAATCTTTTTAAAAATATTGAAGCCTGACTCCTACCTGTAAACATTCAGATTTAATTGACATGACGTGTGACTTGTGCTTTACTGTTGTTTGAAAAAACTTCTCAGGTGATTCTAATGTGCAGCAAAGCCTGGGAACAACTTCTTTATAGTGTTAATAATTTCTTATTTTCTTTTCTTTTTTTTTGTTTTTTTTTGAGACTGAATCTCGCTCTATTGCCCAGGCTGGGTGAGATTGCAGTGGCTCAATCTCAGCTCACTGCAACCTCTGCCTCCCGGGTTCAAACGATTCTCGGGCCTCAGCCTCCCAAGTAGCTGGGATTACAGACGCCTGCCGCCGTGCTCAAATAATTTTTATAGTTTTAGTACAGACGGGGTTTCACCATGTTGGCCAGGCTTGTCTCAAACTCCTGACTTCAAGTGATCCACCCACCTCGGCCTCCCAAAGTGCTGGGATTACAGGCGTGAGCCACCGTGCCTGGGAATAATTTCTCATTTTAATCACTAATGTGTATTATATTGATTCAATTCTATAAATATTTAATGTAGATCTGTGATATCCTGGCATGTTTTAGATGCTGAGGAACCTAAACAAAATTTCTTGCCCTTGTGGCACCACATTCTAGTGGGAAGAGACAGACAGTAATCTAAATAAGTAAACTGAATAGTACATTAAAAGGTGAAAAATGCTGTAGACAAAAATAAAACCAGAAGGGGATAGGGAGTGCCGGGGGTTGGGAGATTGCAATTTTAAGTAATTATTAGGAAAGGCCTCACCAAGATGAGGTGACTTTTGAGTAAACACTTGCAAGAGATGAAACCACTCATGCAGAACATGTGGATACCCAGATGTTCAAAGGAAGAATATTCCATGTAGAGGAAAAGTAATTACAGAGTCCTTGAAGTAGGACTCTGCTGCTGTATTTGAAGTACAACAGGAAGGCCAGTATGGCTGGAATGAAGTGAGTGAGAAGAGGAGCAGAAGATGAGGTCAGAAAGACTGGAGACAGGAATGGGTTTTGTATGGCTTACAGACCATTGTGTGACTAGGTTGTTACTATGAGGTAGGAAGCCACTGGCAGGTTTTGAGCAGAGTTACCATCTGAGTTATGTTACAAAAGGATCACTTTGACTGGTATGATAGACTGTATGGGTCCAGAGCAAAAGCAGGGAAACTAGTTAGAAGGCTGCTGCAATAAACCAGGCATGAGAGATAATGTGGCTTGGACCAAGTGGCAGGCAACAGGAAATATAGAACAAGAAAAAAAAAAGGAGGAAGAAAATAATTTGGTACTTTGAGGGTAGACCTACCAACACTGGCTGACAGATTAAAATTAGGGTATAAGGGAGAGGGAGACACCAAGGTTTTTGGCCTAGTTGCAAAAGGAGGTTGTCGGGAAATAAGATGGGGAAGACTATGGGAAGATCCAGGATTTGGGGGAAAGCTCAAGAGTTCAGTGTTTGGTATGCTTCAGACAACCAAGTGCAGAGGTTGAGTTTGTTATTAGAGTTAGATACATGAGTCTGGAGCTGAAGAGAAAGAAGTCCTGACTAGAAATACAGATTTGGAAGTGCACGGTACATATATTGCACTGAAAGCCTTGAGATTAGAGATCACCAGGTAGTGAATATAGATAGAAAAAGGAAAGAGGTCCCAAAACAGCCCTGTCCTTGAGCATTTCATTACTGAGAAATTCAAGAGATTGAAAAAGAATCAAAAAAGGAGACAGAATGAGCAGGCAGTAAAGTGGGAGGGAAGTGTGGAGTCTAGGGGAGTATAGTCCTGGGAACCACATGAAAAAGTGTTTCTTGGCCGGGCGTGGTGGCTCATGCCTGTAATCCCGGCACTTTGGAAGGCTGACATGGGCGGATCACAAGGTCAGGAGATGGAGACCATCCTGGCTAACACGGTGAAACCCCGTCTCTACTAAAAATATAAAAAATTAGCCGGGCGTGGTGGCACACGCCTATAGTCCCAGCTACTCAGGAGGCTGAGGCAGGAGAATCGTTTGAACCCGGGAGGTGGAGGTTGCAGTAAGCTGAGATTGCGCCACTGCACCCCAGCCTGGGTGACAGAGGAACACTCTGTCTCAAAAAAAAAAAGAAAAAGAAAAAGTGTTTCTTGGAGAATACGTTATCAACATCATCAGTGATATGATAGGTCAAGTAAGATGAAGACTGAAACATTTGTGTATAATTTTATGGGCCATTGGATATCAGTTATTGATATCTTTTAGGTTTTTATTTTATATATTTATTTATTTAGAGATAAATAAAATATTTATTTATTTATTCTCTCGCCCAGGCTGGAGTGAAGTGGCACAATCTTGGCTCACTGCAACCTCTGCTGCCCAGGTTCAAGCGATTCTCCTGCCTCAGCCTCCTGAGTAACTGAGATTACAGGTGCCTGCCACTGAGCCCACCTAATTTTTGTATTTTTAGTAGAGATGGGGTTTTGCCATCTTGGCCAGGGTGGTCTTGAACTCCTGACCTCGTGATTCACCTGCCTCGGCCTCCCAAAGTGCTGGGATTACAGGCATGAGCCACTGCGCCCAGCCTCTTTTAGGTTTTTAGAAATTTGCTTTTCTGATTATCTCACATCTGTTTCTATCCCTAAATAAGTGATTCCTGATTTGGGAGAAGGAATGGAGTTAAGAAGACAGAATTTAGAAGGAAGGTGGATGATATCAGAGAAGAAAGGCTTATGTGTTTGGAGGCCTCTAAAGTGCTGGTATTAGGCCAGGTGCGGGTGGCTCACGCCTGTAATCCCAGCACTTTAAGAGGCCGAGGCGGATGGATTGCTTGAGCCCAGGAGTTTGAGACCGGCCTGGCCAACATGGTGAAACCCCGTCTCTACCAAAAATACAAAAATTAGCTGGGCGTGGTGGCATGTCTGTAGTCCCAGCTACTTGGGAGGCTGAGATGGGAGAATCACCTGAGCCTGGGAAGTCAAGGCTGCAGTAAGCCAAGATCACACCACTACACTGCAGCCTGGGCAACAGAGCAAGACTGTGTCTCAAAAATAAAAGAAAAAGTCAAGTGCTGGCATTGCTCTACTTCTTGACCTAGGTGGTTGGTGGTGATTTATAATTATTCCTTAAACTGTACTTACATGCTTTGTGCACTTTTTTGTATGTATGTTAAATTTGGCAAAAAAGGAAGAAAATGATGAGTTTAAACATAAATTAGCTTTCTTTGTTGTTGGTTACTAACTTTGAAGGTTTTCTTCATATAGTAACATTGCACAGAATTATTTTTTTAAAGTTCAGTCTCCACTAATGCTTGTATTCTAAAATTATTTTGTTTTTTTCTCTAAGCCCTCATGCAACTGGAGTCTGTTTTAAGGAACATCATAAAAGAACGAAAAGGAAGGAACTTCAGTCAACATATTTTCATTGACTCCTTAGTACAAGGGAACCTTAATGACCAACAGGTGATATAATTGTTAAATGTTTATCAGGTAAAAAAATAAGCCAGAGCCAGGCACAATGGCTCATGACTGTAGTCCCAGCTACTTGAGAGGGTGAGGTGGGAGGATCACTTGAACCCAAGAGATCAAGGCCAACTTGGGCAATATAGCAAGACGCCATCTATAAAAAATAATGATAATCACACATATATACAGTGTGCTTTTCATTCACTTTAATCCAGATACCCTCCTAGAGTTCAGTGGCTTAAGAGAAGCATCATACATGTTTTTTTGGGTTTTTTGTTGTTGTTGTTGTTTTGAGATGGAGTCTCGCTATGTCGCCCGGCTGGAGTGCAGTGGCACGATCTCTGCTCACTGCAACCTCCACCTCCTGGGTTCAAGCGATTCTCCTGCCTCAGCCTCCCAAGTAGCTGGGACTACAGACGCGCACCACCACGCCCAGATAATTTTTCTGTATTTTTAGTAGAGACGGAGTTTCACCTTGTTGGCCAGGATGGTCTCTATCTCTTTCACATCATGATCCACCCGCCTTGGCCTCCCAAAGTGCTGGGATTACAGGTGTGAGCCACTGCACCCAGCTGCATCGTACATCTTTTATTGTACATCATTGGTAGTACAAGTACTTGGTCTCTATTATTTAGCTCTTTGAGGCAGCTGTATATTATTTAATATTATTAAATTGAGCCAAAATTCTTGAATTACAAAAGAGGAGAAGGACTTGTGTTAGGTGTATTAGACTAAATCACTTTGCCTGCTTGACCAGGTGTGGCAGTGTGGCTTGTTGACAATACTGCCAACATACCACTGCATTTGTGGTATTGTCAGGCCAGTGAGGTGAGTTGTTATTGCCACACCTCTTCATTGTAGGAATCTTCTGCCTCACTATACACATGCAAGTCCTTGTAGCCAGAAGTAGTTTGATATATGTTGGTGCAGAAATTGAATTTGGCTTCCAGGACAGGGATGAGATCTTCTGTCCTATTTCTGAGGCTTCATTGCTGTTTACTAGGCTAAGCCAGAAAAATAGGACCGAGTTTGTTTACCAAAGTAGATCATGAACCAGTAATACTCACAACAAATACCCTGATTTGATCATTACATGTTGTATACATGTACCGAAAATCACTTGTACTCCCAAAATACATACAACTATAGTTCATCAATTTTAAAAATATTTTTAAAAAGCAGTGTGGTATTTAGGTTGGTATTCACATTATACAGATTTGGTTTTTTGTTTTAGTGAAAACATCAAAATGAAATAATATACTTTTTTTTTCATTGACACTAATTTTATGCTGTAGATTATTTTAGCAGGGCCTAATATAGGCTACCTTACATTTTTCACACTTTCTAAACTTAGTTTTGTTTCCTAGATCCTAGAAGACAGTATGATATTTTCTCTGGCCAGTTGCATAATAACTGCAAAATGTAAGTATAAATTGATTTCTTTTTCAGAGGAATTACTAAATATATAGGCTGAGCACAGTGGCTCACACCTGTAATCCCAACACTTGGGGAGGCTGAGGTGGGAGATTGCTTGAGGCCAGGAGTTGGAGGCCAGCTCAGAAAACAGAGACCCTCTCTACAAAAAAAATAAGTTAACTGAGCATGATGGCCCGTGCCTGTAGTCTCAGCTGCTCAAGAGGATGAATCACGAGGATGGAGGCTACAGTGAACTGTGATTGTGCACTCCAGCCTGAAAACAGAGTGAGACCCTGTCTCAAAAAAAACAAGGCCAGGCATGGCAACTCACACCTGTAATCCCAGCACTTTTTGGGAGGCCAGGGCAGGAGGATCACTTGAGCCCAGGAGTTCGAGACCAGTCTGGGCAACATAGTGAGACCTCGTCTCTGCTAAAAATAACAATTAGCTGGGTGTGGTGGCGCATGCCTGTGGTTGCAGCCACTCGGGAAGCTGAGGCAGGATCATCACTTGAGCCCAAGAGATTGAAGCTGCAGTGAGTGATGGTCACACTATTGCATTCCAGCCTGGGCAACAGAGCAAGACTGTCTCAAAACAAACAAACAAAAATAAAACACTGTTTAGAGGACTTCTTTATAATTTTTCCCTCTTTTTTAGTCTTGTTTTAAAGGGCTGACTCACATAAGTGCTTTTTTTCTTAACCCCAAGTGCTTAAAGCCACCTCTGAAAATTGCCATAAATTTCTTGACACATTTTATGGATTGTGAATTCTTGTTAGTGCCTTTAAAATGAACTGCTGTTGACACCTTTCCAACCAAAACAGTGAGCTTTTCATTTCCTGCTGCTGCTTTCCACTTTGACTCCAAGCTAGTCTGCTATTACTAAGGTCTACCAACAAGAGTATATAGGCCACAGAAATCACGATTTAAAAGAACTCCTCTCGTTGGAATTGAAGGTGATTTTTATGTAAAATTGTAAAATATTTGATATGTTTCTAAGTTTCCTCACTTGGTTTTTAGATTGGTGGAGTACCATTTATTTATACAGTATTTATAAAAAATACTTCAATAGGCATAAAAATACACTAAGATAAAAATACTTAAAGGAAGTATTAGGGGACCAGGCAAGGTGGCTCACAGCTATAATGCCAGCACTCTGGGAGGCCGAGGTGGATGAATCACTGGAGCCCAGAAATTTGGGACCAGCCTGGGCAACACAGCGGAAACCCATCTCTATAAAAAATTCAAAAATTAGCCAGGCCTGGTGGCACACACTTGTAATCCCAGTTATGTAAGGAAGGCTAAGGTGGGAGGATCACCTAAGCCCAGGAGGTTGAGGTTGCAGTGAGCCATGATTGCACCACTGGACTGCAGCCTGGGTGACAGAGTGAGACCCTGTCAAAAAACAAAAGGAGGCCAGGCATGGTGACTCATGCCTGTAATCCCAGCACTATGGGAGGCTGAGGTGGGCAGATCACAAGGTCAGGAGTTCGAGACCAGCCTGACCAACATGGTGAAACCCTGTCTCTACTAAAAATACAAAAATTAGCCAAGTGTGGGGGCACATGCCTGTAATCTCAGCTACTGAGGAGGCTGAGGCAAAAGAATCGCTTGAACCCCAGAGGCAGAGGTTACAGTGAGCTGAGATCGCACCACTGCACTCCAGCCTGGGTGACAGAGCGACACTCTGTCTCAAAAAAAAACAAAAAACAAAAGGAAGTATTAGGACATGAATTTAAATTTTAGAAAATTTGTGTTCACTTGAAGGATTTCATTTATATCCCTCAATGTTTAAGGAAGCTTTCTTTAAAAGGATACAAATGTAAACGTCCCATAAATTTTTCTTCTTTAACATATAGAAATGTCCAGATACTATAGATGACTAAATTGAATTTAGGTAAGCATATGTCAAAAATAATGTATTCAACCTTTTTTTTTTTTTTTTTTTGAGACGGAGTTTTGCTCTTGTCACCCAGGCTGTAGTGCAATTGCGCGATTTCAGGTCACTGCAACCTCCACCTCCTCGATTCAAGTGATTCTCCTGCCTTAGCCCCCTGAGTAGCTGGGATTACAGGCGCCTGCAACTATGCTTGGCTAATTTTTGTATTTTAAGTAGAGACCATGTTGGCCAAGCTGGTCTTGAACTGACCTCAGGTGCTCCACCTGCCTCGGCCTCCCAAGGTGCTAGGATTACAGTCGTGAGCCACCACGTCCTGCCTTATTCAACCTTTTTTTAAAAATGCCTATTTGTTTGGTCCAGTGGTGCACACTTGTCCCAGCTACGTTGGAGGCTGAGGTGGGAGGATTGCGTGAGCCCCAGGAGTTTGCCTAACTTGGGCAATAAAACAAGACCCCAGCTTAAAAAAAATTAGTATAAAAATAGATTTAAAATCCTTGTTTTTAAAACGCATTACATTAAACCTAATATGTCTTTGCTAAAGACCTTTAAAAATCTAAATCACTTGTGCTCCGGACACCAAGAAAAGTGACTATTTCCAAGGTTGAATTAATATTTTAATCTTATTTTCAGTTTTTAGGGAGATTTTAGGAGTATTGCTATGTATTTGGATGTAGGTTAGTGGTTTTTTAAGTCTCCTCCGAAGTTTTTGAGAGAGTAGATAAATAAGAAACCTTAATAAGTCCTTACTCTGCCCCTTATTAGCCTTGGGCAAGATACTTATCTCTGCATTTTCCTCCTTTTCTAAAATAGGAGTTTAGCTCCAGATGACCTTCCAAGTTATCTCTAAGCTATGAAATTGTGTCTGATTCAGTATTGTATTTAAAACACATTAAGTGGCTTAAAATCACATTTTAAAGCTATTTTCAGTCATCATTTTTAAGAGTCCTACAAAGGAACCAGTGTGACAGGCTGGGCAATATAGTGGGACACAATCTCTACAAAAAAAATAATAAATTGTAGTTAGCTGTGCATGGTGGCATGTGCCTGTAGTCCCAGCTACTTGGGAAGCTGAGGTGGGAGGATCAATTTAGCCAGGAGATCAAGGCCTCAAGTGAGCTGTGATCACTACCACTGCACTCCAGCCTGGGTGACAGAGTGTGACCCTATCTAAAAAAAAACCCACAAACCAAAAGTCAATGTGAGAATTTTTTTTTTTTTTTTTTTTTTTGAGGCAGAGTCTCACTCTGTCGCCCAGGCTGGAGTGCAGTGGTGCAATCTCGGCTCACTGCAACCTCCACCTCCCAAGTTCAAGCGATTCTCCTGCCTCAGCCTCCCAAGTAGCTGGGACTACAGGCGCCCACTACCACACCTGGCTAATTTTTTGTATTTTTAGTAGAGACGAGGTTTCACTGTGTTGGCCAGGCTGATCTCGAACTCCTGACCTCGTGATCTGCCCGCCTTGGCCTCCCAAAGTGCTGAGATTACAGGCGTGAGCCACCACACCCAGCCAATGTGAGATTATTAAATTCATATTGTTATATTAATTTTTTTTTTTTTTTTTGAGACTGAGTCTTGCTCTGTCACCAGGCTGGAGTGCAGTGGCGCCATCTCGGCTCACTGCAACCTCTGCCTCCCGGGTTCAAGCAATTCTCCTGCCTCAGCCTTCCAAGTAGCTGGGACTAGAGGCGCGTGCCACCATGCCCAGCTAATTTTTGTATTTTTAGTAGAGACAGGGTTTCACCATGTTGGCCAGGATGGTCTCGTTCTCTTGACCTTGTGATCTGCCCGCCTCGGCCTCCCAAAGTGCTGGGATTACAGGTGTGAGCCACTGCATCCGGCCTGTTATATTAATTTTAAGTGATAATATAGTCAAGCAGAGTACAGGATTGACCACTGTGTGCAAATCTTTGTGGTGACTCCTTCAGTTGTATATTACTCTATGTTGTAAAATTGTGTGACATACATATTGTACACTGCACAAGTTTTCACATCACTTGTAAAATAGCAATTCTACAGTTCACTCAGAAGCCATAATGAAGAGGCATATGTAGGGAAAAGTTAAGGACAGGCAGTCACTCATGTTTTTTGTGAACTCTAGATATAAGAAAACTAATCAGAGTAATTGAGTACCAGGTTACTACTGATTTTAATGGTAACAATATTGGTAATAAGGTGAATCAGGCAAACTTTTTTTTATAAATTAACTTTGAGATAAGTTTAAGTTAACCCTTAGCGCAGGAAAGAGATCATTGGTAAGTAAAGTACAAGTTACTAGAAGGATATTAAAAAGTATTTGACACAGGAACAATAGAGCTACAGATGGTGTCAGCTCAAACATATTCTAGGGAAAGAGGTAGTATATATGTTCAGAAGTTTCCATTCTTTTAATAGTTATAATCCCAGTGTATTACTAAAGGAAATATAACTACTCTTTTTCCTCTGTTTTTTTCTCAACATGTAATTTCTTTACATTTTCATTTCTTCTGGTTTTTTTCTCAACATGTAATTTCTTTACATTTTCATTTCCTCAGTGAATACAATCCATAAACCAGTTTAAGCTAAAGTAAGCCATGAGCCAGTGATCTTCCCATTTTGGCGTTGAGATAAATTCGATATTCCATTTGTTAAAAGTACAGATGTTTGGACATTACCACAAACCTACTGAACCAGAATTTGTGAATGTGAGGTTATAGCATCAGCCATCTCCCAGGTGGTTTTTGAGAACCACTGCTTTTTTTTTTTTTTTTTTTTTTTTTTGAGACAGGATCTCACTTGATTGCCCAGGGTGGAGTGCAGTGGCACGGTCACAGCTCACTGCAGCCTCAACCTCCTGGGCTCAAGTGATCATCCCATCTCAGTCTCCCAAGTAGCTGGGACTATAGGCACACACCACCACACCCAGCTGATTTTTGAGTTTTTTGTAGAGATGGGGTTTTGCCATGTTGCCCAGACTAGTCTTGAACTCCTGAGCCTACGCAATCCCCCAGCTTCAGATTCCCTCCCAAAGTGATCCCCTCCGTGTGATCCCCTCCCGAAGTGCTGGGGTTACAGGTGTGAGCCACCACGTCTGGTTGAGAACTGTTCTAAGCAATAACCACTCACAAATTTTGAGCCAGTGTATTTACCATCACAAGTAAATATTTTAGAATATTGATTTATCGATAAATCTGCTAGCTTGATTTGTCTGAATTATTTCATTAGTGCTCCTAAGTGAACTGATAAATCGGCCTAATAAGGTTGAGTGCATGAGATAATCCATTGCAACAGCCAACATTGAGCACTCCTACAGATATGATATTTATTTATTATCATAACTATTTTACCTAAGGTAAAATTAAGTGGCTCCAGTTACTTACCAGTTTTAAGAAAGAAGGCATCCAGATTGCACTATGTCTGTTGGAGGGCATTCTGTAAATATTGATGTTCCATATAATATAAACCCTGTGAAGAATTTTACTTTTTAGTAGCACTTATATATCTTCTATATCATGGGAGAAAAAAAGCAAATACAAAAATCCCACCCTAAATAAGTAGTTTTTTTCTTATTCTATACCCAAGCCATGAGTTAGCTATTTTCATTGTTATTCATATAATGTTTGACCTAGTGTGTACCTGGGCAATCTGTTTTTTAACCACCTCTGAAGAAGTTCAAAAAAAATTATATGAAGAGATAAACCAAGTTTTTGGAAATGGTCCTGTTACTCCAGAGAAAATTGAGCAGCTCAGGTAAGAACACAATAAAAAGAGGAGATTATTAAAAGGTAAATTTGAACTGGTTTATCTAATTTAAAGCTATTGTTGCTATCTAGGAAAGCTACATATTTTTATAGGACTTAAAGTATTTATATGTAGATTTTATTAGGTAAATGAATCTGCTTTTTAAAATCATAAGGTTGTGTGGGAAATGTTTAACTTAGCCTGTGAAATAGTACTAATGAAGTCAAGCAAGTATGACACTCATACTTTGTTGATGGTCATAAAAAATAGACAGCCACATTAGATAATAATATAGTAGGCTTGACCGGGCGTGGTGGCTCACACCTGTAATCCCAGCACTTTGGGAGGCCAAGGTAAGTGGATCACTTAAGCCTAGTAGTTCAAGGCCAGCTTGGGCAACACGGAAATGCAAAATATTGGCCAGATGTGCTGGGACGTGCCTGTAGTCCAAGCTACTCAGGAGGCTTAGGTGGGAGGATCACCTCAGCTCAGGAGGTCGAGGCTACAGTGATTGCATCACTGCACTCCAGCCTGGGTTACAGAGCAAGACCCTGTCTCAAAAGAAAAGAAAACAATAGAAAACAATATGATAGGCTCTTAAAAAGTTCAACATACACTTATATGACCCAGCAGTTCCACTCCTTGGAATTTCATTCAAGATAAATGAAAACATGACTACACAAAGTCCTGTTTGCATATATTCATAGCAAATTGGAAGTAGTTCAAATGTTCAACTGGTAAATAGATAAACAAATTGTGGTATTACCATACCATAGAATACTACCAAGTAATAAAAAGGAACACCGTATCAATACACACAACAACACAGATGAATCTTAGTGATTTAAGGGAAAGAAGTGAAACATAAAATACTGGCTACTATATGATTTCCTTTGTGTGAAATTCTAGAAAAGGCAAACTGTGGTGATAAAAAGCATACTGTTGGAGGCTAGGAATGGGGATCAACTACAAAGGGGCATGAAGAAAATGAAACTATCATATATTACTTGTGGTTGTAGTTACGCAATTGTATACAATTACTAAAATTCAAACCGTACAGGTAAAATGGGTTAATTTTATTGCATATAACTATACCTTAATTTAATTTTTTTTTAATTGCAACTGTGATTGCTTCTGGGTTAGAAGTCTGAGACTGGGTAGCAAGCAACCCTATCTTGGAGCATAAAATCAACTATAGAAAAGATAGAGTGGCTGGGCGCAGTGGCCCACACCTGTAATCCCACCAATTTGGGAGGCCAAGGTAAGAGGATCACCTGAGCCCAGGAGTGCAAGACCAGCCAGAGCAACATGGCAAAACCCTATCTCTAAAAAAAAAATACAAAAAATTAGCCAGGGATGGTGGTGCATGGCTGTAGTCCTAGCTACTCAGGAGGCTGATATAGGAGAATCACCTGAGCCCAGGAAGTCCAGGCTGGAGTGAGCTACGATCACACCACTACACTCCATCCTGGTGACAGTGAGACCCTATCTCAAAAAAAAAAAAAAAAAAAAAAAAGAAAAGATAACCACTGGAAAGAACTAGGAGGCTTTTAAATGTTGGAAGTTTTATTTATTACATTGACTGTAACTATTATTTTAAAAGTAATACTAGTTGTCTTTTGAAGTTTTTATCATACCGAAGTGTATGAAGTAGAAGGTGAGGTTCCTTTGTAAATGTGCCCTTAAGCCCGTAACAGTTGGGCTAGGCGCAGTGACTCATGCTTATAATCCCAATAATTTGGGAGGCTGAGGCTGGAGGATTGCTTGAGCCCAGGAGTTTGAGACCATTCACGGCAACATAGTGGGAGCCTGTCTCTACAAAATATTTAAAAATTAGCCAGACATAAAGGCATGTGCCTATGGTTACAACTACTAGGGAGGCTGAGGTGGGAGGATCACTTGGGCCTGGGAGGTTGAGGCTGCAGCATGATAGAGTGTCACTGCACTCCAGCCTGGGCAACAGAGCAAGAACCTATCTCTTAAAAATAAGTAAATAAATAATTTTTAAAAGTTTAAGCTCTAATATAGCTTATGAAGCATTTCAAAAGCTGGGCCTTGTGTACTCCCACCTTATCCTCACTTGTGCCTCTTCATAGCTTTCAGTTTAGCTCTACTCAAAGTCTTTAGTTTCTTATCTCCTGTCCTGGCTTTTGCACAAACTACTCCTCTGTATAGATTCTCTTTTCGTCTCTTCTTTAGTTAAGTCCGGGTTTTGGTTTTTGGTTTTGGGGTGGAGTGTTTTTTTATCGTCGGTGGTGGTTTGAGTTTTTCTTTTCTTTTTTTTTTAATGTTGTTGTTGTTGTTTGCAGGTTTCAGCCTGTGTTTATTTCTCTCTCTCTTTTTTTTTTTTTTTTTTTTTTCAGATGCAGTCCCTTTCTGTCACCCAGGCAGGATTGCAGTGGCGCAATCTCAGCTCACTGCACCCTCCACCTCCTGGGTTCAAACGATTCTCATGCCGCAGCTTTCCAAGTAGTTGGAATTACAGGCATGCACCACCACACCTAGCTATTTTTTGTATTTTTAGTAGACACAGGGTTTTACCATGTTGGCCAGGCTGGTCTCGAACTCCTGGCCTCAAGTGATCCACCCGCCTCTGGCTCCCAAAATGCTGGGATTACAGACATGTGCCACCACGCCCAGCCCAGCCTGTGTTTATTTCTCTACAAAGCCCTTTCCCTAGAGTAGCTGCTCCTACCTTATATTCCAGTAATACCCTGAACTTCCTTTATAACATGTGCTATACTTAATTGTTCATCCTTTATGTCCTATCCAATCTGCCTCCCCACTGCCAACTAGATTCTGAACCCCTTTGATGATGTATCTCTTGTTTATTGTTGTAGCTCAGTATCTAGCACAGTGCTTCACATGCAGCAGGTACGCAATAAATATTTATACAGAGGAAAGGAAGGAAGAATGTTTCCCCTTTTGATTTTGTTGTTTTTGATGTTACAAACAATTAACACTTCTGTGCTTACATCTTTACTAATATTTCCAAATATTTCTGTATAATAAGGTCCTAGAAGTGAGCTTCTAGTTGAAGGATGTATGCAGTAGGACAGTGGTTAAGATTTGAATCCTGTGACACACAACTTACCTGCTGTGTGATCTTAAATAACTGCCTCTGATTTTAATCTGTAAAATTAGAATAATAATAGTACCCATGGGTTTCTTGTAAGGATTCGATAAGATCCTGTATATAGAGCATTTAAGTGAACTGACTCATAGCAAGATTGCAATACATTTTAGTTTTTATTCTCGTTGTGATGTACACTTAAGAGTTTGATATATATTGCCAAATTATGCTTCTGAAAGGTTTTACCAGTTTATACTTCCACCAATTGGATATGAGAATGTCTTTTTCTCCATCTTTTTCTAGTAATATCTGCTCTCATTCTTTTTCATCTTTGTCAATCTGGCAAGTAAAAAAAATGCTATGATTGGCAATCTTTAAGTTGTTAATTAAGTTGAGTATCATTTCATATGTCTTCAGGCCATTTGTAAGTTTTTGTGAATTGCTTTTTGTATTCTCCGTCCCTGTTTCTATGGGATTGTTGGATTATTTTAATTACTTTTAAAGAGGTTTTATACATGAAAGATATATTTACTGAAAATATTTTTCCTAGTTATCTTTAGAAATATGTAAACAAAATGTTTCTCTAGTTAGGTTATGTATATTTTTCTTTATAATTTTCTGTCAGCTTCGTGCTAAAAATAAACTTTTTAAAAATTGTAGAAACATTATTTTGAGTTTTCTTCTGGTACTTTTAAAAGTGTTTTTATTTGTTGAAATCTTTATCTACCTAGAGTTATATACAGATTTATAACAAATCTTATAAAAATGTATTTATTTTAAAATTTATAAAATTGTTAATCTTTATGTACTTCTAATATATAACATATCTTTAAGCAGATAAGAATTATGATGGGACTATTTCAAGTTGGGAATGTTTGAGCAGTTGTTGAAGAACGTTTTTTAAATGTATGTACATTTCTAACTGCCTCCCAAAATAAACATCTTCAAAAAAAATTTTTTTAAAACAGATATTGTCAGCATGTGCTTTGTGAAACTGTTCGAACTGCCAAACTGACTCCAGTTTCTGCCCAGCTTCAAGATATTGAAGGAAAAATTGACCGATTTATTATTCCTAGAGAGGTAGAAAACCTTTAATATGTTTAATTCATTCAGCTATTCTCAACTCTTTTGGTGTGTGTGTGTGTATATATATATATATTTTAGACAGAGGTTTGCTCTTGTCACCCAGGCTGGAGTGCAATGGCGCGATCTTGGCTCACTGCAACCTCCACCTCCCAGGTTCAAGGGATTCTCCTGTCTCAGCCTCCCGAGTAGCGGGGATTACAGGCGCCCGCCACCATGGCCAGCTAATTTTTGTATTTTTAGTAGAGACGGGGTTTCACCATCTTGGCCAAGCTGGTCTTGAACTCCTGACCTCAGGTGATCTGCCAACCTTGGCCTCCCAAAGTGCTGGGATTACACACATGAGCCACTGCACCCAGCCTGGTGTGTATTTTAAATTTGTTTAAAGTGGCAAATAAATGCTACCCATTATTAAATAAAAGACACAATTATTTTAGTTACAAAATAATATGTGCTTGTTTTAAAGTTCAAGCAATATAAAAGTCTTCCTTCCCAAAAGGTACTACTGTTAGCAGTTTAGTATGTATTTTTATAGACCTATTTCTGTGTATGTATATTACTCTGTGTATATATGTATAGAAACACACATATACATATGTATTAAACAATTTATATGTGAAAAGTTACTCTTTCTATATTGTTCTTTAATTTTCTTTTATTGAATGTATCATGGCTATTAGTATACCTAGCACTTGATACAGATTTGACTCATTATTATTAATGGCTGCATAATATTCCATTGTGTGAATGTACCATGATTTATTTTTTAATTTAATTTTTTGAGACAGAGTATCACTCTGTCACCCATCCTGGAGTGCAGTTGTGCAATCTTGGCTCACTGCAACCTCCGCCTCCCGAGTTCAAGTGATTCTCCTGCCTCAGCCTCCTGAGTAGCTGGGATTACAGGCTTGTGCCACAAGGCCTGGCTGATTTTTATATTTTTAGTAGAGATGGGGTTTCACCATGTTGGCCAGGCTGGTCTCGAACTCTTGGCCTCAAGTGATCCACCTGCCTCCACCTCTCAACATGCTGGGATTACAGGCATGAGCCACCATGCCCATCTAGCATAATTTATTTAAGCAGCCCCCGCTAGTGGAAATTATGATTGACATTATTTTTTTTAATTATATACTGGTACAGGTGTTGAGTAGAGTCTGAGACACGGAGTTTTTGTGTCAAAGTCCATGTATATGTTCAGTTATTATTATTTTTAGACAGGGTCTTGCTCTGTTACCTAGGCTGGAGTGCAGTGGTGTGATTGCAGCCTCGACCTCCCAGGCTTAAGTGATCCTGCCACCTCAGCTTCCCAAGTAGCTGGACTAAATTTTTTTATTTTTTATAAAGACAGAGTCTCACTATGTTGTCCAGGCTGATATGGAACTCCTGGGCTCAAGTGATCCTCCTACCTCAGCCTCCCAAAGTGGTGAGATTATAGGCATTAGCCACTGCACTGGGCCATGTGTACGTTAAATTTAAAATGTTCTCTAAAAGGCATTTTATACTTCTAGCAACAATGTATGAGAATGTTTTTTCTTTCCAAATCCTCACTGCCTCTGAATTTGAGTCTTATGTATATTTTATGAATCTTGCTTTTCTCTGATCATTGGAGAGATAGAACAAATTTTCATACATATATTAACAGTTTGTGTTTTTCTTTTGTTAATTCTGTCTTTATAACTTTCACTCATTTTTCTAGTGAGCTTATATATATTTGTATATTATACAAATTCTGTCAATTATATAGCAAATAACTTTTACTGTTGCTTACATTTTTTTTTGTTATTGTTTTTTAACTGGATGCAGATTTTTTTTTTATACTTTAAGTTTTAGGGTACATGTGTACAACGTGCAGGTTTGTTACATATGTATACATGTGCCATGTTGGTGTGCTGCACCCATTAACTCGACATTTAACATTAGGTATATCTCCTAATGCTATCCCTCCCCGCTCCCTCCACGCCACAACAGGCCCCGGTGTGTGATGTTCCCCTTCTTGTGTCCATGTGTTCTCATTGTTCACTTCCCACCTATGAGTGAGAACATGCGGTGTTTGGTTTTTTGTCCTTGCGATAGTTTGCTGAGAATGATGGTTTCCAGCTTCATCCATGTCCCTACAAAGGACATGAACTCTGGATGCAGATTTTAAATTTTCATGTAGTTAAGTCTGTTATTCCTTTATGGTTTCTAGATTTTGTGACATGCTTAGGGAGGCCTTCCTCATTGTAAGATCACCAAAATAATCACTTGTGGTTTCTTGCATTATTTTTAAATTATTATTTTGTATTCAATATCTATATTAAAAGAAGTTTGGAATAAGTTGACTTTCTAGGAGTCATTTTATCTCTGTTAGTCCTTGACTAATTGGATTTTTTTTTTTCACAGACCCTCGTCCTTTATGCCCTTGGTGTGGTACTTCAGGATCCTAATACTTGGCCATCTCCACACAAGTATGAAATATTTGTCATTGTATTTGTGACTGTCAGTTTTTGTGTTTGCACGTTTTGCATTCCTTTCCTAACTGTTGAGTAGAAAACTCAATATGTAGCAATGATACAACAAAAGAAAACTAGTGAATCCCCTTTTCTTCTCTTTCTTTTGAGACAGGGTCTCACTCTGTCATCCAGGCTGGAATGTAATAGTGCAATCACTTCTCACTGCAGCTTCGACCTCTCTGACTCAAGCCATCCTTCTGCGTCAGCCACCTAAGTAGCTAGGACCACAGGCGCGTGCTGCCACGCCTGGTTCATTTTTGTACTTTTTGTACAGATGGGGTTTCACCATGTTGCCCAGGCTGGTCTTGAACTCCTGAGCTCAAGCCATCCTCCCACCTCTGCCTCCCAAAGTGGTGGGATTACAGGCATGAACCACCAAGCCTGACCTGCATCCCCATTATATCTTCTGTTGACTGCTTTTTCTCTTATGTGAATCTGCTATTTGCTACTCTTTGTCTCTTTTATTACCACTTTTATACTAAGTGAAAAGTAATTAACATCTGTTTTAAGAAAATTAAAGCAGGCCGGGCACCGTGGCTCATGCCTGTAATCCCAGCACTTTGGGAGGCTGAGGCGGGCGGATCACAAGGTCATGAGTTCAAGACCAGCCTGGCTAACATAGCGAAACCCTGTCTCTAATAAAAATACAAAAATTAGCTGGGCATGGTGGCGCATGCCTGTAATGCCAGCTACTCGGGAGGCTGAGGCAGGAGAATCACTTGAACCTGGGAGGCAGAGGTTGCAGTGAGCCAAGATCATGCCATTGCACTCCAGCCTGGGCAACAAGAGCAAGACACAAGACTCCGTCTCAAAAAAAATTTTTAAAAAAGCAGAATTTCTCTCTCTTTTTTTTTTTTTTTTTGAGATGGAGTCTCGCTCTGTCGCCCAGGCTGGAGTGCAGTGGTATGATCTAGTGTCACTGCAAGCTCCGCCTCCCAGGTTCAAATAATTCTCCTGCCTCAGCCGCCTCAGTAGCTGGGACTACAGGCACCCGCCACCACGCCCAGCTAATTTTGTGTAGTTTTAGTAGAGACAGGGTTTCACCATGTTAGCCAGGATGGTCTCGATCTCCTGACCTCATGATCCACCCGCCTCAGCCTCCCAAAGTGCAGGATTACAGCCACTGCGCCCGGCCTCTTTTTTTTTTTTTTCCCCAGTGCATTTTTCTGTTCTTTATTGCTTCTCTTTTTGCTTTTTTTAAATTTATTTTTTATTTCAATAGGTTTTTGGGGAACAGGTGGTATTTCTTTGGTGGTGATTTCTGAGATTTTGGTGCAACCGTCACCCAAGCAGTGTACACTGTACCCAATGTGTAGTCTTCTATCCCTCATCGCCCCACCGTTTCCCCCAAGTCCCTAAAGTCCATTGTATCATTCTTATGTCTTTACGTCCTCATACCTTAGCTCCCAAGAATTTCCCTTTTTTAAAAATTCAGAGTTTAAGTCGTTTAAAAATACTTGTTTTTGCAAGGAATTTTTTTGTTCTGTGGTACGTGGGTTATTTGTTTTGTTTTTAATATATGCATTTCTTCAATGACTTTACAGAGTGAAATTCTATAGAACAAAAAATGTTTCTTAGGCCCTTCATTTCCCTGACTTTATTTTTTATTTTTATTGTTTCTTTAGGGACAGAGACAGGGTCATGCTCTGTCACCCAGGCTGGAGTGCAGTGATGTAAACACAGGCTCACTGCAGCCTCAACCTCCTGGGCTCAAGTAATGCTCCTACCTCACCCTCCAGAGTAACTGGAACTATAGGTATACGCTACCATGCCTGGCTAATTTTTTTTAATTTTTAATTTATTTTTATTTTTATTTTTTTCGAGACAGAATCTCGCTCTATTGCCAGGCTGGTCTTGGAATAAGCAAGACGCCAACTATGAAAAATAATGGGCTGGGCACAATAACCTGTAATCCCAGCACTTTGGGAGGCCGAGGCGGGCAGATCACCTGAGGTCGGGGGTTTGAGACCAGCCTGACCAACATGGAGAAACCCCTTCTCTACTAAAAATGCAAAATTAGCCAGGTGTGGTGGCGCATGCCTGTAATCCCAGCTACTCGGGAGGCTGAGGCAGGAGAGGTGGAGGTTGCAGTGAGCCGAGGTCATGTCATTGCACCCCAGCCTGGGCAACAAGAATGAAACTCCATCTCAAAAAAATAAAAAATAAAATAAAAAATAATGATAATAATCACACATATATAGAGTACGCTTTTCATTCGCTTTAATCCAGATACCCTCCTAGAATTCAGTGGCTTAAGAGAAGCAACGTGTATCTTTTTTTTTTGGACGGAGTCTCAATCTGTTGCCAGGCTGGAGTGCAGTGGTGCAATCTTGGCTCACTGCAACCTCCGCCTCCCGGGTTCAAGCGATTCTCCTGCCTCAGCCTCCCAAGTAGCTGAGACTACAGGCATGCACCACCACGCCCAGCTAATTTTTATGTTTTTAGTAGAGACGGGGTTTCACCATGTTGCCCAGGATGGTCTCAATCTTTTGACCTCGTGATCACCTGCCTCTGCTTCCCAAAGTGCTGGGATTACAGCCTTGAGCCACTGTGCCCAGCCTTTAAAAAAATTTTTTTTTTTTTTTTTTTTTTTTTTTTTGAGACAGAGTCTCACTCTGTCGCCCAGGCTGGAGTACAGTGGCGCGATCCCGGCTCACTGCAAGCTCCGCCTCCCGGGTTCATGCCATTCTCCTGCCTCAGCCTCCCTAGTAGCTGGGACTACAGGCACCCGCCACTGTGCCCAGCTAATTTTTTTTTTTGTATTTTTAGTAGAGATGGGGTTTCACCGTGGTCTCAATCTCCTGACTTCGTGATCCGCCTGCCTCGGCCTCCCAAAGTGCTGGGATTACAGGCGTGAGCCACCGCGCCTGGCCAAAAATTTTTAATAGAGATGAGGTCTCGCTATGTTGCCCAGGCTGGTCTCGAATTCCTGGGCTCAAGCAATCCTCCCACCTTGGCGTCACAAAGTGCTAGGATTACAGGCGTGAGCCACTGTGTCCAGCCTCTCTCACCTATTAATAAATCTGGATGTAATATAATTGATAAATATAATTTTAAGGCTGGAGCCTCCAATTTTAAGACATAAATTTCAGTTGAAGAGGCAATATAAAATGTCTTACATATTGATAAGGTGGTCTCATGTAACAGGTCTTAAATTTATTTAAAAATTCATTATATGATTTTCTATGATTTATCCTTATATTTCACAAAATAATATAAACTGGTGTAACAATCTTATACCTTGGTTTTCTCGAGAAATATATTTTGCATCTATCATTTAGAAATAATAAAGTAGGCCGGGTGCCGTGGCTCATACCTATAATCCCAGCACTTTGGGAGGCCAAGGCAGGTGGATCACGACGAGGTCAAGAGATCGAGACCATCCTGGCCAACATGGTGAAACCCCGTCTCTACTAAAAATAAAAAAATTAGCTGGGTGTGGTGGTGTGCACCTGTAGTCCCAGCTACTTGGGAGGCTGAGACAGGAGAATTGCTTGAACCTGGGATGTGGTGGTTGCAATGAGCCGAGATCACGCTACTGCACTCCAGCCTGGTGACAGAACAAGACTCCGTCTCAAAAAAAGAAAAAAAAAGAGAAATAATAAAGTGCCAGTCGTGGTGGTTCACACACCTATAATCCCAGCACTTCGAGAGATTGAGGCAGGAGGATCACTTGAGCCTAGGAGTTCAAGATCAGCCTGGGCAACCTAGGGAGAACCTGTCTGTACAAAAAACTGTTAAAAGTAGCTGGGCCTGGTGGCATGTGCTTATAGTCACAGCTACTCAGGAAGCTGAGGTAGAAGGATAGTTTAAGTCCAGGAGGTCGAGGCTGCAGTGAGCCTTGATTGCACCATTGCCCTCCAGCCTGGGTGACAGAGCGAGACCCTGTCTCAAAAAATGGAATATAGTAAGAAACAGCAATAGACTAAATATATGTTAAATAATTTGGGAACATAAAAATAAGTGGCATTTAAATATAATGTAAGAGCACTTTCTATTTTCAGTTGATTTTTAACTTTGTTACATACTTGTGTTCTTTTAGTGTCAACATGTAAGATGCCAGTGGAGCTATATTGTGATTAACCTCAAATTTTCTTTGTAGGTTTGATCCAGATCGGTTTGATGATGAATTAGTAATGAAAACTTTTTCCTCACTTGGATTCTCAGGCACACAGGAGTGTCCAGAGTTGAGGTGAATAATAGAATGCCAGACTCTGTTCTTAGAATTTTGATGATCACTGTTGATGAGAATGGGCAATCTGTATGATTAAAGTATTATTTTTTTATTATTATTGTACTTTAAGTTCTGGGGTTCATGTGCAGAACGTGCAGGTTTAAAGTATAATTTTTAATCTTTAGTAACTAATTGACTTTCTTCCTGACTAGGTTTGCATATATGGTGACCACAGTACTTCTTAGTGTATTGGTGAAGAGACTGCACCTACTTTCTGTGGAGGGACAGGTTATTGAAACAAAGTATGAACTGGTAACATCATCAAGGGAAGAAGCTTGGATCACTGTCTCAAAGAGATATTAAAATTTTATACATTTAAAATCATTGTTAAATTGATTGAGGAAAACAACCATTTAAAAAAAATCTATGTTGAATCCTTTTATAAACCAGTATCACTTTGTAATATAAACACCTATTTGTACTTAATTTTGTAAATTTGGATTTTTATATATCATATTTTCTTAATTCATTGTACACATTTGACTTACTGCACAGTATATTGATCATTTTAATGGGAAACTTTAGCTTTCTACTTTTTATTTTTGTTTTTTCACTTTCTATGCCATTATTTTTGTATTCTTTTTCTTAGTGTGAGCTCTAAAATCAATGTTCTTGAAAAAGAAATTATTTTGCAGAAGTTGGGGAATCATGTTTGTTGAATATGTATAAAATAGAAACATAGGCTGGGCGCGGTGGCTCACACCTGTAATCCCTACACTTTGGGAGGCTGAGGCAGGTGGATCACCTGAGGTCCAGAGTTTGAGACCAGTCTGGCCAACATGATGAAACCCCATCTCTACTAAAAATACAAAACATTGGCCGGGAGTGGTGGCTCATGCCTGTAATCCCAGCACTTTGGGATGCTGAGGCGGGTGGATCACCTGAGGTCAGGAGTTTGCGACCAGCCTGGCCAACATGATGAAACCCTGTCTCTACTAAAAATACAAAAAAATTGGCTGGGTGTGGTGGCCCACACCTGTAATCCCAGCACTTTGGGAGGTCGAGGCGGGTGGATCACCTGAGGTCCGAAGTTCGAGGCCAGCCTGGCCAACAGGATGAAACCCTGTCTCTATTAAAAATACAGAAAATTGGCCGGGTGCGGTGGCTCACCCCTGTAATCCCAGTACTTTGGGAGGCTGAGGCGGGTGGAGCACCTGAGGTCAGGAATTCGAGATCAGCCTGGCCAACATGGTGAAACCCCATCTCTACTGAAAAACACACACAAAAAAATTAGCTGGGCATGGTGGCACATGCCTGTAATCCCAGCTACTCAGGAGGCTGAGGCAGGAGAATCATTTGAACCTGGGAGGCGGAGCTTGCAGTGAGCCGAGATTGCACCCCTGCACTCCAGCCTGGGCCACAGAGCAAGACTCTGTCTCAAGAAAAACAAAAAAAAAGATAAATGGACAAAAGACATGAACAAACAGCTTTTATAGGATAGTATGGCTAACAAACTTTTAGAAAAGTGTTTAGTCTCACTAGTAAGTAACAAAATATTGGGGCAGGGCACAGTGGCTCATGCGTATAATCCTAGAACTTTGGAAGGCCAAAGCTGGTGGATTGCTTGAGCCCAGGAGTTTGAGACCAGCCCAGGCAACATTGGGAGACCCTGCCTCTACAAATATACAAAAAAATTACTGGGCATGGTGACACACACCTGTAGTCCCAGCTGTTCTGAAGGCTGAGGTGGGAGGATCACTTGAGACCAGGAGAGGTCAAGGCTGCAGTGATCTGTGATCACACCACTGCACTCCAGCCTGGGCAACAGAGCAAAACCCTGCCTTTAAAAAAACAAAAAACAAAAAAGGCCGGGCTCGGTGGCTCATGCCTATAATACTTTGGGAGGCCGAGGCAGGTGGATCAATTGAGGTCAGGTGTTCGAGACCAGCCAGGCCAACTTGGTGAAACCCCGTCTCTACTAAAAATACAAAAAAAAAAAAAAAAAATTAGCCAGATGTGGTGGTGCACATTTGTAATCCCAGCTACTCAGGAGGCTGAGGCAGGATAATCGCTTGAACCTGGGAGGCAGAGGTTGCAGTGAGCCAAGATCGCACCACTGCACTCCAGCCTGGGTGTCGAGTGAAACTCATTCTCAAAAAAAAAAAAAAAAGGAGGTGGGGAGAGCTATTTCAAGAATATTTTAAGTAGGCTGGGCACGGTAGCTCATGCCTGTTATCCTAACACTTTGGGAAGCCGACATGGGCAGATCACGAGGTCAAGAGATTTGAGACCATCCTGGCCAACATGGTGAAACCCCATCTCTACTAAAAATACAAAAAATTATCTGGACATGCTGGCGTGCGCCTGTAGTCTCAGCTACTTGGGAGGCTGAGGCAGGAGAATCGCTTGAACCTGGGAGGCGGAGGTTGCAGTGAGCTGATGTTGTGCTAGTGCACTCCAGCCTGGGCGACAGGGCTGAGACCTTGTCTCAAAAAAAAAAGGAGTATCTTAAGTGTCTTTCAAAATTACACTTTAGCACTTATAAATTTTATATATAATACTTTACTGATAGCATTGTATATTAGTCCAACTTTTTTGGCTACACTATTTGTGAAGGATTCCTTTTTTTCTTTAAGACAGCCACTGTAGGAAATATGCCAAGTACAGATAGTGAGGAAAGAAAGGAAGAAAAATGATAATTGTCTGCAAGTGGGCTTATTTTTAACACTGCTGAATTTCATTTGTAATTTTACTTTCAAGAATATACTCTGGTAGACTGAGGCGGGAGGATCACTTGAGCCCAGGAGTTGGAGGCTTCAGTGAGCTGTGATCACACCACTGCCCTCAGCCAAACCTGAGTGATAAAGTGAGACCCTATCTCTTAAAAAAAAAAATCCCTTTGTTGTTGAGTTATTTTATGTCATTTATTGGTAAATACCTAACATTTTAGACCTAGTCATTACCAGTTAACATAGAATTTAATTGGATGCAGTCTGTATTTTTGAAAAAAAAAATTTTTTTTGGAATAACTTAAATTCTAAAACTTTGGCCGGGCGTGATGGCTCATGCCTGTAATCCCAGCACTTTGGGAGGCCGAGGCAGGCAGATCACCTGAGGTCAGGCGTTCAAGACCAGCCTGACCAACATGGAGAAACCCCGTCTCTACTAAAAATACAAAATTAGCCAGGCTTGGTGGTGCATGCCTGTAATACCAGCTACTCGGGAGGCTGAAGCAGGAGAACTGCTTGAACCTGGGAGGCAGAGGTTGCGGTGAGCCAAGATCGCGCCATTGCACTCCAGCCTGGGCAACAAGAGTGAAACTCCGTCTCAAAAAAAAAAGAAAAATTCTAAAACTTTAAGTGAAATTTATTATCCCTTCCCACTTATTTTCTGTGGTTTTGTGTGTATAGAGCATCTTCCTTTGTTACCCAAGTACCTCGAATGGGTTGGAAACTGGCGGTAGAAGGTTAGAGTAGCCAATTGATATGTAAACCAAGTGTCAGATCAGATGAGATGAAAGAGGTGGAGTTTAAAGCAAGTGAGATATGATAAACAATGATGAAAGCAAAAATAGGGCAGTTGAACCAGAGTCAGCCAGTTGGCATAACTGCCAATAAATGAGGCAGTGTAGAATAACTAATAATGATTGGAATCAAGGAAAAGAGAGCATAGAGGAATCAGCTAAATTAGTATGTTTTATCCATAGTTACATGACTAACAAATGATTAAAAAGAAGTTATTCTCTAGATAATTTTTTAAATAAAAGTACTGTTAATATATAAACTAAGTTATTCATTCACTGTTTTTCTTCACAGTAAGAATGACAAAAATCTGTGTTCTTTGTACTTATCAAGTGACTCAAATTTTGGCCACTTCACTGTCACTGATGGCTTATAGAATGATTCTAGCAGGACTCAAGTTATTGAACTATCAAATGGGTTTTTAATTGATATTGAAGTAAGTAAGTTTTGTAGCTTTTGGAGTTTTTAAAAACTACTTCAGTGATTTTGATTTATATTCTTTTTGATAGTTCAGAAGTGTATTGTTAAAAAACATAAGCATGGCCGGGCACAGTGGCTCACACCTGTAATCCCAGCTCTTTGGGAGGCCAAGGCGGGTAAATCACCTGAGGTTGGGAGTTTGAGACCAGCCTGACCAACATGGAGAAACCCTGTCTCTACCAAAAATACAAAATTAGCCGGGCATGATGGAGCATCCCTGTAATCCTAGCTACTTGAGACGCTGAGGCAGGAAAATTGCTTGAACCCGTGAGGCAGAGGTTGCGATGAGCCGAGATCGTGCCATTGCACTCCAGCCTGGGCAATAAGAGCAAAACTCCGTCTCAGAAAAAAAAAAAAAAAAAAAAAACGGCCAGGCGAGGTGGCTCACACCTGTAATCCCAGCACTTTGGGAGGCTGAGGCGGGCAGATCACCTGAAGTCAGGAGTTCAAGACCAGCCTGACCAACATGGAGAAACTTCATCTCTACTAAAAATACAAAATTAGCCGGGCGTGGTGGCACATGCCTTTAATCCCAGCTACTGGGGAGGCTGAAACAGGAGAATCGCTTGAACCCAGTAGGGGAAGGTTGTGGTGAGCCAAGATTGCACCATTGCACTCCAGCCTGGGCAAGAAGAGTGAAACTCTATCCAAAAAAAAAAAAAAACCATACGTACATAACTTTTTTTCTTTTTCTTTTCTTTCTTTCTTTTCTTTTCTTTTTTTTTTTTGAGGCACAGTCTTGCTTTGTTGACCAAGCTGGAGTGCATTGGCATGATCACAGCTTACTGTAGCCTCCACCTCCTGGGCTCCAGCGATCTCACCTCAGCCTCTAGAATAGCTGGGACTACATATGCATGCCACCATGCCCAGCTGTTTTTTTGTTTGCTTGTTTTTGGTTTTGTTTTTTTGAGACAGGGTCTCCCTGCGTCGCCCAGTCTTGTCTCAAACTCCTAGGCTCAAGCGATCCTCCCACCTGGGCCTCCCAAAGTGTTGAGATTGCAGGTGTGAGCCACGGCACCTGGTCCATAAAACATTTTTTTATGAACTAAAGAGCTCTCTCAAACTTGTGCTAACAAAATTTAAGGCAATATTAATTCTGTGCATGTGTTTGGGAAAATTAAAAAAACTTACATAGTGCTTATTTGGCCCACAAAAGTACAGTTCCATTTTTTATATAAATAGATTCTACCTAACTTATAACCCCTATGTCAAAATTTGTTTATCTTAAAATAGTTTGTATAAAAAGTCTTTACTGCTTTATTATGAAATAATAATGTTTATTGTAGAAAAATCTAGGAAAACACAAAAATGTCAAACTCAGTTAACAGTCATAGTTTCACTATTTGAAGTTAACCACTGTTAAGATTCTTTTTTTTTTTTTTTTTTTTTTGTTTTGAGACTGAGTCCCGCTGTCTATTGCCCAGGCTGGAGTGCCATGGCACCATCTCGGCTCACTGCAACCTCTGCTTCCCAGGTTCAAGTGATCCTCCCGCCTCAGCCTCCCAAGTAGCTGGGATTGCAAACATGTGCCACCACACCTGGCTAATTTTTGTGTTTTTAGTACAGATGGGGTTTCACCATGTTGGCCAGGCTGGCCTCGAACTCCTCAACCTCAAGTAGTCTGCCCACCTTGACCTCCCAAAGTGCTGGGATTACAGGCATGGGGCACCATGCCCAGCCCCACTGTTAAGATTCTAATGTAGGCCGGGCACAGTGACTCATGCCTATAACTCAAGCACTTTGGGAGTTCAAGGCGGCCAGATTGCTTGAGCTTTTAGAAGTTTGAGACCAGCCTGGGCAACGTGGCAAAAGCTTGTTTCTATAAAAAAATATAAAAACTTAGCCAGCCTTGGTGGCACCACCTGCAGTCCCAACTATTCAGGAGGCTGAGGCGAGAGGATGGCTTGAGCTCAGGAAGTCAAGGCTACAGTGAGCTGTGGTAGTGCCACTGCACTCCCTCATGGTTGACAGAGCAAGACCCTGTCTCAAAAGATTCTAATATAGATACTCTTTTTATGCATATGTAATTTATATATATTATACAAAATATTATTTGCATTTAACATATTCTGAACCAATAGTCTTTTCTACAAGCAGAACATTAGTATTCTTGTCACTCTGAATGTAGGCACAGATTTTTGTCATTCTTTATCTTTTTTGTGTGTGTGTGACAGAGTCTCACTGTCACCAGGCTGGAATGCAGTGGCGTGATCTCGGCTCACTGCAACCTCTGCCTCCCAGGTTCAAGCGATTCTCTTGCCTCAGCCTTTTGAGTAACTGGGGTTACAGGCGCGTGCCATCACACCCAGCTCATTTTTGTATTTTTAGTAGAGATGGGGTTTTACCGTGTTGGTCAGGCTGGTCCTGAACTCTTGACCTTGTGATCTGCCCAACTCAGCCTCCCAGAGTGCTGGGATTACAAGCATGAGCCACCGCGCTCGGTCCCTTTCTTTTTATTTATTTATTTATTTTGAGATGGAGTCTCGCTGTGTCACCCAGGCTGGAGTGTGGTGGCACGATCTTGGCTCACTGCAACCCCTGCCTCCCAGGTTCAAGCAATTCTCCTGCCTCAGCCTCCTGAGTAGCTGAGACTACGGGTATGTGCCACTACACTCAGCTAATTTTTGTATTTTTTTTTAGTAGAGACAGGGTTTCACCATGTTGGCCAGGCTGGTCTTGAACTCCTAACCTCAGGTGATTCACACCCCTTGGCCTCCTGAAGTGCTGGGATTACAGGCATGAGCCACTGTGCCCGGCCATTTTTTTGTGTTTTTAGTGGAGACAGGTTTTCACCATGTTGGCCAGTAGTGTATTTAGTTATTTAAGGAGGGCTCAATCAACAGGTTTAAATGGTGTGCTATTCATAATTATTGCAAAAATAGGCCGGGCCTGTAATTCCAGCACTTTGGGAGGCCAAGGCAGGTGAATCACTTGAGGCCAGGAGTTTGAGATCAGCCTGGCCAACGTGGTGAAACTCCATCTCTACTAAAAATACCAAAAGTAGCGGGCGTGGTGACAGGTGCCTCTAATCCCAGCTACTCGGGAGGCTGAGGCAGGAGAATCGCTTGAACCCAAGAGTCGGAGGTTGCAGTGAGCCGAGATCGCGCCATTGCACTCCAGTGTGGGTGACGAGCGAAAATCCGTCTCAACCAAGAAAAAAGAAAAAAAGAAAAAGAAAACTTAACTGGCCTTTGGGGCACATGCCTGTAATCCCAGCTTCTTGGGAGGCTGAGGCATGAGAAAAAAAATAAACCTGGGAGGTGGAGGTTGCAGTGAGTTGAGATTGTGCCACTGCACTCCAGCTTAGGCAATAAAACAAGACTGTCTCAAAAAAAAAAAAAAAAAAAACTTATTGAGAGAATAATATACCACTAATATTTAAAGAAATTTTTGGCTGGTGCCGTGGCTCACACCTGTAATCCCAGCACTTTGGGAGTCCAAAGTGGGCGTATAACTTGAGGTCAGGAGTTCAAGAACAGCCTGGCCAACATGGGGAAACCGCATCTCTACTAAAAATACAAAAATTAGTGGGTGTGGAGGCGGGCGAATGTAATCCCAGCTAGTTGAGAGGCTGAGGCAGGAGAATGTCTGGGAGGTGGAGGTTGCAGTGTGCCGAGATCGCACCACTGTACTCCAGCCTAGGTGACAGAGTGAGACTCCATAGGTCTCAGCCAGACTCTGGAGGTCTCAGCCCAGGCTTGAGTGCAGTGGCATGATCTGGGCTCACTACAACCTCCATCTCCCCAGTTCAAGCGATTCTCCTGCCTCAGCCTCCCGAGTAGCTGCGACTACAGGCGAGTGCCTCCATGCCCAGCTAATTTTTTGTATTTTTAGTAGAGACGGGGTTTCACCATGTTAGCCAGGATGGTCTTGATCTCCTGACCTTGTGATCTGTCCACCGCGGCTTCCCAAAGTGCTGGGATTACAGGTGTGAGCCACAGCGCCCGGCCAAAAAAAGGAATTTTTAAGAGGAAAAAGAATGCTACCAACCTAAACACATTTCTGTGACTGTTTATATTTTTCCCTGTTCCACATACATACATTTTTACATAGTACGTTCATTGCAGCATGAGTTACTTTTCACTTAATAAATTTTAAACATTTTCCAGCTGGGTGTGGTGGCTCATGCCTGTAATCCCAACACTTGGAGAGGCCAAGTCAGGCTTATTGGGTGAGTCCAGGTGTTTGAGACTAGCCTAGGCAACATGGCGAAACTGCATCTCTACAAAAAATACAAAAATTAGCCAGGTGTGCTGGCGCACACCTGTAGTCCCAACTACTCAGGAGGCTGAGGTGGGAGGATTGCTTGAGCCCAGGAGGTAGAGGTTGCAGTGAGCCATGATCATGCCACTGCACTCCAGCCTAGGTGACAAAGCACAACCCTCAAATAAATAAATAAATACATGTTAAACATATACCTTTATTACTTCATTTTTGTAAGAGCTTCAGGGAATAGGCTTTTTTAAAGGGAATAGACTTATAGATCAATTTTAATATTTGACTTATAGAATTTTATGACACTAAATGGATAATTGTAAAGTTTGAGTTGGGACCCATTTTTTAAGACATTCAGGCTATAAACAAGGTAATAAATCACACTCTTCCAGTTCTACTCCCAATTTAATTGGTTTACAGTTCGGTGGCTGTCTTTTTTTTTTTTTTTTTTTTTTTTTGAGACCGAGTCTCCCTCTGTCACCAGGCTGGAGTGCAGTGGTGCAATCTCAGCTCACTGCAACCTCCCCCTCTCAGGTTCAAGTAATTCTCCTGCCTCAGCCTGCCGAGTAGCTGGGACTACAGTCGCACGCCAACCACCCCCAGCTAATTTTTTTATTTTTAGTAGAGACAGGATTTCACCATGTTTGCCAGGATGGTCTCGATCTCTTGTGCTCATAATCTACCTACCTCGGCCTCCCAAAGTGCTCGGATTACAGACGTGAGCCACTGCGCCCGGCCCGTTGGCTTGCTTTCTAGATACTGGGAATAGATCTTGTTATAGTATGTGATAAATAGATCTTGTTATAGTATGTGATAAAATGCCATGATCAAATAAATTACTTATATCCTGTTTGGTGATTTTTAGAAAAACATATTTATCTACATCTAAAATACTTATTTTAATTTTAAACACTTGATGGTATGAAATGAAATTTTGTTACTTTACCATTGTAACTATGTCATAAAGTCATAAAGTACCTGTCCCCAAAAAGGCAACCAGTAAATATTTTTGAGTAAATGAATGAAATCTTTATTGCCGGTGTTCTGTGCACATAGAATAAAGGAAATTATTAATGTTACTTAATAGTTTAAAAAAATTCAGAAGCCAAGCTATCCATAAAGCTACTTTGTGATGTGCTGAATACTCCATTAATAGAAGTGTTTAAGAGGATGTTGTATGCCTGCCTTCCACTCATGCCTGTGTTAGATGTGAACATAGATTTATAATATAGTACTATACAAAATACAACTAAAATAGTTGGTAACCAAGTAGTCATTTGTTCCTTCTATATCTTTTTTCTCTTTTTCTTTTTTTTTTGAGATGGAGTTTTGCTCTTGCCGCCAAGGCTGGAGTGCAATGGTGCAATCTCAGCTCACTGCAACTTCCGCCTCCCGGGTTCAAGCAATTCTCCTGCTTCAGCCTCCTGAGTAACTGGAATTACAGGCACGCACCACCATGCCCGGCTAAATTTTTTTGTTTGTTTGTTTGTTTTTTGTATTTTTAGTACAGACGGGGTTTCTCCATGTTGGCCAGGCTGGTCTCAAACTCCCAACCTCAGGTGATCTGCCCTCCTCAGCCTCCCAAAGTGCTGGGATT
Source organism: Homo sapiens (assembly GCF_000001405.40). Classification (NCBI taxonomy): domain Eukaryota; kingdom Metazoa; phylum Chordata; class Mammalia; order Primates; family Hominidae; genus Homo; species Homo sapiens. Next base: position 203,306,359 of record NC_000002.12, read on the forward strand.
ACAGGCGTGAGCCACTGCGCCCGACCCCATCCTGTTCCTTCTATATCTTATTACTAGATGATCATTGAACCAAGAAATGTTTAAAGATAAGGGTTTTTTACAAGGTTAGTGAGAGCATTATTTCCCACAATGTCTCATGAAACACCATCCTGTAAGATACTATGAGAAGTTTCCTTGATATTCATTCTCAGATTCTCCATACTATATTCTTTCTCAGATATTTATAATATATATATTAATATTGGAAGAGCTGAAAAGTCCTACTGTAAAGGAACCTACTTTAGGCCAGGCATGGTGGCTCACGCCTGTAATCCCAGTACTTTGGGAGGCCGAGGTGGGTGGATCACGAGGTCAAGAGATTGAGACGATCCTGGCTAACACGGTGAAACCCCGTCTCTACTAAAAATACAAAAAATTAGCCAGGCGTGGTGGCGGGCGCCTGTAGTCCCAGCTACTTGGGAGGCTGAGGCGGGAGAATGGTGTGAACCCGGGAGGCAGAGCTTGCAGTGAGCCGAGATTGTGCCACTGCACTCCAGCCTGGGTGAAAATGCGAGACTCTGTCTTAAAAAAAAAAAAAAAAAAGAAAGAAAACTACTTTAACTTGGTTAAACTCTGAATGTTCCAAATGTATTTGATGAAGGTACTCTTTTTTTCCAATAACATCTATGAAACCAGTTCCTGTAAAATCCAGATTTCATAGAAGTAGTCTCTTATAAAACAGAACTCATTTTGCCTGACATGATCTAGAGACAAATTCCTTAAACTATATATGGTCCAGAGATTCTCTAGTCTAAGAATGACCATAGCCTTAAAAGTGAACCACCTGAATACCATATTCTCTCCCTTACCTCCACCTCTCTTCTGCCAGAGCCCAGTGTGTCCTCTAGCTCCACTGACTCCTATCCCTGTCCTGATTTTTCCATTCCCACCCAAAGATATGGAACCCATTTGTCATACAACAGTTGCTTATTGACCATGTGTGCCAGATCTTATGCTACACACTGGGGATATAGCAGTAAACAAAACATACATGGCATTATTACTGTGTTCTCTGTCTTTTCCTGTGTTTCACCCCAGGAGGGAGAACCCCACAGTCTCATGTCCTAGAGCTTTACCACCTTGAATCTTCTAGCACCCAGAGCTCTCCAGGTACTGGGTTGGGAAGCAGCTTGATATGGTTTGGCTCTGTCACCCCCCAAATCTCATCTTGTAGCTCCCATAATTCCCAGGTGTTGTGGGAGGGACCCAGTGGGAGATGATTGAATCATGGGGGCGGGTCTTTCCTGTGCTGTTCTCCTGATAGTGAATGGGTCTCATGAGATCTGATGGTTTTTAAACCGGGAGTTTCCCTGCACAAGCTCTCTCTTTGCCTGCTTCCAACCACGTAAGATGTAACTTACTCCTCCTTGCCTTCCACCATGATTTTAAGGCCTCCCCAGCCACATGGAATTGTAAGTCCAATGAGCCTCTTTATTTTGTAAATTGCCCAGTCTCAGGTATGTCTTTATCAGCAGTGTGAAAACAAACTGATACAGTAAATTGGTACCAGTAGAGTGGGGCACTGCTGAAAAGATACCCAAAAATGTGGAAGCAACTTTGGAACTGGGTAACAGGCAGAGGTTGGAACAGTTTGGAGGGCTCAGAAGAAGATAGGAAAATGTAGGAAAGTTTGGAACTCCCTAGATACTTGTTAAATGGCTTTGACCAAAATGCTGATGATGATATGGACAATGAAATCCAGTCTGAGATGGTCTCAGATGGAGATGAGGAACTTGTTGGGAACTGGAGCAAAGGTGACTCTTGCTATGTCTTAGCAAAGAGACTGGTGGTGTTTGCCCCTGCCCTAGAGATTTGTGGAACTTTGAACTTGAGAGAGATGATTTAGGGTATCTGGTGGAAGAAGTTTTTAAGCAGCAAAGCATTTAAGAGTTGACTTGGGTGCTGTTAAAGGCATTCAGTTTTACAAGGGAAGCAGAGCTTTGGAAAATTTGCCCCTGACAATGCGATAGAAAAGAAAATCCCATTTTCTGAGGAGAAATTCAAGCTGGCTGCAGAAATTTGCATAAGCAATGAGGAGCCAAATGTTAATCCCCAAGACAGTGGAGAAAATGTCTCCAGGGCATGTCAGAGGTCTTCACAGCAGCCCCTCCCATCACAGGCCCGGAAGCCTAGGAGGAAAAAGTGGTTTTGTGGACTGGGCCCAGGGTCCCTGTGCTGTGTACAGCCTAGGGACTTGGTGTCCTGTGTCCCAGCCACTCCAGCCATGGGTGAAAGGGACCAACATAGAGCTCAGACTGTGGCTTCAGAGAGTCCAAGCCCCAAGTCTTGGCAGCTTCCACATGGTGTTGAGCCTGCAAGTGCACATAAGTCAAGAATTGGAGTTTGAGAACCTCCGCCTAGATTTCAGAGGATGTATGGAAATGCCTGGATGTCCAGGAAGAAGGTCGCTACAGGGGCAGGGCACTCATGGAGAACCTCTGCTAGGACAGCGCAGAAGGGAAATGTGGGGTCAGAGCCCCCACACAGAGTCCTCATTGGGGCACTGCCTAGTGGAGGTATGAGAAGAGGGCCATCATACTCGAGACCCCAGCATGGTAGATCCACCCACAGCTTGCACTGTGCACCTGGAAAAGCCACAGACACTCAATGCCAGCCCATGAAAGCCGCTGAGAGGGAGGCTGTACCCTACAAAGCCACAGGGACAGAGTCGCCCAAGGCCATGTGAACCCACTTTCTGCATCAGCATGACTCGGATGTGAGACATGGAGTCAAAGGAGATAATTTTGGAGCTTTAAGATTTGACTGCCCCACTGGATTTCGGACTTGCTTCTGGCCTGTAGCCCCTTTGTTTTGGCCAATTTCTCACATGTGGAATGGCTGTATTTACTCAATGCCTGTATCCCCATTGTATCTAGGAAGAAACTAACTTGCTTTTGATTTTACAGGCTCATAAGCAGAGGTACTTGCCTTGTCTCAGTTGAGACTTTGGACTGTGGACTTTTGAGTTAATGCTGAAATGAGTTAAGACTTTGGGAGGACTGTTGGGAAGGCATAATTGGTTTTGAAATATGAGGACATAAGATTTGGGAGAGGCCAACAGTGGAATGATATGGTTTGGCTGTTTCCCCACCCAAATCTCATCTCGAATTCCCACATGTTGTGGGAGGGACTGGGTGGTGGGAGTTAATTGAATCATGGGAGTAGGTCTTTCCCATTCTGTTCTTGTGATAGTGAATAAGTCTCATGAGATCTGATGGGTTTTAAAAAATGGGAGTTTCCCTGAACAAGCTCTCTTCTCTTGTCTGCCAACATGTGAGATGTGCCTTTCACCTTCTGCCATGATTGTGAGGCCTCCCCAGCCATGTGGAACTGTAAGTCCATTAAACCTCTTTCTTTTGTAAATTGCCCAGTCTCAGGTATCTCTTTATAAGCAGTGTGAAAACGAACTAATACATAGCTCAAGGACATTTTAGGTTAGTGGCTGAGAGGAACATAGGAAGGAACTTGGAGATAACTACATGACGAAGGTCACAACAGGCTTCTGTCATAGGCTATAATTGGGGAAGAAGCACAAGGAACTGCTGGAAGTGAAACCATCACTGTACTGTCTTTCTCCTTTCTTTTTTTTCCAGTCTTTCTTTTCCCTCCCTCCCTCCCTCCCTCCTTTCCTTCTTTCCTTCCTTCCTTCTCTTCTTTCTATGACAGGGTCTCACTCTGTTGCCCAGGTTGGAGTGCAGTGGTGCCATCTCAGCTCACTGCACCCTCTGCCTCCCAGGCTCAAACAATCCTCCTACCTCAGCTTCCTGTGTAATTCAGACTACAGATATGCATCTCCACACTTGGCTAACTTTTTAATTTTTTTGTAGAGATGGGGTCTCACTCTGTTGCCAGGGCTGCTCTCAAACTCCTGGACTCAAGTGATCCTTACACCTTGGTCTCCCAAAGTGCTGGGATTACAGGCATGGACCTGTCACTTTTCTTTTCTTTTCTCTTCTTTTCTTTTTTGAGATGGAGTCTCACTCTGTCGCCAGGCTGGAGTGCAGTGGCATAATCTTGGTTCACTGCAAGCTCCAGCTTCTGGGTTCAAGCAATTCTCCTGCCTCAGGCTCCTGAGTAGCTGGGACTACAGGTGAGTGCCACCACCCCCAGGTAATTTTTGTATTTTTGTAGAGATTGGGTTTCGCCATGTTGGCCAGGATGGTCTCCATCTCTTGACCTTGTGATCCACCCACCTTGGCCTCCCAAAGTTCTGGGATTACAGGCATGAGCCACCACGGCTGGTCTCATCACTTTATTTTCAATGTATGAGCAAGATGATTAAACTAGGTATCTGATCAAGGAATGCTTTCAACATTGATGCTGATTAGGAATACTGGAGAACTTTCAAAGTAAGAAGAAACAAAGCTAGGAATTGGTTTGGCTAAGTTACCGGGCAGTATTTATTGTAGTGGTCTGTATTAATTGTTGCTTACTTACACTGCAGCACTAGGTGTGTTGAGTTTCCATAATTTGTTGCATATATTGCAAGGTCATCAACTAATAGCTAATTGATTTTTAGAGCATGAAAGGACCTTGTAGAGATTATATGGGCATAGCCTGCTCACAATTTAACATTTTAAAGGGAGAAGCCTAGGGATTCTGGGGGTAGAAAAGTAACGTTTTTACCCTTTCACTTTGGATTTTTCTCATATAGGGCCTTCTGCAAATATGTGCTTAAGTCTATGATGCTATTATATTCATAGGATTTTTTAAGCTTTCAAGGAAGCGTAGATTCAGAAGAAATTTGAAAACAATTTTAAAAAATATTCTTGATACAGAACCTTTGAGGGAGATGCAAATGTTCTGAATGCCAAATTTACTTAGATTTAAAAATACATATCTTCAAGCAAAGTTGCCATGACAACCTTTCTTAATGTGTGTATAAATTTTATCTCTGTCTCTTTGAGGTTTTTATATTTTCCAGTACAGGGTCTAATTACAAGAATTGAGCTCTGTGGTATATTTCTATCTGGATGGTGCCCTGTAGAAATTATGTAATATTAGAAAATGCAAATCAAGCAATAGGGCAGTCCTATAGCACAGTGATGCCACAAAGATAAATGTCATCTTGTTCTCTCTGTGATCAGAGGTTTTTCTGGTTTCAAACCCAAGATGAAATTTGGGATTGAAGTAGAACTGTGAATCTGTTCTGTTTCTCTTTTTTCATATCTAGAAGATTCACAGGGTGATCTTAGGAAGTTTGGTACATTCTGGACCAACTCTCTTGGTTAGCCCTAAAACTGATCCAGCTACCTTGGGCTCTTCTCAATCTAATCAGTAGCTGATACCATAGGATGTCTCAGAACCACAAGACCCTTCTCTGCAATGGCATGCATGTGCACAGAGATCATCCAGAAGCAGCTTCCGGCCTAAGCCCCAATCCAGCAAACACTCCGGGTATACCTCTTCACTTCCTTTTACACAATTTCCATGCCCAGCCTTCAAACAAAACACTTGAAAGATGTCCCACAGTCCATGTTATGATGTTTATAAAGGTTTTTGAGTTCATTTTTATTGTAAGAGGCACAATCACTACTGGCTATATAATTTGTGAGACCTAGTCGAGGAGGAAATCTCCTCTTCTCATGGCCCTGCCTTTTCAACCTTTGGTGTATGCAACCCCAAGGAACTGAAATCTCCTGCACTGGGACACTTTACTGACTGGGGTGGTCTAAAGAGCCCTGCCAGTCACATGGTGAACATGCTGTGGTGCTGCCAGCCCAAAGCAGATGTTTCCTTGCCTTTCCTGAAAATTCTCCAAAACAGACTGCTTGTGGGCCCCCTCCAAACTTCACCCAGATCCCCACCGGAGGCTGAGGGTGACCACAGGGAAAAGTGAGCCTCCCCTCCACTCTCCTGCCAATGTAATCCAATGACTGCTCAGAGCAGAAGGCAATAGTGGTTGTAGTAGTGAGCAGAGCTGGGGAGAGGAAGGCTGGGTGGGGATCAGGGCACCAAGGAGCAGGCAGCTAGTCACTGAGAACCTGTAGGGGAAGGCATGCAGGTGGGCTCCGAGTCCCTGGTGCATGCTCCATGGTCCCATTGGACTTCACTTACAAAACACAAATTCAAAAATGAAATTATTAAGAATTTAAAGCCGGCCGGGTGTGGTGGCTCATGCCTGTAATCCTAGCACTTTGGGAGGCTGAGGTGAGCAGATCATGAGGTCAGGAGTTCAAGACCAGCCTGGCCAACATGGTGAAACCCCGTCTCTACTAAAAATAAAAAAATTAACTAGGCGTGGTGGTGCATGCCTATAATCCCAGCTACTTGGGAGGCTGAGGCAAGAGAATTGCTTGAACCCGGGAGGCGGAGCTTGCAGTGAGCTGAGATCAGCCACTGCACTCCAGCCTGGGCGACAGAGCAAGACTCTGTCCAAAAAAAAAAAAAAAAAAATTTAAAGACAGTGCCCCCAAAGCATTAAACCCCAAGCACAGTGTCCCTCTGAGAAGTGGAATTTGAGCAACTATGTTGATTGGAGTATAATTGGCCCCCGGACATGTCTGACTTTAGAGGGCATGGTACTTGTGACTCGGTGGTTTCTGAGGGCTATCCTTCTTGGTTGTATGCTAGTTGTTCTTGCAAATATCCATAAATGTCTCATTCACGATTTTTCTTTTAAGTGGTTTAAATCTCTCTAGAATGTCTTACAATTCTTTACAAAATAGGCAATGAATAGATGCCAATCTTTTTGTAAAAAAAGAAAAAAACAATTTCATAATACACATTTATTAAACTTGCAAAAGTATATATATATATATATATATATATATATATATATATATTTTGAAACATGGTCTCTCACTCTGTCGCCTAGGCTGGAGTGCAGTAGCATGATCATTGCTCACTGCAGCCTCAACCTCCAGGGCTCAAGTGATCCTCCCACCTCAGCCTCCTGAGTAGCTGGGACTACAGGCTCAAGCCACCATGCCTGGCTAGTTTTTGTATTTTTTGTAGAGACAGTGTTTCACCATGTTGTCCAGGCTGGTCTGGAACTCCTGGATTCAAGCTATCCCCCCGCCTTGGCCTCCCAAAGTGCTGGGATTACAGGTGTGAGCCACCACACCCTGACAAAAGAATTCTAATACACTAAAAATCTCTTTTCTTAAACCATTTCACTCATGAAACTCTTACTTTCCTGTATATTAACCATAATTGCCAGAAAATTTTCTGCTGGAAGTTAAAATGATGTTTTCCCCTGAAATATCATTATAAAACCCTATGAAATATTTCAGTGATATGAATCATTCACTTAGTCATATGGGTAGACATTTAGATAATAGAAGTAGTTAACAGAAATCTGTGAGAAATATATATTGTTAATTCCTGTGGAGGAGGAAGGAAGAAATCCTACTGAAATATTTTAATTGTAGTTAAATTCAGTGTTCCCTGCCATTTTAAAATATCAAGATTATTCTGTTCTACTCCTTTCCTTCCAAGAGGATACATGAAATAACTTTGATAAAATCATGAATCAGTTTTTGTTTGCTGTTAACCTCTTCTGTATTCTATTTCATGAAAATAGCAATTGGTGGCCAAGAATACCCTTATTCTTATCAACCTTGCACTACATAAATGAGACATTATTACCAAGCATCATAGTATTCAGTTAGCAATTTTGTCAAAGTATAATCTCTTTGTTTGCAATATTATTGCAATGGACAAGAAACAAATTGTTTTTTAAAAAATTAGCAAGGTTTGAAAATTATAAATTTGATAGGTCAGTTAATATTTAGCATCAGGTTCTAATGGTATTAATGTGTAATCAGAAAAACTATTACATTTCAAACTCTGTAATTCATATTATTAAATGAAGGTTAGTATACTTTTCAGTAATAAAAACCCAGTTAATACATTTTGAAGCTTGAAGTTTAAGAAAATCTTCAACATAATTTAAAACAAAAATATGAATAGGCTAGACACAGTGGCTCGTGCCTGCAGACCCAGCTACTTGGGAGGCTAGGGCAGGAGAATGAGGTGGGTGGATCACCCAGGAGCTTGAGGCTGCAGTGAGCTAAAATGGCACCACTACACTCTAGCCTGGGAGACAGAGCAAGACCCTGTCTCTAAAAAAATAAATAAATACAAATTTAAATATAAATAAACTATTTTTGAAAGATACATTTTCTATCCTATTCTTTTTTCTTTTCTTTTCTTTCTTTTTTTTCACTTTAACAAATCTACTTTAATTCCAAAAGAAATTAATCTAGGATGGTCAGTAATATACAACATACTTTTATGTTTCTTTTATAGGTATCTAATACAAGCTTATTTGTATATGTGCAATGTATAATAACTCTATCTTAGATATGAGTCCTAACAGGATAAAAATATTTTCTTGCAACTACTACTTTATGCCTATGAAGGGTGTGAGCTTGCAATGTCCTCCTGTCTTAAACCCAAGTTAATGACAGTGTCCTCTCAAAACTTTTCATAAATTATTAATGACCTAATTTCATTTAAAAAATAGTTTCAGCAGGCTGAGCACGATGGCTCACGCCTGTAATCCCAGCACTTTGGGAGGCTGAGGCAGGCGGATCACGAGGTCAGGAGAGCAAGACCATCCTGGCTAACACAGTGAAACCCTGTCTCTACTAAAAATACAAAAATAAAATTAGCTGGGTGTGGTTGTGGGCACCTGTACTCCCAGCTACTTGGGAGGCTGAGGCGGGAGAATGGCGTGAACCCAGGGGGCAAAGGTTGCAGTGAGCTGAGATCGCACCACTGCACTCCAGCCTGGGCGACAGAGCAAGACTCTGTCTCAAAAATAAAAATAAAAAAAGGTTTCAGCAAATATGAAAATAGAAAGTCCTGTTATTTGTCCACTCATAATATGAGAAAAAAAAGAGATGATACATTCCTCCATAGAAAAAGTGGGTTTAGAGAACAGTTCTGGTAGTATTTCACATGGTGAAGTATCAAAAGGTCTAATAAGTAGCCCCCTTGCTCAGGGAAAAAAAAGTGATGTTAATGTGTTTCTCTTCCAAATTGCTTAGTAACTCCAAGTGATTTTCAAATTGGGGGGCAGATTACTGGCACTGAGTTCATCAAATTTAGATCTATCTTGAATAGGGACATTATAGAAAATCAAGAACATCTCTAACCCTGCATATCTGGTGGAGTCTGGAGTTAGGGACTACATGACCCAAGCCATCAGCTAAATGTGCCAAGAGATTGAACCGTAGATGACCATCTTCCAGGGAGATGTCTTGCCAATTACTAGAAAGAGATGAACCAAAAACTTCTTTAACATAAGATTCCAAACAACTCTGGAGATCTTCAGGTTGTGTGTATGCTCGGCTTTGTGAGGGTAGACACACTGAGGATAGATTCCTTTTTCACCTCTTGTACTGTCTCAGCAACCACTGGCTCTTTCTATTTTCTGGATCGAGACCAAAATTCTGTATGTGGTGCCCCTGAGACTGTCCACATGAAGACTTTTCTGGTAATGCCGGACACAGATTGCGCTGCCATCTTCGATGAGATCCACGGGCCTCTCGTTTTCTTTTTCTTTTTTTGAGATGGGGTCTTTTTCTGCCGCCCAGAGGTGGGATCATGGCTCACTGCAGTGCCTCAACTCCCTGGGTTCAAGTGATCCTCCTGCTTCAGCCTCCCCAGTAACAGAGACAACAGGCACATGCCACCAAGCCTGCCTAATTTTTTTATTTTTTGTAGAGACTGGGGTCTCACTCTATTACCCAGGCTGGTCTCAAACTCCTGGACTCAAGTGATCCTCCCCAGTCTGTCTCCCAAAGTGTTAGGGTTACAGGCCTGAGCTACCGCACCCAGCTAGCTACCCCATTCTTTTTTTTGAGATGGAGTCTTCCTCTGTCACCCAGATTGGAGTGTGGTGGCGCAATCTCGGCTCACCACAACCTCCACTTCCCGGGTTCAAGCAATTCTCTTGCCTCAGCCTCCTGAGAAGGTGGGATTACAAGCGTGAGCCACCACACCCAGCTAATTTTCTTTCTTTCTTTTCTTTTTTTTTTAATGTATTTTCAGTGGAGACAAGGTTTCACCATGTTGGTTAGGCTGGTCTCGAATCCTGACCTGAAGTGATCCACCCGCCTCTGCCTCCCAAAGTGCTGGGATTACAGGCGTGAGACACAGCACCCAGCCTACCCCATTGCTATACATAGAACTACATTATGGTGCATAATTTAAAATTTACACTGTCCACTCTCTTATGGTTTCATGTTTAAAAAATTTTAGTCTCTTTATCGTTTACAAAGAAGGGAGCTCTTTATTTTGGCATTGCTGATAAGGAAACCACTATAGATTACAAAATATTACAATATAATCCCTTCAGGTTGTGTTCTGGGTATACAGTGTGTCTTCTCTCTCTTTTTTTTTTTTTGAGACAGAGTCTCGCTTTGTCGCCCAGGCTGGAGAACAGTGGCACGATCTCAGTTCACTGCAAGCTCTGCCTCCCAGGTTCACGCCATTCTCCTGCCTCAGCCTCCCGAGTAGCTGAGACTACAGGTGCACACCACCACGCCCAGCTAATTTTTTTGTATTTTTAGTAGAGACAGGGTTTCACTATGTTAGCTAGGATGGTCTCGATCTCCTGACCTCATGATCTGCGTGCCTCAGCCTCCCAAAGTGCTGGGATTATAGGCGTGAACCACCGCGCCAGGCCTTTTTTGTTTTTTGTTTTTTGTTTTGAGACAAGGTCTTGCTGTGTTGCCAGGCTGGAGAGCAGTGGCTCCATCAGGATCATGGCTCACTGCAGCCTCAATTTATCCAGCTCAAGTGATCCTCCCGCCTCAGCCTCCCGAGTTGCTGAGACTACAGATCCAAGCCACCAATGCCTGGCTAATTTTTGTATTTTTTGTACAGAAAGGGTTTTGCCATGTTGTCCAGGCTGGTCTTAAAAACTCCTGAGATCAATGGATCTGTCCCCCTCGTGAGCCACCGTGCCTGTACTCTCTTCTTTATAAGAGTAATTTTCGGCCGGGTGTGGTAGCTCACGCTTATAATTCCAACACTTTGGGAGGACGAGGTGGGCTGGTCACTTGAGGTCAGGAGTTCGAGACCAACCTGCGCAACATAGACTCCATCTCTACCAAAAGAAAAAATACAAAAATTAGCCAGGGATGATGGCATGCACCGTGTAATCCCTGTAATCAGGAGGCTGAGGAGGGAGAATAGCTTGAGCCCAGGAAGTGGAGGTTGCAGTTACACCCTTATGAGAGACTTGGAGCCACACCACCCAGAGGAGCTGCTCCCAGATTCCTGATTCTCAGAAACTGTGTGAGATAACAATTGTTATCTTTTTCCAAAAAGAGTAGTTTCTTCTTGAAAAATGTCTTCTATTGTGGTAGTGGATAATATGAGGGAATTATAGTTGGTTTTGTTGGATATAAAAATGATATTGTGGCCAGGCACGGTGGCTCACGCCTGTGATCGCAACACTCTGGGAATCAGAGGCGGGCGGATCATCTGAGGTCAGAAGTTTGAGACCAGCCTGGCCAACATGGCGAAACCCCATCTCTACTAAAAATATAAAAATTAGCTGGGCATGGTAGTGTGTGCCTGTAATCCCAGCTACTCGGGAGGCTGAGGCAGGAGAATCGCTTGAACCCAGGAGGCAGAGGTTGCAGTGAGCCAAGATCACGCCACTGCACTCCAGCCTGAGCTACAAAGCAAGACTCCATCTCAAAAAAAAAAAAAAGATATTGTGATTACGTAGCAAAATATCCTTGTTTTTTAGAGATATGTACTAAAGGATGTAGTGGTTAAATGTCCTGATTACTGTAATTATCTTTAAAATTCTTTAGCATAAGAATAAGATGAGAAGGTAAGGTAAAAATGGAAGACATTGTCACATGTCACAAATTAATGTTTATTCATTATATCATTCTCCATACTTGTATGTTTGTACTTTCATAATAAAGAGAAAAGGCCGGGTGTGGTGGCTCACACCTGTAATCCCGGCCCTTTGGGAGGCCAAGGTGGGAGGATCACTTGAGCTCAGGAGTTTGAGAATCCTGGGCAACATAGCGAGAGTCTGTCTCTGCAAAAATACAGATGCGCGCCTGTAGTGCCAGCTACTTAGGAGGCTTAGATTGGAGGATCACTTGAGGCCGAAAGGTCAAGGCTGCACTGAGCCAAGATCAGGCCGCTGTCCTCCAGCCTGGGTGACAAAGTGAGACCTTGACTCATAAAACAAAAATATCGTGGCTGGGCACGGTGGCTTATGCCTGTAATCCCAGGACTTTGGGAGGCTGAGGTGGGCAGATCACCTGGGTTCAGGAGTTTGAGACGAGCCTGGCCATAATGGTGAAACCCCATCTGTACTAAAAATACAAAAATTAGCCAGGTGTGGTGGTGCACACCCGTAATCCTGGCTACTAGGGGAGGCTGAGGCATGAGAATCACTTGAATCTGGGAAGTGAAGGTTGCAGTGCGCCAAGATCGTGGCTCCAGCCTGGGCAACAGGGTGAGACTCTGTCTCAAAAAAAAAAAAAAAAAAAAAGAAACCCTTCCTGCAAAAACAAATTGAATTCACACAGCTATAAAGCATGGAATCCTGTATTGCACAGCTGTATTGCAGAGTAAGGATTTTTTTTTTTAAGTAATTTGGTCTTTTTTTTTTTTTTTTAAGAGACAGGATCTCACTGTTGCCCAGGTTGGAGGGCAGTGGCATGATCATAGCTCACTGCAGCCTCAAACTTCTGGATTCAAGTGATCCTGCCATCTCAGCCTCCCTAGTAGTGGGGACTAGAGGCATGCACCACCACACCTGGCTAATTTTCTATTTTATGTAGAGACGGAGTCTCACTATGTTGCTAGGGCTTCTCAAACTCCTGAGCTCAAGGAATCTGCTTGCATTGGCCTCCCAAAGTGCTGGGATTACAGGCATGAGCCACCGCACCTGGCCAATCACATCATCTTTTAATAAAAAGCTCTGTGTGCATTTATCCTGAGTACTGTGTAATAGCTAACAGATAACTTAAATCAAGTTGATGATAAAATTACTAAAAAAAAAAAAGTCATCTTGGGTTGCATTAATAAAAGTATCCTTTCTGGCTGGGCACGGTGGCTCGCGCCTGTAATCCCAGGACTTTGGGAGGCCGAGGTGGACAGATGACGAGATCAGGAGATCGAGACCATCCTGGCTAACATGGGGAAACCCCGTCTCTATTAAAAATACAAAAAATTAGCCGGGCGTGGTGGCAGGCACCTGTAATCCCAGCTACTTGGGAGGCTGAGGCAGGAGAATCAGTTGAACCTGGGAAGTGGAGGTTATAGTGAGCCAAGATCGTGCCACTCCACTCCGGACTGGCAACGGAACGAGCCTCCATCTCAAAAAAAAAAAAAAAGAAAAGAAAGAAAGAAATTAGCTGGCTGTGGTGGTGCATAGCCTGTAGTCCCAGCTACTCGGGAGGCTGAGGCAGGAGAATTGCTTGAATCTAGGAGGCGGAGATTGCAGTGAGCCGAGATTGCGCCACTGCACTCCAGCCTGGCGACAGAGTGGGTCTCCGTCTCACAAAAAAAAAAAAAAAAAAGAAAGAAATCCTTTCTAATTTGGGGAGATAAAAGTCTCACTGGACTTGTAGAAAAATAATTTACGTTCATTTTAGAGAAATTAAGATGAGTAAAACTAAAAAACCCCTACAATTCGGCCGTTCAGATTATACGCACACACACTATACATTTACAAATTGCCTTTCAGAAAGGTTATATCAAATTCATGAATATATATGGTTGGTATTGTCATAATTGTCATTCTTTGTAATCTTTGTCAATCTGATAGGTGAGAAATGTTATCTTTTTATTTTACTTGCATTTCTTTGATAATTGGGGTATCAAACCTTTTTTAGTTACATTTACTGACTATTTGTATTTCTTATTTTGTAAATTTGCCTTTTGCTTGTTTGTTTGTTTTTTTGAGACGGAGTCTTGCTCTGTCGCCTAGCCTGGAGTGCAGTGGTGCGATCTTGGCTCACTGCAACCTCCCGGGTTCAAGTGATTCTCCTGCCTCAGCTTCCTGAGTAGCTGGGATTACAGGCGTGTGCCACCGTGAATTTTTGTATTTTTAGTAGAGATGGGGTTTCACCATGTTGGTCAGGCTGGTCTCAAATCCTGACCTTGTGATCCGCTCCCCTCAGCCTCCCAAAGTGCTGGGTTTACCGGCGTGAGCCACCGTAAATTTGCCTGTTTATGTCCTTTTTCTATTGGGTATTTGTCTTGTTGATTTCTAAGAGCTTCTTATGTATTCTTTATATAGTAAAAACATTAACCCTTCATCATAAACATCAGACATTTTCCTGATTGTCTTTTTTAAATTATTTGTGCTATTTTAAATTATATGAAAGTGTAACATTTTTATTTTCCTTTTTTTAAAAATATAATTTAGAAAAGTCCTCTCCCTTCCAATGTCATATATTTACCTTTATTTTCTTTTAGTTTTTTTGAGACAGAATCTTGCTCTGTTGCCCAGGCTGGAATGCAGTGGTGAAATCTCAACTTAATGCAACCTCTACCTCCTGGGTTCAAGAAATTATCATGCCTCAGCCACCCTAGTAGCTGGGCTTACAGGAATGTGCCACCATGCCTGGCTAGTTTTTGTATTTGTATTTGTATTCATTTTTTGAGATAGGGTTTCATTCTGTCACCCATCCTGGAGTGTAGTGGCATGATCTCGGCTCACTGCAGCCTCCACCTCCCCGGTTCAAGCGATTCTCCCACCTCAGTCTCCCGAGTATCTGGGACTACAGATGCACACCACCATGCCTGGCTAATTTTTGTATTTTTTGGTAGAGACAGGTTTCACCATGTTGGCCAGGCTGGTCTTGAACTCCTGACCTCAAGTGATCTGCCTGCCTCAGCCTCCCAAAGTGCTTGGATTACAGGTGTGAGCCACTGTGCTCAGCCTCTATTAGTGTTTTTAAAACTTTAAATCTTGAATTTATGTTGCATTTATTTATTATTATTTTGAGACAGAGTCTCGCTCTGTCGCCCAGGCTGGAGTGCAGTGGTGCAGACCATGGCTCACTGCAGCCTCAACCTCCTGGGCTCAAGAGATCCTCCCACCTCAGCTCCCCGAGTAGCTGGGACTACAGGCGTGTATCACCATGCCTGGCTAATTTCTTTTTCTTTTTCTTTTTGTAGAGACAGGGGTCTTACTTTGTTGTCCAGGCTGGCTGGCTGGTTTTGGACTCTTGGGCTCGAGTGATTCTCTTGCCTCAGCCTCCCAAAGTGTTGGGATTACAGGTGTGAGCCACTTCTCTCAGTCAGAATTTATTTGTTATTATTTTTTGAGACAGGGTCTGGCTGTGTTGCCCAGGCTGGAGTGCAGTGGCACAGTCTCGGCTCACTACAACCTCTGCCTCTCAGGCTCAAGCCATCTCCTATCTCAGCCTCCTGAGTAGCTGCGACTACAGATGTGCGCCACTATGCCCAGCTAATTTTTCTATTTTTTTTTGTAGAGACAGGATCTCACTCTGTTGCCCAGGCTGGTCTGAAACTCTTGAGCTCAAGTGATCCACCTGGCTTGGGCTCCCAAATTGCTGGGATTACAGGTGTGAGTCACTGTGCCTGGCCCAGTATTTATTGTTATATCATAATCTAACATTTTTTTTGCTGTTATCTAGTTGTTCTAGTACTCTTTATTTCCCTTTGATTTGAAATGTCACGTTGATCACATATTTAATTCTTATATTTACTAGGGTTGAGTTTTTAGTGTTTTTTTTTTTTTTTTGAGATGGAGTCTCACTGTGTCGCCCAGGCTGGAGTGCAGTGGCACAATCTCGGCTCACTGCAAGCTCCGCCTCCTGGGTTCACACCATTCTCCTGCTTCAGCCTCCCGAGTAGCTGGGACTACAGGTGCCCACCACCACAGGGTTTCACCATGTTAGTCAGGATGGTCTCGATCTCCTGGCCTCATGATCCACCTGCCTCGGCCTCCCAAAGTGCTGGGATTACAGGCGTGAGCCACCACGCCCAGCCAAGTTTTTAGTTTTTATTCTACTCTGGTGATACTTTCATTTACTCTACTTTATGGTTTTTTTTTTTTTTTTTTTTAGACAGAGTCTTGCTCTGTTACCTTGGCTGGGGTGCAGTGTGCAATCTTGGCTCACTGCAACCTCCACCTCCCGGGTTCAAGTGATTCTTCTGCCTCAGCCTCCTGAGTAGCTGGGATTACAAGTGCCCACCACCACACCTAGTTAATTGTTGTATTTTTAGTAGAGACGGGGTTTTGCCATGTTGGCCAGTCTCATCTGGAACTCCTGACCTTAGGTGATTCGCCCACCTTGGCCTCCCAAAGTGCTGGGATTACAGGCTACTTTATGTGTTTTTATTAATTAGAACCACAAGTTTTCTTCTGGATTATCCTTTTTCAGAAATGTCCTGGATACTCTTATGTTTTTATTTTTACACATGAACTTTAAAATTATGTTGTCAAGTTCCAAAAAAACTGTATTGGGATTGTTGTCTGGTATCATTTTTGCTTCATATATGGAATACTGAATTCAATTTGGGGTTCGCATTTTAAAGATTTTGACAAGATGGTGAAGACCCCAGAAGGAGGCAGCTACTTGTAAGGATAAGAACTGAATTTACATCAAAATGTCATGAAACAGCTCAAAAATAATGTTTGTATCTAAAACGTATTTTGTTCCTTTCTCCTGATTTTGAGTTTAGGTTTTCACACTTACTAGGTATCCTTGGGCAATCAATGTTTCTTAGTTTAAGTTCCCACATCGGTAAAAGGTTGGGGTAAGTCCTAGATAATCTCTAAGATGCCCTCCAACTTGTACATTCTATAATTCTGTGAAATATTTGATGAAGAATACAAGAATTGGTTGTGTTTAGCTTTGAGAAGAAAAAAAAAAACCCTATACTTAGTGAATGCCTGTAAGTATCAAAGAGTTGTTCTATTGAAAGGAATTAACAATTTTTTTTTTTTTTGAGACAGAGTTTCGCTCTTGTTGCCCAGGCTGGAGTGCAATGGCGCAATCTCAGCTCACTGCAACCTCCACTTCCCAGATGCAAGTGATTCTCCTGCCTCAGCCTCCCTAGCTGGGATTACAGGCATGTGCCACCATGCCCGGGTAATTTTGTATTTTTAGTAGAGACAGGGTTTCTCCACATTGGTCAGGTTGGTCTCAAACTTCCGAACTCAGGTGATCCTCCCGCCTCAGCCTCCCAAAGTACTGAGATTACAGGCGTGAGCCATTGTGCCTGGCCAGAATTAACCTTTTTTTTTTTTTTTAAATTAAAAGAGGTTATGTAATGGATGTTCAATAGGCATTATTAATGTTTATGTGCATTATTGAAGTACTGCACTTACAGAGTTAAAGTAGAAGTGTGATTTAGCATGGTATAATGGAAAAGAAAAACATGAAAAAAATCAAAACCAGGTATAATTGCTAACTCCCTGATTTCCAAGTATATTTGGTTAGTTTGTTTCTCTAAACCTTGGTTTTTGAATCTGGAAATGAGGATCATAAAACCTACTTTGCATTTAGTTGTGAAGATTAATTTATGTGAAATGCAGAATGAATGCCTGACACACAGTAGGCATTGAACACATGTTAATTACTCTAATTTTGCCCCGTCTCCCTCCACAGCTGTTAAAGACTTTTGAGAGGGCAAAACATGCTATACTACTGAAGGCTTTTATTTAATTAAATAACTTACCGACAGTAGCATAGTATCAACACAGAGCTTAATACAGCGTCCTAAAAGCCAGTGTTATTGATAACAATGATCGAAACATACAGAAAATAAATGTAAATTGGAGGTTTTCCAGGCATGTGAAATATTATGTAATTTATATGTAAATTGCACCACCAACTACCCAAGTGCCCAAGCCAGCAATCTTACCACCAACATTGACTCCTGTCTTGCATTAACTTCCATATTTAACCATTCACCAACCTGTATTGATTTTACCTACTAAATATTTATTACTCCATCCATTTCTTTGCATCTCCTCTCCCTGGAGATCACCATCATTTCTTAGCTGGATTGATTTCATAATCCTCAAACTAGTGTCTGCCTTGAGCATTGTTTCCCTGGTCTTTTCTCCATAGTGCATCCATCCTGAATTTATCTGATGAATACGTGAACATTTTGAATTTTCCAAGATATGAGGGAGGTCAGTCAGTATATAACGATTATATATTGTAATTTGATATTTGTTTGACCCATTTTTAGCCTGAAATGAGCAGCAACATGTTCTTATAAAGGAGATAGGCTGAATGTGTGTGGTGGCTCATACCTGTAATCTTAGCACTTTGGGAGGCCGAGGTGGGCGGATCACCTGAGGTCAGGATTTCAAGATCAGCCTGGCCAACATGGTGGAACCCCATCTCTACCAAAAATACAAAAATTAGCCTGGCGTGGTGGCGGGTGCCTGTAGTCCCAGTTACTAGGGAGGCTGAGGCAAGAGAATTGCTTGAACCTGAGGGGCAGAGATTACAGTGAGCCAAGATTGCACCACTGCACTCCAGCCTGGGTGACAGAGTGAGATGTTCATCTAAAAATAAAAAATAAAAAAAAGTAAAAAAAAAAAGATGCCTATTAAATCATATACAAAATTAATTGTTTTTATGCATTTTTAATTTTTTTTTCAGAGACAAAAGTCTATGTTGCCCCATACTGGTCTCAAACTCCAGGGCTGAAGTGATCCTCCTGTCTCAGTCTCCTGAGTAGGTAGGACTCCAGGCACGAGCCACCCTGTCCTGCTAGAAGTTATGGTTTTTAAAGGTAAGATGTGCTTCTATTACATGGGACTTAGAAGGGGCTAATAATTTTTAAAACACTGGAATAAATTTAAGAAAGATATTTTTTTAAGATGGGTTATAACTTCACAACCTCATACATGGGTATATTAGATTTGTATAATTTTGAAAATCTTCTTGTACTAAAGCTCTTAAATATGGCTTCTTAGAGCAATGAGTTTGCTTATTTACGTTTATAAGAAGTTCATGTGAAGTGTGTACAACTATTATAATTGTAACTCTCTAAGGGCTTGAAAATGCACTTTTATCATATCAGTTCATCTGAAAAACTGTAAAATTGAACAGATTTCAATTACCTTCATCAGCTTAAACAATGGAGAAGTAGTGGAAGATTTTCATGAGGTACACAATCTCATCCTTGAACCTAATAACTATATACTCTTTTACAGATTTTGTAGTTATCCTTTTTTGCTTAATCAATCTTGGTGGCAGCAAAGTGTTTTGTTTATGTCCTTGCATCTCAGATTCTGCTGTGTACAAAGCACCTCTCTAGATGGAGTTTCCCAGCTGCCAGAAATTGGAATCATAGACTTTTTGAGCCAGAAGGGCCGTTTCATAGGCATCAGCTGGGAACTTGTTAAACCTACATTAATAAATTGGGCCAGACCAACTGAATAAAGAACTCTGGAGGTGTGGTCCAGCAATCTGGTTTAGAAAGCCCTCCAGGTGATTCCAAACCACACTCAAGTTTCAGAATTCCTGACCTGAGTTTCACCCTTTGATTTCTCTTTCTTTTTCGAGACAGAGCCTCCGTCGCCCAGGTTGGAGTGCAGTGGCGCGATCTCGGCTCACTGCAACCTACGCCACCCTGGTTCAAGCGATTCTCCAGCCTCAGCCTTCTGAGTAGCTGGGATTACAGGCACCCGCTTCCACACCCAGCTAATTTTTGTATTTTTAGTAGAGACGGGGTTTCACCATGTTGGCCAGGCTGGTCTCGAACTCCTGACCTCAGCTGATCCACCTGTGTCGGCCTCCCAAAGTGCTGGAATTACAGGCGAGAGCCACCGTGCCCGGCCTCACCCTTTGATTTCTTGATAAGGAAACTAGGTCCAAAGAGATTGTCACTAATTAGAGAAAATACTAGAATCTTTTCTAGGTAATTTCTAGAATGACGAAACATCCCAGAGGGAAATTTGTTTATTAGGCTAATTGCTAAGCCATAGTTGAAAAAATGCTGGGTGGGAATAAGTAATGATAGGGGAAGAGTCTGTCTACCATTTAACTCACCTGATGAGCTTCTTCAACATTATTTTTTGATCTATTGAAGTTTAGTCTGAAAGAAAAGTTTGCTTCATCTAACATTTGTTTTATTCACTTGATTATTCATATGTCGTATTCACTGAAGCAAGTTGATGTGTCATTTAAATAACTACTCATTTCCATCACTCATGCTCTCAAACTAATGAATCTTAGTGTGTGTGACCCTGCAGCTTTCATTTTTAACAAGCTCCTCACACTGAAGTTTGAGAACCACTACTACAGAAGATGGTTAAAGTGCTTAAGAATAAAACTAGTTGGACTAGACCAACATTTTCAATATCCTTTAATTTAGGTTCCACAGTGAAAACTCATACATTCTGCTAATGTATGTATCATGAAGCCAATATAACATTAGGGTTTGCTCCAGATATTTGTAATGATATGGTATTAAAGTGATTTTTTTTTTTTTTGAGACGGAGTCTCGCTCTGTCGCCCAGGCTGGAGTGCAGTGGCACGATCTCCGCTCACTGCAAGCTCTTCTCCCAGGATGACGCCATTCTTCTGCCTCAGCTTCCCGAGTAGCTGGGACTACAGGCGCCCGCCACCATGCCCAGCTAATTTTTTTATTTTTATTTTTAGTAGAGACGGGTTTTCACTGTGTTAGCCAGGATGGTCTCGATCTCCTGACCTCGTGATCCGCCCGCCTCGGCCTCCCAAAGTGCTGGGATTACAGGCGTGAACCACCGCGCCCGTCCTAAAGTGATTTTTTTTTGAAAGTATAAGTTTCCTCATCATCTGAATGAAAAAAATTCACTGTAGGAGGGCCAAGAGATCACCAGATTAAGAAAAGTGTTGAAACAATGGATCTTGTTCTAACTACACAAGTCTAAGATGGTACTGCCTGGAATCAACTTTGATTTTCCACAGCACAAATAAAGGTCATGGCTTCATATCTCAGCAATGGTCAGGAGTTTTAGTTTTTCCAGATTACATTGTGTGGGGTAGTCTGATTTAGGAAAACAAGACACAGTATCTGGAGAATAAAAACAGAATTATAACTCTGCAAGAGGAAAATTATCTGCCTTGAATTTTTGTAGCACTTAATGTTTTTTCAAGGTATTTTCACAATAAACGTTGATTTTATCTATGTAACAGCCCTGTGAAGAAGGCAATTACTACTAGCAAAATCGTTTTCAAAATTTTAAATACTGAATCCATGAATAGGAAAAAGGACAGCGAAGTTGATAGCATTAGAGAAATGACAGAAAAGGTTATGAGTGAGGAAGCGAATCATAGAAATGGCAAACATAAAAAGCTGAGGCCCACGGCACCGCAAACCAGGAGAGAAAGGGGCTAATCTGGCAGGGGAGAACAGCGTTAGTGGGGAAGTGCAAAGAGGCAGGGGCGCAGGAAAGCTGGGGTTAGGAAACTGCAATTCACTGCAACAAAGAGGATGAGGTCAAATCTGAGAAAAATGAAGTCAGGTGGCATTGAAAGCTGCGTGGAAGTTTTATTCCTGCCCTGTTGAGGTGTGATCTTTCACAGAGGAGGGTCCCAAGAGTGGAGGCTGTGCCCTCCTTCGGCCTCCCGTCAGCAGCAGAGGGAGAAAAGCCTCGAGAAGTTCCCTAGGCCGATGACCTCCATGGGGACGGAGCCGAGATGAGTCCCGGAGGGAGCCGGCAGGAAGCCAGCTGAGCAGGGTGGTGTGTTCCCGCCGGGCTAACAAAGGCCGCCGGGAGGTGGGGGCTTCTCCAGCCGCTCCAGCGGCGGGCGGGCGGCGGAAGGGTTAACTGCACCACCAACTCCCGCGCGCATCCCGGCCCCTACCCCCGCCGTCGCTAGGAGACGCCGGAAGTGGGGGAGGGGCCGGCGGCGCGGGCGAGGGTGGGAATCTTTTTCGGGCTCCCGGGGGCGGAGGGAAGGGAGCGCGCGTGCGCGCGCCCGGCCGGCCGTCGCCGCGGTGACCGTCCTCGGAGTCCGTCGGCTCGCGCCCCGCCCCCGTCGCCCCCTCCCCTGTCGCGCGCTGGGGCTGTTTCTCGCTCCTTCCGAGTTACCGCCGCCGTCGCCGCCGCTCCTCCTCTCCCGGTCCTGGGTTTCCTTGGCGCTGCGGCCGCCGCTCCCTCTGCGACCTGTATGAGGAGGAGGAGGAGGAGGATGTGAAGATGGCGGAGCTGCAGATGCTGCTGGAAGAGGAAATCCCGGGGGGCCGCCGGGCCCTCTTCGACAGCTACACAAATCTGGAACGGGTGGCCGATTACTGCGAGAACAACTACATACAGGTGCGAAGCATCCCCAGCTGGGCCGCGTCGGGGACCCCCCCGCCGGGGGCCGCGCGCCTCGGGGCGTGGGGCCGAGGCCGCCTCGGGGACACGGCCCAGCGGAGCCCCCGATGGGGGTGGGGAGCTGGGTGAGGGCTGGGGCTGGTGAATGGGTGGGAATTCTCCGGCTGGAGAAACTGCATTTTAAAAACCTTTAAAAAAGCGGTGAAGCAGTTCTCGGCGTGGTGCGTGTGTCGCGTCCCGCCTCCTCGCCGCTCCCGCCCTCGGCCGCCCCCGCACTCCGCGCCGGTCAGCGTTCCGGATGGCGGAGGGGGCGGAGAGTGGCATTTTCTGTTTGACGGAATCCTGCTCCCCACCTTAGGGTAGGGGTGTCGCGGGTGTTGACGGGTTACCTCCATCCCCCAAATTCTGGATGATTTTTAAGGGGTTATCTTGCTGCAGAGTGAAGTGCTTCAGGCTTCAGTTTTCTGTTCCTGTGAATGCTTCAGAAACCCTTTCTTAATATTTTATGTTCTAAAGGGGATACGGTAGAAGAGCAGCAGTTTCTTGTTGGAAGTTAATGCCATTTTTTTCCCTATGGAGAAGGATGATGAGCTGATTCCCCCCTCCCTCCTAGTTCTGTTAGAATAGGCAGTTTTCCTGGGGGTGGGAGGAGGACAGACTATGACTGTTTCTTAGAGAGAATTGGGAAGATGAACCTCCTGGTTTAATTTTTTTTTTTTTTTTTTTTTTTTACCGTGATGGATCGTTTGGCTCAAGGGCTGATAGTGGTAGGGGCGTGTGTATGGAGGCGGGGGATACCGGATGGTATGAGATCCAGCTGCTCCTGGATGAAGCAAAATATTCTGTGGATTAAAAAAATCCTTCTTTAAAAATTACTTGAAAGGATAGCAGGTTAAAAGGCACAGTTTGCAAAATCTAAAATCTTTTGCTTTTTTTTTTATGGTTATTTTGAATTATGGGTTCTGCCTCCATTTTTTTTCTTTCCCGTTTAAATTCTCTTGGGATAAAGATGGAAATGGAAGCAATATGTTAAACTGTTTCTTCACAGTCTTTTTTTTTTTCCTTTTTTCTTGCTCCCACCTCCATCTCTCCAGGGATCCTTCTTTTTTCTTTTCTTTTTGAGACACAACCTCGTTCTGTAGTCCAGGTTGGAGTGCAGTGGCGCGATCTCGGCTCACTGAAACCTCGGCCTCCTAGGTTTGAGCAATTCTCATGCTTCAGCTTCCCGAGTAGCTGGGACTACAGGCGCCCGCCACCACAGCCGGCTAATTTTTGTATTTTTAGTAAAGATGGGGTTTCACCATGTTGACCAGACTGGTCTCGAACTCCTGACTTCAAGTCATCCACCCACCTCGGCCTCCCAAAGTGCTGGGATTATAGGCGTGAGGCACCTTTCTTAACATTAGCTATATAGGAAAGCATTTTCATGTCTTAGTGTAAATTTTAAAAAACAGGTGTTACAATTTTATAGGTTCATAAATTTTGTAATGGCCACATTGTTGATCGCGGAAGTGAGATTTTGTTTGATTAGACATACTGTTATCTTGTAGACAACATTTGTATTTGAGAATGACCCGAACCACTGTATAAACCTGTTCCTTCGAAAGAGGCAGTTGACTATGGCTACTAGGAAAGGAATGTAGGCAAGATTAATACAAAAAAATACAAATGTCCACTTGTAATGTACTTTGCTGATACAAGTGGGGTAGAAAAGATTCAGAGGTTCAGGCCTGGGCGATAAGAGTGAGACTACATATCAAAAAAAAAAAAAAAAAAAGATTCACTTGCTCAATTTTTCGCTAAAATTGAAAGTCTTTTATGGCCTAGAACTGTGTGAGGGGTGGATGGTACATACCTAGTAGGAGAGGCTGATCTTGGAGGAAATTAATACCATGTAGTTAATTTATACTCTGTAGTGCACTGCTGGTACCAAGGAGGACTGGAGGAAGCAATGCTGTTCTGAGGGATTTCACAATCTCTAGTAGAGGCAAAACCTAAAGGAATGAAGTGGTAATTCCATTGCCTTGTGCAGCATATTATGGGGAAAGAGTTGCAGGTCAGAAGAGAAACTGAGGGTGGAAAAGTGGATTGCAATTATTACCAGTAAGAAATAAAAAATAAACAGATTTCTCTCTCTTTTGCAAGATGATTTCTTATTGTAATTTGAAGGTACAAGTTCCTCTTAAGTTATAATTGCTATATAAAGGTAAAAGGATAAGGATTATTAAAGCTGAAAGGTTAAAGGCATCAGCAGTTTTCTTTTTAAATATTTTATACATTTCCTTCAGTTGAAAAGAGAAAAACGTTACTACTATCAATCTCTGTTTTAGCAATGGGACTCAAAATTTAGTGTGGTGACATTTTAAAATTTAAAGCATAAATATTGATTAATATTAATTTAATAGAAATGAACTTAGATTTTAAAATAGTTTATTTCTTCAGTTTAGCATCTGAAGTATATTTTACACTTTCTCTTTTTTGATTATCATTTATTTTAGGATGCCTTAGGTATATAATTGGTACACTCTCAGGATGATAGCTCTTATATGATTTGTTGATTTGTTGGGAAAGTTGATAAATAGAACGTGGTGACAGTGGATTTGTGCTGATCCAGCTGTACATTTGGTTGACCAGCAGGGGTTTTGATGCTGCCTGGACCCTGCAGTAGATGAAAGTTAATTCACAGGATCAGTGATCAAATGGTCAATTTAGCCTTTTTTTTTTTTTTTTTTTTCTGAGACAGAGTCTCACTCTGTCGCCCAGGCTAGAGTGTAGTGGCGCGATCTCGATCTCTGCTCACTGCAACCTCCGCCTCCTGGGTTCAAGCGATTCTTCTGCCTCAGCCTTCCAAGTAGCTGGGACTACAGGTGTGTACCACCATGCCTGGCTAATTTTTGTATTTTTAGTAGAGACGGGATTTCCCCATTTTGGCCAGGCTGGTCTGGAACTCCTGGCCTCAGATGATCGACCTGCCTTGGCCTCCCCAAAGTGTTGGGATTACAGGCGTGAGCCACCGCACCTGGCCAATTTAGCCTTATTATAGCATCATGTCTTAGCCACTAGCTCGAGTTAACTAACCCAACACTCATTTTATTGTGTGGAAATGTAATTTTTGCCTATAAAGTAGAAAAAAATCTGTTTATCATGTGTAATAAGTGTTTTTGCTCAGTGTTCTTTTTTTTTTTTTTTTTTTGACACAGAGTTTCACTCTGTCGCCCAGGCTGGAGTGCAGTGGCGCGATCTCAGCTCACTGCAACCTTCGTCCCCCGGGTTCAAGTGATTGTCCTGCCTCAGCCTCCCGAGTAGCTGGGATTACAGGCACGTGCCAACACGCCCAGCTAATTTTTGTATTTTTGGTAGAGATGGGGTTTTGCCATGTTGGCCAGGCTAGTCTCAAACTCCTGACCCCAGATGACCCACCCACCTCGGCCTCCCAAAGTGCTAGGATTACAGGCGTGAGCCACCGTGCCTGGCCCCCTAAGAGTCATTTTTAATAAAAATTTAGATAGTTTCATTATTCTAACCTCTAGAAAATGGGATAGTCAATATTTTTTCTAAAATATGATAAACAGGTATAACTACAGTTTGCTGATATTTATCAGATCAATTTTATTTCTTGCCTATACAAAGGATTTAGTAGTTGGTAGAGACTTTTTTTTGAGATACATGTAAGACCTGCGTTTTTCTTCATTTATTAATATACACACCTAGGCCGGGCACGGTGGCCCACGCCTGTAATCCCAGCACTTTGGGAGGCCGAGGCAGGCACATCACGAGATCAGGAGATCCAGACCATCCTGGCCAACATGGTGAAACCGCGTATCTACTAAAAATACAAAAATTAGCTGGCTATGGTGGCGTGTGCCTGTAGTCCCAGCTACTTGGGAGGCTGAGATGGGAGAATCACTTGAACCTGGGAAGCGGAGGTTGCAGTGAGCCAAGATCATGCCATTGCACTCCAGCCTGGGCGACAGAGCAAGACTCTGTCTCAAAAAAACAAAAATTACACATATAATGCCTAATATGTTTGAAGGTGTCCAGGAATTAAAAATGTTTTGGTTAACTTGGAATCTACGTTTTTACAAATAGAAGAATTTTTATTACAATATAGTTGTCTTAATGTTTTGGTAGATGAAATAACTCCCTATTTGTTACTTCCCTGAAATCTGAAAAGCCAACTTGTTGATATGTACGTTTTTCTTTTTGTTAGATAAAAGTTACTGATTTTTGTGAGTGACAGTTCACATAGATGCATAGTAAAATCTTATTGTTTGGATTAAGAGTAGAATCATCCCATAATATGGATTTATTCAAAAGAGAAGAAATTAAGAACTTACCTTAAATTTTTACCTGAAATATTTTTGAACAATAGGAGACATATTAGTAGCTTTCCTTTTCTTCTCTTAATCAATGTGGATACTCCCAGAGTTCACTAAAAACTTCATGAGAGGTTTACAAGGGAATATTATCAGTCAGTTTCATCAAAAGTAATTACCAAAATGATACAAAGATTTAAAATTTTTATTTAATAAAAATCATTAGAATACATGCTCATTGTTGAAAAATTATTGGAGAATACAAGTAGGTATTATGAAAGAAATGGAAAATTGCCCGATCATCTTGAATATATATCTGGTACTCATACTTTTAAATATTTTTTGTATGCACAACTATATATCAATATTTTTGTAGAAATGGGTTTATGTTCTATATTCTGTACCTTTAAAAGAACCTTTTAAGGATGCTGGGCTTGACTTTTTTTTAAATGGATGTCATATACTATATTGGGAGGAGGTTGGTTATATTTATAGGTCGAGTTCTGTATGTTCTTGCAAATGGGAGAATCTTAGAATACCTAGAATGAAGGAGAAAGAGGTCAGTTGAGAGTAAGGAGACTGAGTAGAATTTGGGAGACTGAATTCCCCATAGATTAAGATGACTCAACTCATTTGAAATTGATCAAGGCTTACCATTCCTCAAGAAATTAGTCCCTAACTCTCAGCAGAGACATTTGGTGAATAGATTTTCAGTGACAAATCAGTCATCTTCAAGACCTTTGACAAGATTGCAAAAACAGGCTAATTTATATTTGAGCCCCTTGCTCTTTTAAACATTTTGTCATTTGTACACTTCCTACACCTTCTTGTCCAAGGAACTTAAGTGACCTCATAATTTCCGTTATTGATCCAGGAAATCCAGTCTCACCTCATTTCACCCTTCCTTGAAGAGCTTCCTGGTTCAAAATTGCTCTTTACCAAAATAATTAATTAATAAACTGTTCATTTATTTTTTCTTTTCTTTTTTCTTTCTTTTTTTTTTTTTTTGAGATGGAGTCTCACTCCTTTGCCCAGGTTAGAGTGCAGTGGCGTGATCTTCGCTCACTACAACCTCCGGCTCCTGGGTTCAAGCAATTCTCCTGCTTCAGCCTCCTGAGTAGTTGGGACTACAGGCATGTGTCAGCATACCCAGCTAATTTTTGTATTTTTAGTAAAGACAGGGTTTCTCCATGTTGGCCAGGCTGGTCTCGAATTCCTGACCTCAAGTGATCCACCCGCCTTGGCCTTCCACAGTGCTGGGATTACAGGTGTGAGCCATCGTGCCCAGCCTCATTTACTTTTTCTTCTTACCTTGGTATGGGTAATGTGAGAATGTATGATAGGTTTACTTTATTTAGAGTCATCTTTTCTCACCCAGAGAATAATATATAAACCAAATTGGTTTACTTATGTGTAAAATATGTAGTAGAGATATTTTTGAGCATGAGGTGCTTTTGGTGTTACTTTTTCTTTTAAAATGCAGGGAATTTAATAGTATGCAGTTTCAGGGTGTGTAAGGTAATCTTTTGGTGGATGAAATATATTTGGTGGATGAATATGCTGTGATTTGCTTACACCCACCCCAAATCCATTTTGCAGCACCCTACTCACTGTCCAGAGATTCTGGGAAAAAAACAATAGAGAAGACAAAGCCAGTCTAGACACCATTTGACTCTACCTTGTGAATATTCTGAAAGTTACATTAGGCTAGTTGTAGATTTTTTTTTTTTTTGAGACAGAGTCTCTGTCGCCCAGGCTGGAGTACAGTGGTGCGATCTCAGCTTACTGCAACCTCTGCCTCCTGGGTTCAAGCAATTCTCCTGTCTCAGCTTCCTGAGTAGCTGGGATTACAGGTGCACGCCACCACGCCTGGCTAATTTTTGTATTTTTAGTAGAGACGGGGTTTCACCGTATTGGCCAGGCTGGTCTCGAGATCCTGACCTTAGGTGATCCGCCCGCCTCGGCCTCCCAAAGTGCTGGGATTACAGCGTAAGCCACCGTGCCTGGCCTAGTTGTAGACTTTTGATAGCTTATGGTTGAATTTTTATGGGATTGGTTAATAGATTGGATTCATGAGGTAGCATGTAGGGCAACACATTCTATTTTGGATTTTTCATTTACTTTGTGTTTCCTTCCAGATACGAAGCTCCTAGAAGATGGAGTCATTTCTTAAAAATTTCTATATTTTCCCATTAGCCGTAGGATGTTCTCCATATACTAGCCACTCATTAAATAGTTGCTGAATGTAAGAAATACAGACTTGAATATGCAAGAGCCTATGCACTGAATTATTTTTATTTTATTACTTTATTTTATTTTATTTTTTGAGACAGGGTCTCACTCTGTCACTCAGGCTGGAGTGTAGTAGCACGATTATGGGTCACTGCAGCTTGCACTCCCAAGCTCAAACAGTCTTCACACTTCAGCTCCCAAAGTAGCTGGGACTACAGGCTTGTGCCACCATGCCCAGCTAATTTTTTTTGTTGTTGTTGTTAGAAATGGGATCTCACTATGTTGCTCCGGCTGGTCTTGGAACACCTGGGCTCAAGCAATTCTCCTGCCTTGGCTTCCCAAAGTGCTGGGATTACACCTGTCAGCCGCCATGCCTGGCCTTGAATTATTTTATAAGTAGGATATAATTACATGTAAATTTACCTTGCAAGTTTTTTCCTATTTGATTTTTTGGTGACATTTATGTTCTGTAAAGTTTTGCAGTACTTTTCATATTTGCATAATTCATGCAAGGAACATAGTTTTGCTTTTTTCTTCTTAAGTAATATACTTTGTAGAAAATTTGGATGAGGTAACAGCTTTGTTTTGAATCATTTACAACATGAATTTTTTCTCATTTGATTTTTAAAGTCAGGTTTATTGAGTTTTAATACATATATGGTACAAGTCACCCTTTTTAGGTGTAAAGGTTTATGAATTACAATAAACTTACATAGTCATGTAACCACCACAATGTAAAATTTTCCTTGTACCCTCTGTAGTCAGTCCTGTCCCTCCACTACTAGCCTTTGGTAAACACTGATATATTTTCTGTCCCTCTAGTTTTTGCCTTTTCCAGAATGCCATATAAGGGGCATTATGTAGTATATAGCCTTTTGTGTTTGACTTCTTGGTACTAGAAGTCCTAATACATTTGAAAATCATCAGTGTTATTGTGTTTTGTCAGTACTTTGTTCCTTCTTATTACTGAGTAATATTCTAGAGTATGAAAGAATCATAATTTGTTCATCCATTCACCAACTGATGGATTTCTGGATTGTTTCTAGTTTTAGGCAGTGGTGAATATGGCTGTAAACATTTGTATACAGGTGTTGGTGCAACCTAAGTCTTCACTCTTTTGGGTAAATTTAAGGGAAAAGATCAACTGTTGTACCCTGGTAACAGTGGATGTATCCACATAGGCTGCATAGGCCAGTGCTTGAACTGCATCTGATCTGAATCTTGGCCGAGCACTTTGTGATCCTCTTGGAATATAAGATTATGGAAGTTTGCGAGGACCTTATGTGAAGCCCTTTCTCAATCTCTTCATCTGCCGAGGAGGCTGTACGTGATAACAGTGCCTCATCACCTCCTAGTTCCCATGAGATGAGGCTCTCTATTGTACCCTTTTAGGTAGTAGCTGCAGGCTGTAAGACTTTAGTTGCAGCATGGCATTGGCTCCTCCGCAACAGAGTGTCATATCTATGTTGTAGTCACCTGGCTCCTTTTGTTTTAGTATTGCTTTACACAAGGGCTGTATCTTTTACTACTATTCCTTCTGCCCTCCATGTAAATGGTAGGCTTTCTGAACCTAACAAGCAGTTGGGCAGGTCTATCACATTGCCTTCTCTTTGCCTTGACAATAAATATCTAATAGTGGGATTATTACCGTATGGTAAATGTGTGTTTAGTTTTATACAAATTGCCAAACTCTTTTCCAAAAACGATGGTACCGTTTTGCGTTCCCACCAGCAAAGATCCAGTTGTTCTTCATCTTTGTCAGCATTTGGTTTTGTCAGGTTTTAAAATTTTAGCTATTCTCTTGTTAGTGATGTCTCAAAGGCCATATATGACAAGCCTACAACTAACATCATACTCAACCATGAAAAGTTGAAACCTTTTCCTCTAAGATCAGGAATAAGACAGTGGTGCCCAGTGTCACTAGTTCTATTTAATCAAGTACTGCAAAGTACTAGAAGTCCTAGCCAGCCAGTTAGGAAAGAAAAATAAACAAAAGGCATCAAAATTGGAAGAAGTTAAATTGTCTCTGTTTGCAAATGACATGATTCCTTATGTATACAAAACCCTAAAGACTCCACCAAAAGACTGTTAGAATTAATTAACGAATTTAGTAAAGTTGTAGGAGACAAGATCAACATACAAAAATCTGTTGTGTTTCTACATATTAACTACAAACGATCTGAAAAATTAAGAAAACATTTCCATTTATAACAGCAGAAAGAATAGAATACTTAGGAATAAATGTAATCAAGGAGGTGAAAGGTCTGTACACTAAAAACTATAAGACATTTATGAAAGTAATTGAAGAACATGCAAATAAATGGGAAGATATCCCGTGCTCATGAATTGGTAGATTTGATATTGTTAACATGTCCATACTACACAAAGCCATCTACAGATTTAATGCAATCTCTATCAATATTCCAATGGTATTTTTCACAAAAATAGAAAAACCCTAAAATTCATAGGAAACCACAAAATACTTTGAATAGCCAAAGCAGTTTTGAATAAGAACAAAGTTGGAGGTATCATACTTCCTGATTTCAAACTATATTACAAAGCTATAGGCCTGGCATGGTGGTTCATGCTTGTTATCCCAGCAGTTTGGGAGGCCTAGGTAGCCAGATCACCTGAGGTCAGGAGTTCAAGACCAGCCTGGCCAGCGTGGAGAAACCTCATCTCTACTAAAAATACAAAAATTATAGGGCATGCTGGCACACGCCTGTAGTCCCAGCTACTCAGGAGGCTGAGTTGGGAGAATCGCTTGAACCCAGGAAGTGGAGGTTGCAGTGAGCTGAGATCATGCCACTGCACTCCATCCTGGGCAACAGAGCGAGACTCTGTCTCAAAAAAAGCTATAGTAATCAAAACAGTGTGTTACTGGCATAAAAGACATGTAGACTAATGGAACAGAATGGAGCCCGGAAATGTAGCCACATCTGTGCAGTCAACTAAGCTTTGATAAAGGCACCAGGTACACAATGGGGAAAGGATAATTCAGTAAATGGTATTGGGAAAACTATATCCACATGCAAAAGAATGAAATTTGATTGTTATATCACACATACAAATTAGCTAGAAATGGATTAAAGACTTAAATGTAAGATCTGAAATTATAAAACTCTTTGGTATGGGTCAGATGTTTGTTCCCTTCAAATCTCTTGTTGAAATGTGATTCCCAGTGTTGGAGGTGGGTCTTGGTGGGAGATAATTGGATTATGGGGGCAGATCCCTCATGAATGATGTAGCACCATCCCTTTAGTGATAAGTGAGTTCTTGCTTGGTTCACGTGAGAACTGGTTGTTTAAAATTAGTCTGGGAGCCCCCCCACCATGTGACATGCTGGCTCCACTTCTGCCATGATTACACCTCACCAGAAGTACGTGCCAGCACTGTGCTTTGTGTAAAGCCTGCAGAACCAAGAGCCGATTAAACCTCTTTTCTTTATAAATTACCCAGCCTCAGGTATTCCTTCATACGATCATAAGAATGGACTGATACACTCCTAGAAGAAAACATAGGGGAAAAAGCTCCTTGATTCTGGTCTTGACAATGGTTTTTATAAATATGACACCAAAAGCACAGGCAACAAAAGCAAGAAAAGATGAGAGTGACTACATCAAACTAAAAGGCTTCTGCACAGCAAAGGACACAAAATGAAAAGGCAATTTATGGAATGGGAGAAAATGTGCAAACCATACATCTATCTGATAAGGGGTTTATATCTGTGTGTGTGTGTGTGTGTGTATATGTATATATATATATATATATATATATATAAATATATATATATATATATAAATATATATATATATATATATATATAAAGGATTCATACAACTTAATAGCAAAAAACCAAATAACCAGATTTTAAAAAGACCTAAGTAGACATTTTTTCAAAGAAGACACACAGGCGTCCAACAGGTATGTGAAAATGTGCTCAACATCACTAATCATTAGGGAAATGCAAGTCAAAACAAAAAGGAGCTGTCACCTCACACTTGTTAGGGTGGCTATCAAAAGAGAGATAAGTGTTGGCAAGCAGGTGGAGAAAAGAGAATCCTTGTGTGCAGTGAGAATGTAAATT
The DNA here is from genome assembly GCF_000001405.40 of Homo sapiens. Classification (NCBI taxonomy): domain Eukaryota; kingdom Metazoa; phylum Chordata; class Mammalia; order Primates; family Hominidae; genus Homo; species Homo sapiens. The sequence continues at coordinate 203,339,270 of NC_000002.12, forward strand.
GGAACAGCCATTATGAAAAACTGGTTCCGGCCGGGTGTGGTGGCTCATGCCTGTAATCCCAGCACTTTGGGAGGCCGAGGCAGGCAGATTACCTGAGGTCAGGAGTTGAAGACCAGCCTGGCCAATATGGTGAAACCCTGTTTCTCCTAAAAATAAAAAAATTAGCTGGGTGTGGTTGGCGGGTGTCTGCAGTCCTAGCTACTCCAGAGGCTGAAGCAGGAGAATTGCTTGAACCCGGGAGGCAGAGGTTGCAGTGAGCCGAGATTGCGCCACTGCACTCCAGCCTGGGCAACAGAGCAAGACTCCGTCTCAAAAAAAAAAAAAAAAAGAAAAAGAAAAAAAGAAAACCCAGTTCTCCCTAAAATTAAAAATAGGACAAACATACAATCCCACTTCTGGGTATATATCCCTAGGGAATGAAATCATTATCTCAAAGAGACATCTGCACACCCATGTTCATTTCAGCATTATTCATGGTAACTAAGATATGGAAACAACCTAAGTGTCAGTGGATGAATGGATGAAGAAAATGTGTACTGCATGCACAGTTCTCCTTCAGTCTACATGGGGCATTGGTTCTAGGACCCCCAAGTATACCCAAATCTGCATATACTCAAATCCTGCAGTCACCCTTGTGGAACGCGTGTATATGAAAAGTCATCTGTCCCATCTGTATATGTGGATGAATACTGTATTTGTTTGAAAATAATCTGTATATTGGACCCACACAGTTAAAGGGTCAACTGCATATGTAATAGAATATTATTCAGCCATAAAAAGAAGGAAACCCTGCTATTTGTGACAACATGGATGAACCTGGAGAACATTAGGTAAGTGAAATAAGCCAGGCACAGAAAGACAAATACCGTATGATTTCACTTATATGAGGAATCTAAAAAGATGAACCCATAGAATGAAGCAGATAATAGAATCTGCTTCTATTATCGGCCAAGGGCCGTTGGGAGGTGGGGAGAAATGGGGAGATGTTAGTCACAGGGCACAAACTTGTAGTTATAGGATGAATGTGTTTTGGGGGTCTAATGTACTGTGTAGTAACTATAGTTAATAATATTGTATACTTGAAATTTACTAAGTCAGTAGATTTTTTTTTTTTTGAGACAGCGTCTTGTTCTGTTACCCAGGCTGGAGTACAGTGGCATGATCACGGCTCACTGCAGCCTCACCTCCCCAGGCTCAAGTGATGCTCCCACCTTAGCCTTCCGAATAGCTGGGACTACATGTGTGTACCACCACACATGGCTAATTTTTGTAGTGACGGGGTTTCGCCCTGTTGCCCAGGCTGGTCTCGAACTCCTGGGCTCTACCCATCCACCCACCTTGGCCTCCCAAAGTGCTGGGATTACAGGTGTGAGCTACCATTTGCCTGGCTGAGAGTAGATTTTAAGTGTTGCCCACTCCCCGCTCCCACCAAAGATAATCAAGAAATGATTATCTTGATTGTGATAACCATTTTACAGTTTATGTGTGTATCATGTCATCATGTTGTACACTTTAAATATATACAGTTTTTGTCAGTTATACCTCAGCAAAGCTGAAAAAAAAAACCCAAAGCAAACTGAACCAAAACAATATTGCCTGCAAGCCACAAACAATCAGCATCTAGCCTTGACATCATCTCCTGTTACACTCCTTTACCCTTCTTTGTTCACTCAACTTCAGCCACTTTGGCATCCTTTTCTTGAACATACCAGGCATACTTCTGCCTCAGGGCCTTTTTGCTTTGTATTTGTTATGCCCTCTGCCAGGAGTACTCTACTCCAAGATAGTTGCATGATTGGTTCTTTTACTTCCTTCAAGCTTTTGCTGATACATCACGTTCTTGATGACCCCTTCCTGGCTACTCTGTGTAAAATTATAACATACTCCTGCCCCTTGCTCACTCTCCCTTTGCTTATACTTATCCTTCCATGCTTTTTTTACGCCTACATATTTTCTCTTAACATACAGTGTTTCTTATTTATTTGTGTGTTTTCCCTCCCTGGTATGTGAGGGCAGAGATTTTTGTCTCTTACTCATTTCCAGTACCTGGAACAGTGCCTGGCACAAAATAGGCACTCCGTAAATATTCGCTAAATGAGCGAATTAGATCTTTTCTAGTAAGCATTAGAAAATGTCGGAGGGCAGTGAAATAAATTAGTTTTGGGCCAGGCTCAGTGGCTCACTCCTATAATCCTAGCACTTTGGGAGGCTGAGGCAGGCAGACTTCCTGAGCTCAGGAGTTTGAGACCACCTTGGCCAAGATGGCGAAACCCCATCTCTACTAAAAACAAAAAAATTTCTCCGGGCTTGTTGGTGTGCACCAGTAGTGCCTCGGGAGGCTGAGGCACGAGAGTTGCTTGAACCCGGGTGGCAGAGGTTACAGTGAGCCTAGATTGCACCACTGCACTCCAGCCTGGGCAACAGAGCGAGACTCCATCTCAAAAAAAAACAAAAGAAATTAGTTTTGCAAATTTGAAGAGTTGATAGATTTATGCTCTGGAAAATGAAAGTTGGCAAATACTTTTTATTTGTCCAGAATATTTAATGTAGATATGGCCAACAGAATTGACACTAATATTCCACATGTGGTTGGTGCTTTAGGGTTAAGCAGTTTATTTACAGTTACTTAGTGCAGGACTTACTCAATAGTGGAAGCTCATCAAATGTCTGAACTGATCTACAGCTTCCTGGGAGGTATAAGCAAGGGAGATATTCCTATTATAACATATTAGATGAGACAACTCAAGTTTACCTCTGACTCTGCTAAACTAAAATTCTGTGAAGAGAGGAATTATGTTCATTTTTTTTTTGCCTGTTATGTCCTCATTTCTTAGTGTTCAGTAAATTTTTGTTGAGTAAAATGAACTTATGACTCACACCATTTATTTTATTATATGTTTTTTTCCTTCCTGGTCGTTCAAAAATAGTTATTGAGCATCTTTCCATTCTGTGAGGTCAGTGGTAAGTAACTCATGGACCAAGTCCAGTTCTGTTACCATTTTGATTTCTATGAAGAATCTTCGTTGTAAATTTTGAATTAATGGAGTTGAACTGCATATAATATGGGACTGTTTTTTTGTTTTTCTTGATGTTATGTGGCCTTACCCACTTATGTGTTGAAGGCTTTTCATAAAGGCAAGGAGATAGGTTGTTAGGAACCTACGAAACAAAGTTGAATAGGGGAAGCCAACAAGGGATGCCAGCATCTTTCAATATGTAGTACCACAAGTTTTCTGCCAGCAGATAGTGCTTAAATAGTGATTCCATGTCTCCCTCAAAACCTTTTATTTATTTATTTATTTATTTATTTATTTATTTATTTATTTTTGAGACAAGGTCTCACTCTGTCATCCAGGCTGGAGTGCAGTGGCGTGATCTCAGCTCACTGCAGCCTCTGCCTCCTGGTCTCAGGCACTCCTTCTGCCTCAGCCTCCTTAGTACTACTGCTGGGATTACAGGTGCTCGCCACCATGCCTGGCTAATCGCCCTCAAAACCTTTTATTCTGAATCTAGAAGAGCAGGCTAGGTTGACAAAAATATTTAAATTGCCTGGCTTGATATAATGTCTATACACACACACATCTCATTGTTTTTGAGAGAAAAGGAAGTTTAAATTTATGGACATGAAATTTATATTATTTCTAGTTTTTTAATCATTCATGCATTTGTTTATAATGCATTAACATGCATAATTATGAATTTTATTCATGTGTAAATAATACAGTCTATACCGTTAACAAAAGACCATGAGATCTGTGGAAGAAGAAAAAGGAGAACTTTATTTCCTATAGAGGATTACAGCCTGCAGATTGGGAAGTGGAGCCTCCAGCCAAAACTAAAAGCAAGCACCTGGGGAGGCTGAGGCAGGTGGATCACGTGAGGTCAGGAGTTTGAGACCAGCCTGGCCAACATGGTGAAACCTTGTCTCTACTAAAAATACAAAAATTAGCGGGATGTGGTGGCACGCATCTGTAGTCCCAGCTACTCGGGAGGTTGAAGCAGGAGAATCGCATGAACTCGGGAAGCGGAGGTTGCAGTTAGCTGAGATTGCGGCACTGCACTCTAGCCTGGACGACAGCGAGACTATGTCTCAAAAAACATAAAAAAATTTAATGTTAGCAGGTTAGTTTGTGGTACAAACATGTTATGTGCATGTAATGACAAGGCATTATATTCCAGGTTTTTTTTTCCTTCTTTTGAAATGAGTGATTAAAGATAGAATTTCTAGGACTATTTATTTATTTTTGAAATAGAGATGGGGTTGCTCAGGGTGATCTCCAACTCCTGACCTCAAAGACATCCTCCTGCTTGGGCCTCCCAAAGTGTTGAGATTACAAGTGTGAGCCACTATGCCCAGCACTTCAGAGTTATTAATGAGGTTTAAAAACATGTTTTTAGAAGTAGATTTAAAGCTCTCTGATTGAGATTGGTTTAATACTATTTGATGTTATTTGCATATAGGCTCTTCTGACAAAAATATGTTAATTAAATCATGTCCTCTTTGGCCACTAATCAGGTCCCCTTTCTCCCTTTCCAAAAGTAACAGTTTTTGTCCAAGTTAGTTAAAACACTATTTTTTGGTGTATGTGGTGGCTCACACCTCTAATCTCAGCACTTTGGGAGGCTGAGGTGGGAGGATTGCTTGAGCCCAGGAGTTTGAGACTAGCCTTGGCAAAAAGACGAGAGAGACCCCGTCTCTACAAAAATTACAGAAATTAGCTGGATATAGAGGTGTGTGATGGTGTCCCAGCTAGTTGGGAGGCTGAGGTGGGAGGATTGCTTGAGCTCAGGGTTGGAGGCTGCAGTGACCCTTGATAGTGCTTGAAATGTCAAATGTTACTATTCATTTATATATTTCCATTTGGTTCTTACTCCATAGTAAAGCTTAGCGCTTCAACTGTTTAGAGACAGTCTTATTGAGCAGCATAAGTTGTACCATCTTACAATTATAAGAAAAGACTATAGGCCATTAATAATATTCATAGAAAGGAAACAATCTTTAATAATAAAACCCCAACAATGCCAGTAATTGCTTTAAAGTACTAATGATGTATTTCCTGATGAAAAAATCAAGAACAATATAATTTTTAAATTTTTTTTTCCTTTTTTTTTGAGACAGGGTCTCTTGCTCTATTGCCCAGGTTGGAGTGCAGGGGCGTGATCATGTCTCACTGCAGTCTCTGCCTCCTGGGTTCAAGCGATTCTTCTGCCTTAGCCTCCTGAGTAGCTGTGATTACAGGCAACTGCCGCCACACCCGGCTAATTTTTGCTTTGTTGTTGTTGTTGTTGTTGTTTTTGTTTTTTTTTTTTGAGTCGGAGGTTTGCTCTTATTGCCCAGGCTGTAGTACAATGGCATGATCTTTAGAGGTGAAGCCAGCTGGGCTTCTGGGTCCGGTGGGGACTTGGAGAATTTTTCTGTCTTGCTAAAGGATTGTAAACACACCAAACAGTGCTCTGTGTCTAGCTAAAGGTTTGTAAGCGCACCAATCAGCACTCTGTAAAAACGGACCAATCAGGACTCTGTGTCTAGCTAAAGGTTTGCAAGCGCACCAATCTGCACTTTGTAAAAACGCACCAGTCAGCGCTCTGTGTCTTGCTAAAGGTTTGTAAATGCACCAATAAGCACTCTGTAAAAACGAACCAATCAGCGCTCTGTAAAATGGACCAACCAGTGCTCTGTAAAATGGACCAACCAGTGCTCTGTAAAATGGACCAATCAGTAGGACGTGGGCATCACAAAATAAGGGAATAAAAGCTGGCTGCCGGAGCCCGCAGTGGCAACCCGCCGGGGTCCTCTTCCATGCTGTGGAAGCTTTCTTCTTAGGCTCTTCCCCAGTAAATCTTGCTGCTGCTCACTCTTTGGGTCCGCACTACCTTTATGAGTTGTAACACTCACATTGAAGGTCTGCAGCTTCACTCCTGAAGCCAGCGAGACCACAAACTTATCGGGAGGAACAAATAACTCCAGACACGCCATTTTGAGAGCTGTAACGCTCACTGCGAAGGTCTGTGGCTTCACCCTGAAGTCAAGCGAAACCAGGAACCCACTGGAAGGAAGAAACTCCGGACAGATCTGAACATCTGAAGGAACAAACTCCGGACACACCATCTTTAAGAACTGTAACATTCACGGCGAGGGTCCACGGGTTCATTCTTGAAGTCAGCCAGACCAAGAACCCACCGGAAGGAACCAATTCCGGACACAATCTTAGCTCACTGCAATCTCCACCTCCTGGGTTCAAGCGATTCTCCTGCCTCAGCCTCCTGAGTAGCTGGGACAACAGGTGCCCGCCACCATGCCAGCTAATTTGGTATTTTTAGTAGAGATGGGGTTTCACCGTCTTGGCCAGTCTGGTCTCGAACTCCTGACTTCAGGTGATCCACCCACCTCGGCCTCCCAGAGAGCTGGGATTACAGGCCTGAGCCACCACGCCCAGCCCTAATTTTTGTATTTTTAGTAGAGACGGGGTTTCACCACATTGGCCAGGCTGGTTTCAAACTCCTGACCTCAAGTGATCCACTGGCCTCGGCCTCCCAGAGTGCTGGGGTTACAGGCGTGAGGCACTGTGCCCAGCAATATTTTCTTTTTTAATCAGATGAGTTTTGCTTTTGACAAAAATTTGCTTCTGGCCGGGCACGGTGGCTCACGCCTGTAATCCCAGCACTTTAGGAGGCCGAGGCGGGCAAATCACCTGAGATCAGGAGTTTAAGACTAGCCAGGACAACATGGTGAAACCCTGTCTCTACTAAAAATACACACGCGCACACACACACACAAACTGAGGCAGGAGAATCGCTTGAACTGGGGAGGTGGTGGTTGCAGTGAATGGAGATCATGCCATTCACTCCAGTCTGGGTGACAAGAGTGAAACTCCATCTCAAAAAAAAAAAAATTGCTTGTAATTCTATGTTGATTCCAAATAAGATTTCAGAATAGTAAGCTATTTCCCAACTATTTAAATCTTTGAGGAGTTTATTGTTGCAGATGTGCAAACCAGATAGATCTACCGGATGCTACTTTGGTATTTGGTATCTTTTTCAGGTTTTTGCTAACAACCACAAAAGACTATGTTTGTTTGTTTGTTTGTATATTAGAGGAAAATATTTCTGCAGCTTGGGAATATATGGGACTAATAGGCATGTGTATCACCAGTGTGTATGATACCATATTACTGCCTGAATGAACACATCAGCTGTAAGAAGGAAGGTGAGAATTTGAGAAATACTGGTCTGTGTTTTGGGTTTATCCATTACTGGAGTTGCACGTTTTCCCTTGTCATAATTCCTGTAGCTTTTAGCTCTTCCTCATTGTCTGTTGAGTTGAATTAACTCTTTCTCCCCCACCACATTTAACTCTAGGGAGTGTAAACTTGTGCTGTTCTCTTTCTCATTCCATGTTTCTGTTGTCTTTTAGTTAACATCTTGTCTTTGAGGGGAATGAATTAACTTCTTTAAGGGAAGTGAATTAACTACTTTGAGAGAAATAGGAGAAAGAGCAGGGACAAAATAATAACCTGTGGCCAAAAGGAGGGGATGTGATGTATGATGAAATGTCATTCCTTTATCTTATCTTATATTCTTGCAGTGCTAGCTGTTAAAATGGATCCAGTAGACCTTAAACCTAGGCCCTTGTTTGTGCTGCCCGACTTCATGTGCTATAGTGCATTTTAAAATTTATTCAGCCATTCATTTCTTATCTTATAAACTTGAATTTGTTTTAATTTTGTATAGTTTTTCTTATTTAGGAAGGACTTTGTGTTCTTACATGAGTTTCATATAATAGAGTTTGAAACTAAGCTATTAAATTATGATGATTGCCCTAACATGTGCATCAGGTACTTTTTTGTTTTGTAGTTGGTTTTATTGGAGCCATTGCATGTCCTAACAGGGTAAGGAGTGATCATATAGAAAGCAAGGAAGTGATGGGTTTGGTCTCTGGTCAAACCATAGAAGTGAGTTGAGTAATTCATTTTTGCTCTATTTTTCCATCTGAAAATGGGAAGGATGATATCCTGACTCCCAGTTTATGCAAGTTTTGTTCATAGATAAAGGTGCACTGGTTTTCACTCATCTTTTGTGTGAAATTTCTGGTGGCATAGGAATTTAGAAAGAAATCAATAAACTTGTGATTCTTGTTCTGAAGATACTTCTAGCCTTGTAATCCCATAATGGACATAAGACCATTACACGAAGAACCGTAGCATGTAGTAAATGGCATGATGACATTACCACCCAAGGAAAATGTGCAGTGGAAACTCATGGTTCAATTTGACAAGGCGTTTATCAATCTCCACCATGTGCCAAGCCTTTCTGGGCAGCTGAGAGAAGAGATAACAAAATAGTTTCTGTTTTAGAGAACAGGGAATAGAAATGATATAAGGATTGAGATGATATTTTTATAATACTTTAGGTTTATTCTGCACAGGCAAACTGTGTATTATACGACACATAACTTATGACACTTAGGTTTCTAACTGGGAAATTGTAGGTGCTTGTTTAGTTATTGGGTGTTGTTAATGGCTTTTTGGTTTGGCAGTTTGTCTAAGGCCTAGCAGTTGTTTGAGGAACATTTACATATAGGATTAACCTTTTGTAATGTTTTCAGAATCCTGCAGTTTCGATGCTTTCTAGATATTTAGGATTTGATCATTAACCAGGTGATAATATAAGCATGAAAAAAATGATTTGGGCTGGGCGCAGGTGGCTCATGCCTATAATCCCAGCACTTTGGGAGGGTGAGGTGGGTGGATCACTTGAGGTCAGGAGTTCGAGACCATCTTGGCCAACGTGGTGAACCCTCGTGTCTCCTAAAAATACAAAAGTTAGCTGGGCATGATGGCGGGTGTCTGTAATCCCAGCTACTTGGGAGGCTCAGGCAGGAGAATCGCTTGAACCCGGGTGGCGAAGGTTGCAGTGAGCAGAGATCGCGCCACTGCACTGTAGCCTGGGGGACAGAGCGAAACTTTGTCTCAAAATAATAATATTTTATGTGAAAATAAATGTAATAAAGGTTAAGCTTAGTATTTTAAAGTTTGTTTATTCCTAGGGAGTAATAGTTCCCACATTAAACATGAAGAGTTTTTCAAAACTCAGTGATCATTCTAATTGGTATGAAGCATGCAGGAGGTAATTAGCTTAAGATGCAATGGTGGAAAACATGCATAATTTATATACAAGCCTTGTTACATGTGCAGCTATGAAAGAGTTCTTTTTCATATGGTCAGTTATATGTTATATGTCGACAAGATAATTAAAAGTAGATTTATAAGCCAAAATTTAATGATGGTTAAGTTAATGGAAATTTTCCCTCAATTAAAAACATTCAACAATAATGTAATATCACCTCACCTGGGTGAAATGAGTTTATTTTATCTTATTATTTTTTTAATAGGCTTTACTTTTTAGAGCAGTTTTAGGTTTACACTGTGAAATTGAGAAGAAGGTACAGAGATTTCTCATGTATTTTCTTCCTCCCATCACGTATGTACAGCCGCCTCCATTATTAATATCTGTCTCCAGAGTGGTACATCATTATAATTGATGAATCTACACATCATTATCACCCAAAATTTCTTTTATTTTTAATTAAAAATTTTTTTAAAAAATAGTACAAAGCCCCCTGAACCTTGCTGAAGGTGTTTTTTTTTGTTTTTTGTTTGTTTGTTTGTTTGTTTGTTTTTGAGACAGGGTTTCACTTCCATTGTCTAGGCTGGAGTGCAATGGTGTGATCTCGGCTCACTGCAGCCTCTACCTCGTGGGTTCAAGTGATTCTCCTGCCTCAGCCTCCTGAGTAGCTGGGATTAGAGGCATGTGCCACTGCACCCGAGTAATTTTTTTTTTTGTATTTTTTTTTTTAGAGGTGGGCTTTTGCCTTGTTGCGCAAGCTGGTCTCCAACTCCTGAACTCAAACAGTCTGCCTGCCTTGGCTTCCCAAAGTGCTGGGGTTACAGGCATTAGCCTCTGAACCCAGCTGGTGCCCTATAACTCTTGAACACTTTAGTGTGTTTTTTCCACAAACAAGAATGTTTTCCTGATTAATCACAAAATAGTCATAACAATCAGGAAATAATATTGATATATTTCCACTGTCTAATCCTGAAGTCTCCATTAACATTTTGCCATGTTTTCCAGTGATATCCTTTCTTCTTTTTTGAGGCGGAGTTTTGCTCTTGTTGCCCAGGCTGGAGTGCAATGGTAGGATCTTTGCTCACTGCAACCTCTGCCTCCCACGTTCAAGCGATTCTCCTTCCTCAGCCTCCCAAGTAGCTGGAATTACAGGCACATGCCACCATGCCTGGCTAATTTTTGTATTTTTAGTAAAGACAGGGTTTCACCACGTTGGTCAGGCTGGTCTCGAACTCCTGACCTCAGGTGATCCGCCTGCCTTGGCCTCCCAAAGTGGTGGGATTACAGGTGTGAGCCACTGTGCCCGGCTGTGTTCATTTTTTTTTTTTTTTACGGCTGAATAATATTCTAGTACATGGATAATACCACATTTTGTTTACCCATTTGTCAGTTGATTGACATTCTGATTTTTCCACCTTTTGCCAATTATGAGTAATTTCATAACATATAACGTTATAAATATTCATGTACAAGTTTTTGTGTGGGCATATGTGCTCGTTTCTTTGGGGTATATACCTAAGAGTAGAATTGCTGGATCATATGGTAACTGTATATTTAACCATTTGAGGAACTGCCAGCCTGTTTTCCCAGGTAGTTGCACTATTTTCCATTTCCACCATCAGTGTGTGAGCGTTCCAGTTTCTCCACATTGTTGTCAGCATTTGTGGACTGTCTCTTTATTTAAATTCAATTAAATTTTTTGAGACAGAATCTCACTGTCACCTAGGCGGGAGTGCAGTGGTGCTATCTTGGCTCACTGTAACCTCTGTCTCCCGGATTCAAGCCATTCTCATGCCTCAACCTTTTGAGTAGCTGGGATTATGGGTGTGCATTACTATGCCCGGCTAATTCTCGTATTTTTAGTAGAGACGAGGTTTCACCGTGTTGGCCTGGCTGGCCTCGAACTCTTGACCTCAGGTGATCCTCCCGCCTCGTGACCAACCACGCCTGGCCAACGGTCTCTGTTTTTAAGAGACAGGGTCAGTCTCTGTCGCCCAGGCTGGAGTACAGCGGCATGATCATAAGCTCACTGTAATCTGGAACTCATGGGCTCAAGCAAGCCTCCAGCCTTAGTCTCCCTAGTAGCTAGGACTAGAGGTAGACACTACCACATGTGGTTACTATTTTTTCTTTTTCTTTCTTTTCTTTTTTTTTTTTTTTTAAAGTTGAAGTCTTAATCTGTCGCCCAGGCTAGAGTGTAGTGGCGTGATCTCGGCTCACTGCAATCTCTGCCTCCCGGGTTCAAGTGATTCTCCTGTCTCAGCCTCCCAAGTAGCAGGGATTACGGGTGCCCGCCACTGTGCGCAGCTAATTTTTATATTTTTATTAGAGATGGGGTTTCACCATCTTGGCCAGGCTGGTCTCGAACTCCTGACCTCATGATCCACCCGCCTCGGCCTCCCAAAGTGCTGGGATTATAGGCATGAGCCACTGTTCCCGGCCTTTTCTTTGTTTTTGTTGTGTGTTTTGTGTGTGTGTGTGTGTGTGTGTGTGTGTGCGCGCGCGCATACTTTTAGGTGTTATATATAAGAAACTATTGCCTAATCCAGAGTCTTTGAAGATTTTCTCCTAGGAGTTTTATAGTTTTAGCTCTTACATTTAGATCTTTGATCCATTTTGAGTTAATTTTTGCATATGTTGTAAAGTAGGGGTTCATATTTACTCTTTTGCATGTCACTATCCAGTTGACCCAACACCATTTGTTTAAAAGCCTTTTCTTTCCCTCGTTAAATTGTTTTGGCATCTTCGTCAAAAATTACCCATAAATGTGCAGTTTTATTTCTGGACTCTGAATTCCATTGATCTATATGTCTATCTGTATGCCAGTACTTCAGTGTTTTTATTACTGTACTTTTATAGTTTTAAAATTGTGACGTATCTTCTACCTTTGTTCTTCCGTTTCAGGATTATTTTGGCTATTCTATAGCCCCTGAATTTCCATATAAATTTTAGGATCATTTGTTAATTTCTGCCACAAAGGCAGCTGGGATTTTGACAGTAATTATATTGAATCTGTAGATAAACTTGGGGAGCCATCTTAATGATAGTAACTTTTCTGATCCATGAACATGGATGTCTTTTCATTTACATCATCTTAAAATTTCTTTCAATGATGTTTTGTAGTTTTCAGTGTTTAGTTTTTTTTTTTTTTTCCTTTAGAGATGGGGTCTTGGTATGTCATGCAGGCTGGAATGCAGTGGTGTGATCATAGCTCACTGCAGCCTTGAACTCCTGTGCTCAAGTGATCATCCTGCCTCAGTCTCTCAGTAGTCTGGGACTACAGGTGCGTGCTACTGTGCCCGGCTGATTTTCGTATTTTTTGTAGAGCCAGCATCTCACTTCATTGCTCAGGCTGGTCCCAAACTCCTGGCCTCAAGCAGTCCTCCCACTGTGGCCTCCCCAAGTGCTGGTATTACAGGAGTGAACTACCGCACCCAGCCGGTTTTCAGTGTTTCAGTCTCGTACAGTCATGCGCAGCATAATGATGTTCTGGTCAATGATGGACAGCATATATGATGGTGGTCCCATAAGATTATAACAGCTGAAAAATTCCTAACACCTAGTGACATGGTAGCCGTCCTAATGTTGTAGCACAATGCATTACTCTTGTGTTTGTGGTGATTCTGGTGTAAACAAACCTACTTCGCTACTAGTCGTTATAGAAGAGCAAAGGCAGAAGACACACACATCACAATTTTAAAACTATGAAAGTACAATAATAAAGACACTGTGGTACTGGCATACAGATACACATATAGATGTAGCAGCTGGTTGTCCAGGCTGGGTGGGGTGCTGCCCCCATGCCTATAATCCCAGCTTTTTGGGAGCCCGAGATGGAAGGACGGCTTGAGTTCAGAAGTTCAAGGTTACAGTGATAATAATAAAGATTATTACTGGTATATGTATTTATGATATTGTACTTTTTATTTTAGAGTTTACTCCTACTTATTAAAAAAAAGTTAACTGTAAAGGAGTCTCAGGCAGTCCTTCAGGAGGATTCCAGATGAAGGCATTGTTATCAGAGGAGATGACAGTTCCATAAGTGTTATTGCCTGTGATGACCTTCCAGTGGAACAAGATGTGGAGGTGGAAGACAGTGATATTGATGATCCTGACCCTGTGTAGGGTTAGGCTAATACGTCTGTGTCTCGGTTTTTAACAAAAAAAGTTAAAGAAAAAAAAAATAGAGAAAAGAGAAAATGATATAAAGAAAAAAATGTTGTACAACTGCATAATGTATTTTTATTACAACAGTCAAAAGTTTATGAGGTAAAAATTACAGTAAAGGTTAATTTATTATTGGAGAGAGAAAATTTAAGAAATAAATTTAGCGTAGCATAAATCTACAGTGTTTTTAAAGTCTACAGTACTGTACAGTAATGTCCTAGGCCCTCCTATTACCCAGACATGTTCTAGTCCTGTAAGCTGCGTTGATGGTAAGTGCCCTATGCAGGTATACCATTTTTTATCTTTTATGCTGTGTTGTTACTGTACCTTCTCTATGTTTAGGTATTCAAATGCTTACCATTATGTTAAAACTCTCTATAGTATTCCATATGGTAACATACTGTACAGGTTTGTCGTGTAGGAGCAGTAGGCTATACCATATAGCCTAGTGTGTAGTATGCTCTTTCATCTAGATTTGCGAAGTTTACTCTGTGATGTTTGCACAGTGACAGAATTGTCTAATGACGCATTTCTCAGAATGTATCCCTGTTAAGTGATGCATGACTGTACTTCTGTTTCTAAATTTATTCCTAAATATTTTATTCTTTTTCTGTTGTGAATGGAATTTGTAATTTTTTTTCAGATTACAATTATCATATAAAAATACAGTTGATTTTGTATATTGATCTTTCATGGTTACTTAAACTTGAATTAAAATTACATTTAAAATTACATTTTGCATTTCCACTAGCTACCATTCAAGCGCTTCATAGCTACATGTGGCTAGTGACTACCATATTTAGTAGCACAGATTTGATTATTTTCAACGTTGCAGTTTTATTAGATACCAAATAAAAACAAAAAAATGAGTACCCCTTTTACCTCTAATTTCCCTCTGTCCAGAGGTGCTTCATTTATGTATTTATTTATTTTTTGAGACAGAATCTCGCTCTGTCGCCCAGACTGGAGTGCAGTGGCATGGTCTTCTCTCACAGCAACCTCTGCCTCCCGGGCTCAAGTGATTCTCCTGCCTCAGCCTCCTGAGTAGCTAGGACTACAGGCATGTGCCACCACGCCTGGCTGGTGGCTCATTCCTGTAATGTTTTTATATTTTTAGTAGAGATGGGGTTTTACCATGTTGGCCAGGCTGGTCTCGAACTTTTTACCTCAAGTGGTCTGTCCACCTTGGCGTTCCAAAGTGTTGGGATTACAGGCGTGAGCCACCATGCCAGGCCCAGAGGTACTTTAAACTCTTATCTGTTTCTTCTGGTACTTGTCTCCATATGTCCATGTGATATGCCCATATTGCTATTTTTTGAGATTCAGACATTTTTACTATGAGATATGGTAACTTAGCTTTCTTATATTTCTTCCTATCTTCTTAACATGTAGATTTAGCAACTTTTAGATTTATTCATTGTATCCATTATATCTATATAAGTAATCACAGCTGAAGCATAGAGTGGATTGTGATTAGATTTTATTTATTTATTTATTTTTGAGACAAGGTTTGACTCTGTCGCCCAGGTTGGAGTGCGGTGGCGCAATCTCAGTTCACTGCAACCTCCACCTCCCGGGCTCAAGCCAACCTCCCACCTTGGCCTCCAAGTAGCTGGGACTACAGGCACGCTTCACCACGCCCTGCTAATTTTTGTATTTTTTATAGAGACAGGGTTTCGCCATGTTGCCCAGGCTGGTCTCAAACTCCTGAGCTCAAGTGATCTTCTCGCCTCAGCCTCCCAAAGTGCTGGGATTACAGGTGTGAGCCACTGCACCCAGCCAATTAGACTTCTTAAATTTTTTCTTTTCCTTGGCCCTAATAATTCATTTTTTTGACTTGCTTAGTTACCTGTGAATCTATCTTTAATTCATCTCTAAACTCTCCTCTGGATGTATGAATCTTATATGAACATACTGAAACATATCAGTAAACTACCAATTGTCAAGACCTTCGAAGGGACTGAATTTTTACCCTGTCTGGAAGTTAACAGGTTAGCCAGGGAGTTTTGTAGATGCTGTGGCAAAAGATGTGAGACTTCTGGGTCAAAGGCGTAGGACTTTATTACAGCAACAATAATAGCCAGCATATTAGCATTTTCTTGCACTATACTGGTTCCCAAGGCCCCAGTTCACATATTGTGATAAGAAGAGGCCCAGGTGATACTTGTATATGCAAGGGTTGTATTACAGGGAAGAACCTGAATTTAGGTAACCTAAATCTTTTATATTGGTCTGTAAACATGCCTGCCCTTTGCTCCAGAGGGATATGCTATCTTAGTATCTTCTAAGACTGTTTTCGATATAAACATTTCTGGAAAAGATGGTGTGGAATAAAGGTAGTCAGTACCTCTGCTCACATGAGTGCAGAGACCTATGGAAAATTGTCTTCTAATATCAGTTTCATCCATCCTCCCCACAAGAAGACATAAGTGTGTCCCCTTTGCCATTCTCCAATCTGGATTGTCTGGATTGTTAACGTTTTAGTCCTGCTTCTCAGCTGCATCTCAGAAGTTTCCTTTGCTGTCAACCTTGGATTTCCCTTTTCCTCTTTGATGTAGATCCTATTTTCTGGATCCCATGCTTCTTTCTAGGCTTTCCGTTTTGACAGTGCATATCCTCTGGTGCTTCCTGACAAAGAATACATGGAAAGTTAAAAAAAGAAGACTGGGTACGGTGGCTCATTCCTGTAATCCTAGCACTTTGGGAGGTCATGGTAAGAGGATTGCTGGAGCTCAGGTGGGAAGACTAGCCTGAGCAACATGGTGAGTTGTTTCTACTAAAAATAAAATAAAAAAAAAAATTAGCCAGGCGTGGTGGTGCGTGCTTCTAGTCCAGACTACTTGGGAGGCTGAGGCTAGAGGATTGCTTGAGCCTGAGAGTTTGAAGCTGCAGTGAGCTGTCATTGCACCACTGCACTCTAGCCTGGGCGACAGAGCAGGACCCTGTCTCAACAAAAGAAAACAACAAAAAACAAAAAACCCAAGAGGCCAGGCGCAGTGGCTCATGCCTGTAATCCCAGCACTTTGGGAGGCTGAGGTGGGCGGATCACCTGAGGTCTGGAGTTCCAGACCAGCCTGATCAACATGGAGAAACCCCGTCTTTACTAAAAAAATACAGAATTAGGCAGGCATGGTGGCGCACGCCTGTAATCCCAGCTACTCGGGAGGCTGAGGCAGGAGAATCGCTTGAATCTGGGAGGCAGAGGTTGCTGTGAGCCGAGATTACGCCATTGCACTCCAGCCTGGGCAACAAGAGCAAAACTGTCTCAAAAAAAAAAAAAAAAAAAAAACACCCCACCAAGAAACCCCTGGTGTGCTGAAAATCTTCAACTTTCACTAGATGGTTTGACTAGATGTAGAATTATAGATTGGAAATAATTTTTTCCCCAGATTGTAAAGGCATTCTTTTAGTTTATTGTCTCCTAGCTTTTGTTGTTGCCTTTGAAAAGTCAAGTAGTGTTTTGATTCTCAGTTCTTTGTATATAGTTTTTTTTCTCTCTCTCTGAAAGCTTATGGAATCATTTATTCCTCATGATGATGATCCTTCCTACGGGTCTTTTTCATTAATTGTACTGCACACTTAATGAGTGCAGTTAGTGGAGACATACTTTTCAGGTCTGAAAAAATTAACTTGTGTTTTTTTTGAGACAAGGTCTTGCTCTGTCACCCAGGCTGGAGGGCAGTGTTGCAATCATGGCTCACTACGAGCTCAGACTCCTGGGATCTCATGTCTTAGCCTCCCAAGTAGCTGGGATCACAGGCCTGTGCCATCACACCAGGCTAATTTTTTAATTTAATGAAATTTTATTTTATTTTATTTATTTTGAGACAGAGTCTCGCTCTGTTGCCCAGGCTGGAGTGCATTGGCGTGATCTTGGCTCACTGCAACCTCTTCCTCTCAGGTTTGAGCAATTCTCCTGCCTCAGCCTCCCGAGTAGCTGGGACTACAGGCGCGTGCTGCCACGCCCGGCTAATTTTTTGTATTTTAGTAGAGACGGGAATCTCACCATGTTACCCAGGCTGGTCTCGAACTCCTGAGCTCAGGCGATCCACCCACCTTGGCCTCCGAAAGTGCTATGATTGCAGGCGTTAGCCACCATTCCAGTCCAAATTTTTAAATTTTTTGTGGAGATGATGTCTCACCATGTTGCCCAGTCTCGAACTCCTGGGCTCAAGCAATCTTCCTGCCTCGACCTCCCAGAGTGTTGGGATTATAGGCATGAACTACCACACTCGGCAGCATATTTTAAAATGCAGTTATTTCTGAAAGTTTTTGGTTTTACACAATTTTTTTTTTTTTAGGTAATAAGATGTATTGTAAGGATTATGCTTACGTATGGTACAGAGTATACTTCACATTGTTCCTGTCTTTTTTGTGGGGGAGGGAATGACCGAAAGCATTGGGAATGTTAAAGGCAAATGAGTAAAAAGAAAACTAAAAAACGATTACTTCTTCAAATAATGAGGAAAGCGTTTTTAAAATTTTTGTCTGTTTTTAAAAAGCAAGTTTCATGTTAGATTTCTTACCACACTCAATTTTTTCCTAATATAAAATAGATATAAAATTTGTGATTTGTTACTTTTTATGTAAGCATATATAGTCCAGTCTAAAATGACCAACTTCCAAATGTGTTCCAGAAAAGAATCATGACATTTTATAGCTGAAAAGGACCTAAAAATCCAGTCCTTTTAATATAACATATGGTAACTGACTCCTTGGGAGTATAAATTAATTATTTAAGAGCAAGTAAGATAGTAGCAGAGCTAGAACAATAACTCAGATGCCCTTATCCATTCTAATATCCACAGCATTTCTAGAAACCTCACTTAAGGCATTAATGTGATAGGTTTTACTCAAAATAGTCAACCACAAATGTAGCAAATACCTAGGTGACTTTATGTTCTGAATCTCACGAAGATTAACCTCTGATCATTTGTTTTATTTCTAAATAACCTCCTTTTTCTAAAGTGCTCCTCTGACACTTTGGTGTGTAGGTGAATATCAAGTTAACCTGCCTCAGTTATTTCCAGTTTGTCTATACATATGTTGTCTAGGCAGATGATATAACATATTTTAAAAGTGTCATGTTATTGAGAACTGAAGCCAGTATATGTTAAATGATTAAAAGGAACAATTTAAAGAATTTTAGGATTCTTTGGTCTCAAGTGACAGAAACTGAATTTGGTTTTTGGGGTTTTTTGTTTGTTTGTTTGTTTGTTTGTTTGAGACAGAGTCTCACTCTGTTACCCAGGCTGGAGTGCAGTGGCGCAGTCTTGGCTCACTGCAGCCTCCGCCTCCTGGCTTCAAACGATTCTCCTGCCTCAGCCTCCCAAGTAGCTGGGACTACAGGTGTGGACCACCACACCTGGCTAATTTTTGTATTTTTAGTAGAGATGAGGTTTCACCATATTGACCAGGCTGTCTCGAACTCCTGACCTCCTGTGATCCATCCGCCTCAGCCTCCTGAAGTGCTGGGATTACAGCCATGAGCCACTGTGCCTGGCCTGTTTGTGTGTGTGTGTGTGTGTGTGTGTGTGTGTGTGTGTGTGTGTTTGTTTGTTTGTTTGTTTTTGAGACAGGGCCTTGCTCTGTTGACCAGGCTGGAGCGCAGTGGTAGTTAGTCATAGCTCGCTATATCTTCACTGCAGCTTTGAACTCCTGGGCTCAAGTGATCCTCCCTTCTCTGCCTCCCAAGTAGCTGGGACTACAGGTGTATGCCACCATGCCTGGCAAGTTTTTAAATTTTATTTTTATTTTTTATTTTTTGTAGAGACAAGGTCTTTCTCTGTTGCCCAGGCTGATCTTGAACTCCTGGCCTCAAGTGATTCTTCTGCCTTGTCTTCCCAAAGTGCCAGGATTACAGGTGTGAGCCACCACAGCCAGCCAGAAATGTAGTTTGAACAAACTTAAACAACAAAACGTAAATTTATTAGTTATTAATTAAACCATGTGAAGGAACAGGAATCACTGGAATCAGGAACTCAAACACTTTTAGAATTCTGTGTCTCGTTTCTGCTTCTTTATGCATGTTGGCTTCATCCTTTCAGATGGGCATACTCCATTTTCTGTGAGATATCCTTTCATGTGTTTTAGGCCTTGTATATTAATAGTTCTGACATCAGAAGACAAAAGCATTCTCTCTTTTAGAATCAGTTTGAAAAATCCAGCCAGGCATGGTGATTCACACCTGTAATTCCAGCACTTTGGGAGGCTGAGGTGGGCAGATCACTTAAATCCATGAGTTTGAGACCAGCCTGACTAACATGGCGAAACCCAATCTCTACTAAAACAAACCACAAATTAGCTGGGTGTAATGATGCACGTCTGTAATCTTAGCTGCTCCGGAGACTGAGGCACAAGAACTGCTTGAGCCTGGGAGGCAGAGGTTGCAGTGAGCCAATATCGTGCCACTGCACTTCAGCCTGGGTGACAGAGTGAGACTCTGTCTCAAAAAAACAAAAAACAAAAGAAAAATCCATGGAGGGATCTATGTCATGGTCCTGTTGCTTGAACAAAATCACTGTGGGCCTAAAATGGGCAAATGTATTGGAATTTCCTTAGTGTAGGTCAGACTGTGGGGTGTGGGATGGAGAGAAGGCATTTTGTTTTCCTTTTTAATCAAGATGCTTCTGAGACAAATGTGATCTGCTATGACAGATTAAGGTTTTTTTAAATAACATAACCAGTCTTTTTATATATGCCTTTATATTTTCCTTCATTTTCATATGAACTGAAGACTTCTAATTCCCAAGTTGATAGAATTTTCACTGATTACATTTTCACTTGAGTTCTTATGAGTGATGTCTTAATTTAGAGTATTCAGCCTGTAGTTTCTCTCATTTGTAGAATGTACAAAGATCCCAAATCTGTACTTTGCTTAATGTGAAAAAATCAATATTTTTAAAATCTGTTGTAGTTAGACAATATACAGGTTATATTCAAATATGTGCAAGTATATAAATGTATGTGTCTTAGTTCATTGGTCCTTCTAAAACAAAATATCTTAGGCTGGGGTAACTTAGCAGAGATTTATTGCTTGCAGTTCTAGAGGCTGGGAAGTCCAAGATCAAGACGTCAGCAGATTTGGTGTCTGTTGATGACCTGTTCCTCATAAATGGTGCCTTCTGTGTGTCCTCATTTGGCAGAAGGGACAAACAAGCTCCCTTGGACCTCTTTTATAAGGGCACTAATCCCATTCATGAAGGCTCTGCCTAATCACCTCCTAAAGGCTCCACCTCTTAATACCATCAACATCAGTGTTAGGTTCCAACATGTACATTTTTGGGGGGGGGACACAAAAATTCAGACTATAGCAATGAATATTTAGAAATTAAGCAGTTTTGGCCAGGTATGGTGGTTCATGCCTGTAATCCCAGCAGTTTGGGAGGCTGAGGCGGGTGGATCATGAGGTCAAGAGATTGAGACCATCCTGGCCAACATGGTAAAACCCCGTGCCTGCTAAAAGTACAGAAATTAGCTGGGCGTGGTGGTGCATGCCTGTAGTCCCAGCTACTCAGGAGGCTGAGGCAGGAGAATCGCCTGAACCTGGGAGGTGGAGGTTGCAGGGAGCTAAGATTGCACCACTGCACTCTAGTCTGGGTGACAGAACGAGACTCCATCTCAAAAAAAAAAAAAAAAAAAAAAAGAAGCAGTTGTACCCTAAAGGCCTTTTAAGTTAGTTAATGTGGTCTATTTTATTTTAGGATTTAAAAAAACACTTTAAAATAATTTAAAAACAATTTGTGTTGTCATGTGAGGTCGGTTATCAATGATAAAGGTTCTTATTGGTAAGAGGATGAGGAATGCTTTAAACAAAAGGCGAAGTGTTGGGTGGAGCAGATTATTTGGCTTAGATTTTTGAGAAGCTGGAAAGGAGAAATGGGATATGATGAAGGGAAACAAATTTGGTGGTTTGGGATAGAACAGTTGAGGCACTGTAAACATGAGGTAAGAAGAATTAAAGCAGTGTAAGTAGTGGAGGACAGAGATGGTAAGAATAGAGAGAGATGAACAGGCTAAAGAAGCAGTTTAGCAAAATGGAGAATTTAGATACCAGGAATGACCTGATTCAGGCTAGTAAGTGACGTTTGCCTAGAGATCAGTCTAACTGGGGCTCAAGATATGGCCTAGCTGTGAAACAACAGATGATGAGTGAGAAGCCCAGCATGCAGAAAAGAAGTTTGCTTGGCAAACCAGAGATTCTACCAATATTTAGGGACATGGCTTTCCAAGATCAGGAAACTTCTGAGTTTAGAACATTGACTCAACACAAGGTTAAATGGGACTCTTGTTTAGTCTCCTTTGACTCTTATGCTGTTGCTAATATCATTTATGAAATCAGCAAGGACCAAAATTAGGGTAACAACTAATTGTTACCCTTTCAAGGATGACGTATGCTCTGTTTATTCAAGAGTAATACATTACTGAGGAGAAGCGTGGCCTCAGCATGAGCACTAGCTCCACAGGTGTGGCTGATGGCTGTCAGTGCTTTGTAAAGCATGTTCTCTTGAAAGGAGATCTGAATATATGTGTCTGGCTGCCACAGCAATCCTTGCTTGAAATAAAATTTTCCATTACTGTTAGAAAAGTCCCAGAGAAGTCTCCTGTTGGCCTGTCTTGAGTCAGTGCCTTAGCCTGTCAGTGGCCAACAGGTTGGTGTGCTTTTGGCAGGCTTGGGTCATGTGTCCCTTCCTGAGGGGATGGGAGTCAATTCTCGGGCTTAAATCACCATATGAAAGTGAAATTCTGTTACTAGAGAACAGTAATGGATGCTGAACAAGAAAATGTTTGGCTTGGTGTGGTAGTGTGTGCCTCTAGTCCCAGCTGCTTGGGAGGCAGAGGCAGGAGGATCACTTGAGCCCAGGAGTTGGAGTCTAACCTGGGCAACGTAGTAAGACCCTGTCTCAGAAAAGAAAAAAGTTCTCTATAATGGTGGTTTGCTGCACTGAATTTTTTCTTGGCAGGGGACAGTTTGCTGCACTGAATTTTCTCTTTTTGTAGGAGACAGTATAGAAGTTGACAGAATGCTAAGGAAAACAGAATGAAAACTAAAAAAAAGGAGAAAGGCAGAGCCTGTTGTGTTGCATGGCAATAAAACCAGATGAAGAATGACCTGTTTTCAACCAGACAGTTCCTTATTTCTACTTAAAACATGACTGTTCTATGCAAATACAGGAAAATTTAAAAGGGCCATTAACATAGACATTCTCCATCCTTTTGCCTAGATTGAATGATGTCCTGTGTCTTATAGTGTCATTTATTGAGCGAGGTACCCTTTCTCAAAGCTGTGTCTGTGCTAAGTTTGCAGGAATCGAAATTTTGAGTGATTGTACTATATTAGTGAGGAAGGCTAGTGAAAAATAATTACTTCCCTTGTGATCCTTCATGAATCCTTAGGAGATTTAGCTAAAAATAATTTTTTGTTAGAGGAAACATTTCTAATGAGTTCTGCTGTTGACAGATCAGTTTGGAAAGAAAAGAGCTCTGCAGTTGATCAGCATAGTAATATATTTCTAGTTTATTTGTATGCTGGACCCTGGATGACATAGTTCCTGTGATCTCAGTTATTCTGGCAGTAGCTCAGCTAGTTCATATCCACAGTTGTGGCAAAAACTTTTGTACTGAAACAAGTGAAGTACAGATAATGTGACATCCAGAATGTGCTATTGTGGTCTGTTTTTCATCTAAGCATGAAATAATGATATTGAAAAATTGTTTTTAATTATAAGAGGAATATATAATGTTAGATAAAATAACCTGTACTTTCACTGTGAATATTTATTTTCTTTTAATAACTTCTAATATAGCAGTATAAGGTCATGTTGTTTGGACGTTCTGGGGGTAGTTGCTTTATATTCACATTCATGTAATTGGGAGTGTATTACCTTTGGGTCCCACTACATTTTAAATATTGAGTTTTACTATATTTTATTTTGTTTTTTCTACTGGTATTTTATTTATTTTATTTTATTTATTTATTTTGAGACTGAGTCTCACTCTGTTGCCCAGGCTGAAGTGCAGTGGTGCTTCACTTGGCTCACTGCAACCTCTGTCTCCTGGGTTCAAGCTATTCTCCTGCCTCAGCCTTCCAAGTAGCTGGGATGACAGGTGTGGGCCACCGTGCCTGGCTAATTTTTATATGTTTAGTAGAGATGGGGTTTCTCCATGTCGGGCAGGCCGGTCTTGAACTCCTGACCTCAGGTGATCCACCTGGCTTGGCCTCCGAAAGTGCTAGGATTACAGGTGTGAGCCACCACACCTAGCCTATATTTTAAATACTTTTTTGTTTTGAGATGGTCTCACTCTGTTGCCCAGACTGGAGTGCAGTGACCTGATCTCAGCTCACTGCAGCCTCACCTCCTGAGTTCAAGTGATTCTCCTGCCTCAGCCTCCTGAGGAGCTGGGACTACAGGCATACACCACCACGCCCGGCTATTTTTCGTATTTTTAGTAGAGACAGGGTTTTACCATATTGGCCAGGCTGGTCTTGAACTCCTGGCCTCAAGTGATCCGCCTGCCTCGGCCTTGCAAACTTTTGGGATTACAGGTGTGGCCCAGTGCACCTGGCAGTATTTTAAATACTTTTACATTAAAAAAAAATTTTTCGTGAGTATATAGGAGTAGGTGTATATATTTATGGGTTACCTGAGATATTTTGATACAGGCATACAATGTGTAATAATCACATTAGGGTAAATGGGATGTCCATCACCTCAAACATTTACCCTTTGTATTATAAACAATCCAACTATACTCTCAGTTATTTTAAAATGTACAATTAAATTATTTTTTATGAAATCACCCTGTTGTGCTAGCAAATACTAGGTCTTACTCATTCTTTTCTATTTTTCGTATCCATTAACCATTCTCACTTACCCCTACCTCCACCATTCTCACTTTCCCCCTACTCCCCACTCCCCTACCTCCCTATCTTTCCCTCTACCTCCTCCTGTCCTACCTCCCCACTTTCCCCCTACCCTTCCCATCCTCTGGTAACCATCCTTCTACTCTCTATTTCTGTGAGTTCAATTGTTTTAATTTTTAACTCCCACAAATAAGTGAGAACATGCGATCTTTCTGTGCCTGGCTTGTTTCACTTAATATAATGACCTCCAGTTCCATCTATGTTGTTGCAAATGACTGAATCTCATTATTTTTTATGGCCGAATAGTACTCCATTGGGCATATGTACCATATTTTCTTTTCTTTTCTTTTTTTTTGAGACAGAGTTTTGCTTTTGTTACCCAGGCTGGAGTGCAATGGTGCGATCTCGGCTCACTGCAACCTCTGCCTCCTGGGTTCAAGCAATTCTCCTGCCTCAGACTCCCAAGTAGCTGGGATTACAGGCATGTGCCACCATGCCTGGCTAATTTTGTATTTTTAGTAGAGACGGGGTTTTACCATGTTGGTCAGGCTGGTCTCAAATGCCTGACCTCAGGTGATCTGCCCACCTTGGCCTCCCAAAGTGCTGGAATTATAGGCGTGAGCCATGGTACCTGGCCTGTACCATATTTTCTTTGTCCATTCATCTTTTTTTTTTTTTTAAGTTTTATTTTGAGACAGAGTTTCTTGTCCAGGTTGGGGTGTAGTGGCATGATCTTGGCTCACTGCAACCCCCGCCTCCTGGGTTCAAGTGATTCTCCTGCCTCAGGCTCCTGAGTAGCTGGGATTACAGGCATCTGTCACCACACCCAGCTAATTTTTGTATTTTTAGTAGAGACGGGGTTTCACCATGTTGGTCAGGCTACTCTTGAATTCCTGACCTCAAATGATCTGCCCGCCTCAGCCTCCCAAAGTGTTGGGATTACAGGCGTGAGCCACTGTGGCTGGCAGGGAAAGATACTTGTACATGGGTCAGGAATTGAACCCGGGTCTCCTGTGTGAAAGGCGAGAATTCTACCACTGAACCACCATTGCGCTGACTTATCCGTAGAGCAGATAAACGAACAGCAACCTTGGTCCTTTAAACTTCATCTTGAACTTAGAAATAACAAGAAAAGACCCTTGAGCCCCAAATAACTTTTTGACGAGCATGCAAATGTAAAATACACTTCAGAAAGGTTTAAAAATCTTTTGGACCTCTTATGCTTTATAATTATTCCTTATAGTTGACTAGGATAGAATACTTAAAGTTTCTATTCTTTTATATTAATGCACATACATATTTTTTTAATTTTTTTTTTTTTTTCAAGAGACAGGGTCTTGCTTTGTTACCCAGGCCAGAGTGCAGTGATATGATCATGGCTCACTGCATCTTTGGCTTCTGGGCTCAAGTCATCCTCCCACCTCAACCTCTCTAGTAGATAGGACTACAGGGGTCCACCATCATGCCTGGCTGATTTTCTAAACTTTTGTGGAGTTGAGGTCTCACAATGTTGCCCAGGCTGGTCTTGAACTCCTGTCTTTAAGCAATGCTCCCGCCTCAGCCTCCTAACGTTGTGGAATTACAGACATGAACTGCCACGCCTGGCCAGCGTTATGCTTTACTCCTTTTGATAATGGAAGTAATACATGCCCAAGTTAAAAAAAAATTAAGCCATACTGAAAACATTTTAAAAATACAAATCAACTTTATTTCCAACATTCAGAGAAAACTTAGGTTATCATTTTGGAGCTTACTTTTTGGACTTTTTTTTGTGCTTGTATTTACACACAGGCACATACAGAATTATGATGATTATGTTCAAGATGCTTTGTAACCAGCTTTTTTTCACTTAGTTATATCGTAGATATCTTTACATAGCAGTAATGCATAGTAATACCATTTTAAATTACTGCATTAATGTACTATATGAATGTATTGTTTAGTCAGCCTCATGCTTTTTCTCTTTCATCATTAAATGAGTTCATGAACATGAATATTCTTGTCTGTACCTTTTTCTTATTTCATTATTGTATAATTTAAAGCTACAAATGTAGCAGAACTTGTAAAACTTCAGAGTGAAATATTGAAGCCCTTGAGGTGTTGGTATTTTTTTTATTTTATTTTTTGTTACTCTGGGATCAAGATTAGGAAAAATATTTCTCTCTCTCAGGCTACGTGTTTTCTGGGGCTGTTATCTTTTTTTTTTTTTTTTTTTTTTTTTGAGACGGAGTCTCACTCTGTTGCCCAGGCTAGAGTACAGTGCCATGATCTTGGCTCACTGCCTTCTCTGCCTCCCGGGTTCACACTGTTCTCCTACCTCAGCCTCCTGAGTAGCTGGGACTACAGGCGCCCGCCACCATGCCTGGCTAATTTTTTGTATTTTTAGTAGAGACGGGGTTTCACCGTGTTAGCCAGGATGGTCTCAATCTCCTGACCTCATGATCTGCCCGCCTCAGCCTCACAAAGAGCTGGGATTACAGGCGTGAGCCACCGTGCCCGGCCGGGGCTGTTATCTTAATGCTTACAGGACTTTATTTGTATTTTTATCTTTGTTTATTTTTGTTTTTTAAATTTTTTTACTTTTTGTGTTTTTTTCCATATTGGTTTTTTCATGTTCATATGTAAACTGTCATAGTATTTCTTAGACATCATTAATGGATAGAAATCTTAATTTTAAAATGGAAAAGAAGAATGAGTCTAACTGCATGTGTCAACTTAATTTATTTTAAAAATTACTTAATGTTTAGCTGGGCCTGGTGGCTCATGCCTGTAATCCCGGCACTTCAGGAGGCTGAGGCAGGCCAATGAATCACTTGAGTCTAGGAGTTCGAGACCAGCTTGGGCAACATGGCAATTTACATCTTTTAGGGTTATAACACTTACAATGTTTGGGAAGGAAGGATCCTTTTATTACTTTTAGTTTATCATGATTATTATTACCATTTTATTTATCATATTATTTATAATTTTTTTCTTAAAATTTTTTTTTCCTGGATGCTCTTATAGGGTTAAACATTATTATCACTTTAATCAGACATTATGTTATGGCCACATTTCACATATTAGAGTGAAAGGAAAAGAGGAATTCAGAAAAGCAGAAGAAAGTGAGTCAAAATTTATACGTTCAAATCAGTGCTACCTTTCCAAGCAATATATACTTTGCTGCCACTGCTCAAATTGTCCATTGGATCTCATTTTCTAGATAATGGCTTTAGGGTTTTATTTGCATCTGTGCAAAGATGTGTCTATTCAACATGAAAACATTAGTGAGTTCAGTCAATAGTTTGGTTTGGGGTTTATGTGATACCAGTAGTTTTCAATTCTGGTGGATTAGTTTTTTTACTTTCTGGTGGACTCAGCAGAATCGTTGTGATGAGTTTTTTGGTAGGTTAGTTTGCTAGAAATGGGTTATTTTTGAATTAATGATCACTGGTTTGTTTTTTTTCCCAGTCAGCAGATAAGCAGAGAGCCCTAGAAGAAACCAAAGCCTACACCACCCAATCCTTAGCAAGTGTTGCCTATCTGATAAACACCTTGGCCAACAATGTCCTGCAGATGCTGGATATCCAGGCATCCCAGCTACGAAGGATGGAATCTTCAATCAATCATATTTCACAAGTGAGACCACAATATTTTCCTATTTGCCTATGAGGAACCCTTAATAATAAACACAGGCTATCTGTAATGCTGGCAGCTTTTATTATGTAAGTTAACTCACATGTACGATTTGGAAAATAGCAACTTAATATTAGGTTGTTTTTAGATTCTGTCTTTTTGTGGGATGGTTATCTTCTCTGTGATTTTGATAGGAAAGTAAATCGTAATGAATTTTATTAAAACTCAGTTGTCATGGTAACATAATCAGCCCTATAATGAAACTTCATCCATTCCCCCGCCTTTTTTTTTTTTTAAAACAAATTTCATACTTCTTTATCAATTTAAAAAGATAAACTTGATAGATTGGTGGCTTGTTCAAAAATTTTTTTTTCTTTTGGTAGGATTTATGTTTACTGGGATGGTACCATACCTGCAATAATGGAAAGACTAGCAAACCTTATGAAATTATTTTTATTATATATAATTTAAAAAAAAGTGTATTACTTCATGGGCTTGTAAAAGTTTTTTAAAAAATGTTAATCTGTCTTCATTATAAAAGCCATACTCATGAAAACCCAGAAAAAGAAGAGAAAAAGTAGAAAAATAAACCATTTTACCACTTCCCAAGCTTTTCTCTGTTAATATTTTGGTATATCTCCTTGTAATCCTTTTTCCTGTAAGTAGTTTTTTTTAAATGTAACTGTGGGCTGGGCACACATCTGTAATCCCAGCACTTTGGGAGGCTGAGGTGGGAGGATCGCTTCAGCCCAGGAGTTCCAGACCAGCCTGGGCAGCATAGCAAAACCCTGTTCTCTACCAAAAATACAAAAATTAGCCAGGTTTGGTGGTGCACGCCTGTTGTCCCAGCTACTTGGGAGGCTAAGGTGGGAGGATCATCTGAGCATGCGGAGGTCTAGACTATATTGAGCTGTGATTATGACATGCCCTTCAGCCTGGGAGACAGAGTGAAACCCTGTCTCCAAAAAAAAATAAAAAAAAGTAGCCAGGATTATAATAGAGTCAGTTATAGAATAGGTATAAAATTTTGGGTTCTGCTTTTTTAACTTAGCGTTAAGGCAAACATAATCTCTTGATGTTGTAAGTTCTTCATAAACATTCTCAGTGGCTGCATAATGTTGCGTGTATATGTTGTACCTTTCATAATCATTCCCATATTTTGGGGCCATTTAAAATAATACTGCAGTGAAAAACCAATTAAGTTGTAAAATGCAATTTAAAAAATATAAAAATGATAAAGGTTTTGGTCTGCCTCCCTTTTTTTGAATAGATCTTTGAAATGTTCTATTTTAGCACTCTTGTCATTTGAATGATTATTATTCAACACTCTTTTTAGACCTAAATGATTAGAACTATTTTGGAATGAAAATAATTTTTAAATGTGCATATTATTATTATTTTTAATGTCTTGAGAGTTCAGGGCTCTTTTCAAATGAACTAACCATCTTTGAGAGTCTAAAGTTTAGCAAATTTGTATAACTAGACCAAATATAGTCCAGATAATAAAATCAGATATGGTATTTTTGAAAATTTGTCAGACCAATTTAGAGAGATTTCTTATTTAATATTACTTAATCTGAAATCTGAATTTGCCATTATAAGGGTTTCTTCACATTTTATACAAACTTCTGCAGACATATCATTTATTGCTTGTTATATTGTGTATCTTAAGTTAAAAAAAAATTGGTGCGTTTTAATGAGTGTAAGGTAAATTTCAGTTGGGAAAGGCCTCCTGAAGGAAATAATCAATGGGATTTTAAATGACGAAATAGATGAATTTTTTTTTTTTTTAAGAGACAAAGTCTTGCCCTGTTTCCCAGGCTGGAGTATAGTTGTACAATCATGGCTCACTGCAACCTCGAACTCCTGGGCTCAAGGGATCCTCCTGCCTCAGCCTCTCAAGTAGCTGGCTGGGACTACAGGCACGTGCCATGCTTGGCTGATTTTTTTTTTTTTTTTTTTTTTTTTTTTTTTTGTAGAGACAGTGTCTTGCCATCATGCTGGGGCTGGTCCTGAAATCCTGGGCTCAAGCAGTCTCCCACCTTAGTCTCCCAAGGTGTTGGGATTACAGGTGTGAGCCAGTACTCCTGGCCTGAACTTGGTTTTCTGTAGAAGGAGGGAGGTTGACAAATTGCTAATGTGATATAGAATTTCAAGATCTATTCTTGAGAATCCTAAAATTTTTCCATGTTTGAAGCATTAGCAAAGGATGTTAAAAAGAAACGTTAAAAAAAAGAACAAATATAGAAGAGAAACTAGTATATTTGAGTTCCTAAAAAGGAGGAACAAGTTTTACTAGGCATTAGGGGAGAGTAGGAGAGATTATGTGGGTAAATGATGACAACAAGCAAATAGCAATGAAGGATAATAATTTATTTTCTGTTTAGAATTTTGTAGTACTTTGGTAGAAAAGTGTTAGCAAGCTCAAGGAGGAAGGTGAATACTCAGCCACCCTAGATTTTGAGTATATGTATTAATTCAGTTATTCAGAACATTTTCTTTAGGAGTATCATATAAATTGGCGTTTAATTAATGTGGTCAATTAATGCTGTCTTTTAAAGCTATCTTAATGGATTAAGTAAAAAACAGAAGAATGGATAGAGATTAATAAACTGGAAATTACAGAGGCCTCAGTCAAAGCTGTCAGGAATACGTCGAACCTTCTTTTTTCAGAGTTGAGTGTCTAGAGGGCAATAGTTGGAGGGGTAATAGATCTGCAATTCTCAGTGGCTGTTAAGTTTATACAGAATATAAATTATTATGTTGGATAAAGGATCAAGTCTGAGAAATAGGCTGATAGAGGCTATATTTAAGAAATAAGAGTAATTTTAAAAATTTATGTATTTTCTAGCATTTGCCTCAAGGATTGAAATTTTTTTTTTTTACTTGTGTTTACAGGTAGAATTCTTTATTTAAAAAGTCAGTTGAATATCAAAACTATTTGATATTCTTCAGACTGGAATATTATTCTCTAGTGTAGAAGAAAACATTTTCTGCTTACAAAACAAATAGTAAATACTCTAAAATAGGGGTTGGCAAACTTTTCTTAAATAAAAGGCCAGATGGTAACTATTTTAGGTTTTGTGGGCCATGTGTTGATAACTATTTTAGGTTTTGTGGGCTACGTATGGTGTCATTCTCCTATTCTCTCTCTCTCTCTCTCTCTCTCTCTCTCTCTCTCTCTCTTTCTGTGTGTATGTGTGTGTGTGTACTTTTTTTTTTTTGGTTGGGGGATGGGGTCTCATGATGTTGCCCAGGGTGGTCTTGAACTCCTGGTCTCAAGTGATCCTCCCACCTCAGCCTCCCAAAGTGCTGGGATTACAGGCATGAGCCACCATGCCCAGCAAAGAGAGATGACATTGCATGTAAGGATAGAGATGTGGACAGATTTGAGAGACAGTTTAATTACGTTTTCTTTTCTTTTTTGTGTGTGTATTTTTAAACAATGATTTAAAAATGTTAAAACTATTCTTAGCTTCTGGGCCATATAAAAGCAGGCAGCGGGCCACATTCTGGCATGGAGCCTTAGTTTGCCAGCCCCTGCTCTAAAATACTTTTTCCAAATGTTTGAGTGTTAAATTTTATTATGATGCTTGTATTATTATTTAAAATATTGTGTGTTTCTAGAGGGAACCAGGGGGTTCTTGAGACCAGATTTTTGTGCAACTTGGGCAAAAATACTAGATTCCGAGAGTTTGTAGAGAAGATTGAGTTGAAGGAATGGAGGGTTCAGTCAGGTCAAAGACAAGATCACACATTTATTGGAATGGCAATAAGCCTCAAGAGTTGTAAGGGTAGAGTTGTTTAGGACTAGTAGATACTAGTTATCTAGGGTATTGAGTTTCTTTTCCCATTAGTATTCTTTTCTCTATTGCCTGGGTAAGAACTTTACCACCTTTCAGCCTCCTAGCCCTTTCATCTATTTTAACGAAAAAGAACGCTGAGTTGGCCTGAAAAAGATCAGGGCATCTAGGCTTTACCCTGACTCTTCTGCTGACTTGTGTGACATTTGACTTCTTTGAACTTAGGTTTTTTCATCTGTAAGGTAGGACTGTTTAGATAATTTCTTAAATGTTTTCCATCTTGAATTCCTTATTTTTGCGATTCTCACAAATGAGCTTGATTTTATTTGCTTCCATTCTGTTCTGTTGGTTCTGCTCTTTACCTCAATCTGTGTCCACTGGTCTCAACCCTCTATTACTTTAATGTAACTGAACTGTTTCCCAAATTACTCTGAATTGTAATCCGAGGATGGGAATTCCATTGACTGTACTCTGTATCGGGGAGAAATACTTCAACAAAACAAAGTAATAACCCACTCTTTCTAAATGTCAAATGTTTTCAAAAACAAGATATTAATTGATTAGGAATATATAGTATCAGACACTTTTTTGTATTAAAAGGACAATATAGTATTAAGTAGTATACTAATTTTTACTACATTCATCATATCTATAAGGCAGTATTAGGGTTGGTTCTTAACATGGATTATGTTATGTATTTTAGGGCTGGTAAATTTTAAAGAAATTTCATCTCTAGCTTTGTTGCTGTTATCCTATTCATTCTTTGGAAGGATATTATTAAAACAAATGAAAATTTTTATCTTCAAACTGATAGTGGAGTTAAATTAACATTAAATATTTCCCCTAAATATATACTTATCAGAGCAAACATGTAATTTTACTGAATACTTGTACAGGTACACATACCTTTAAGTCAGTATAGTGTAACATTATTATAAGGATGAATGTTGCTTACTGTGCCCATTATTTTGTGTCCTTTTCTGGTAAGTTTTTTTTAATAAAAAGTTTGCAAAACACTTTTCAAACTAAAACTCTTATCAGTTTGTAAACTAAAATTTTTCTTTTTTCTTTTTATTTTTATTTTATTTATTTATTTATTTTTAATTGATCATTCTTGGGTGTTTCTCGCAGAGGGGGAGTTGGCAGGGTCATAGGATAATAGTGGAGGGAAGGTCAGCAGATAAACAAGTGAACAAAGGTCTCTGGTTTTCCTAGGCAGAGGACCCTGCGGCCTTCCGCAGTGTTTGTGTCCCTGGGTACTTGAGATTAGGGAGTGGTGATGACTCTTAACGAGCATGCTGCCTTCAAGCATCTGTTTAACAAAGCACATCTTGCACCGCCCTTAATCCATTTAACCCTGAGTGGACACAGCACATGTTTCAGAGAGCACAGGGTTGGGGCTAAGGTCACCGATCAACAGGATCCCAAGGCAGAAGAATTTTTCTTGGTACAGAACAAAATGAAAAGTCTCCCATGTCTACTTCTTTCTACACAGACACGGCAACCATCCGATTTCCCAATCTTTTCCCCACCTTTCCCCCCTTTCTATTCCACAAAACCGCCATTGTCATCCCGGCCCGTTCTCAATGAGCTGTTGGGTACACCTCCCAGACGGGGTGGTGGCCGGGCAGAGGGGCTCCTCACATCCCAGTAGGGGCGGCCGGGCAGAGGCGCCCCTCATCTCCCAGACGGGGCGGCTGGCCGGGCGGGGGGCTGACCCCCCCACCTCCCTCCCGGACGGGGCGGGTGGCTGGGCGGGGGACTGACTCCCCCACCTCCCTCCCAGACGGGGCAGCTGGCCGGGCAGAGGGGCTCCTCACTTCCCAGACGGGGTGGCTGCCGGGCGTAGGGGCTCCTCACTTCTCAGACGGGGCGGCTGCCGGGCGGAGGGGCTCCTCACTTCTCAGACGGGGCGGTTGCCAGGCGGAGGGTCTCCTCACTTCTCAGATGGGGCGGCCGGGCAGAGACGCTCCTCACCTCCCAGACGGGGTCGCGGCTGGGCGCCCTCATATCCCAGACGGGGCGGCGGGGCAGAGGCGCTCCCCACATCTCAGGCGATGGGCGGCTGGGCAGAGACGCTCCTCACTTCCTAGACGGGATGGCGGCCAGGAAGAGGCGCTCCTCACTTTCCAGACTGGGCAGCCAGGCAGAGGGGCTCCTCACGTCCCAGACGATGGGCAGCCACGCAGAGACGCTCCTCACTTCCCAGATGGGGTGGCGGCCGGGCAGAGGCTGCAATCTCGGCACTTTGGGAGGCCAAGGCAGGCGGCTGGGAGGTGGAGGTTGTAGCGAGCCGAGATCACGCCACTGCACTCCAGCCTGGGCACCATTGAGCACTGAGTGAACCAGACTCTGTCTGCAATCCCGGCACCTCGGGAGGCCGAGGCTGGCGGATCACTCGCGGTTAGGAGCTGGAGACCAGCCCGGCCAACACAGCGAAACCCCGTCTCCACCAAAAAAGTACGAAAACCAGTCAGGCGTGGCGGCGCGCGCCTGTAATCGCAGGCACTCGGCAGGCTGAGGCAGGAGAATCAGGCAGGGAGGTTGCAGTGAGCCAAGATGGCAGCAGTACAGTCCAGCTTCTGCTCGGCATCAGAGGGAGACCGTGGAAAGAGAGGGAGAGGGAGACCATGGGCCGTGGGGAGAGGGAGAGGGAGAGGGAGCGGGAGAGGGAGAGGGAGACTAAACTAAAATTTTTCTAAGCGAGGCCCATCTTTTTTCTTTGCTAGTAAAATTAGTCAGTACTTATCCATGTTCAAGTTTGTCATGGCTTAGAAAAAAAGATTAAGCAAGGTCAAAAGGCAACATAAAGAACTTAAGAAAGTAGTGCTCTTCCCACCTTCCCAAGGGCTGAGTAGGACTTACTGGGCCAGGTGTTAAATTAGTTAGCAGGTAACAATTAAAGGAGCTGGAAAATAATTATCATAAAATAATATAAAATTGGAAGTAATTCTTCTCAAGAGCTAGGTATTGAAAGGCAGTGGCCTTAAGAACTCAACAAGTAGGGTAGCTTTTACTGTCTAAAAACTTTAGGCTGGGTGTGGTGGCTCATGCCTGTAGTCCCAGCACTTTGGGAGGCTGAGGCAGGCGGATCCCTTGAGGTCAGGAGTTTGAGACCAGCCTAGCCAACATGGCAAAATTCCATCTCTCCAAAAAATGCAAAAATTAGCCAGGTGTGGTGGTGCACACTTGTAGTCCCAGCTACTCAGGAGGCTGAGGCGGGAGTATCACTTGAGCCCAGGTGGTCGAGGCTGCAGTGAGCCATGTTCATGCCACTGGATTCAAGCATGGGCAACAGAGTGAGACACTGTCTCAACAACCCAAAACACAAAAACTTTATATAGATAGCCTTGCTTAAGAATTTCTAATTTTGGCCAGGCTCCGTGGCTCACGCCTGTAATCCCAGCACTTTGAGAGGCTAAGGGTGGCCGGATCACCTGAGGTCAGGAGTTTGAGACCAGCCTGGCCAACATAGTGAAACCCTGTCGCTACTAAAAATACAAAAATTAGCTGGGTGTGGTAGTGGGCACCTGTAATCCCAGCTACTCTGGAGGCTGAGGTAGGAGAATTGCTTGAACCTGGGAGCGGAGGTTGCAGTGAGCTGAGATCGTGCCACTGCATTCCAGCCTGGGTGGCAAAGCGAGACTCTGTCTCAAAAAAAAAAAAAAAAAAAAAGGAATTTCCAATTTTAATTAAGGAGATACACTGAAGGTTATCAATACGTAATTATGCATAGAAAGTAGACTTTTTATACTTCCCAATTAATTTCCTATGTAGTTTTTATATCACTTTATATAAAAAAACTGAAAATTACTCTGTTAGTAACTAATTTGTTTTATGAATGATACATAATTTGAAGCATAATTGTAATTTAAATGTTTATTTGAAACATTAGCTTACTAATAAAAAAAATTGAGACATATTTAAAAACACCCAATTTAGTTGGGTTAATCCACTGTAACTGTTTGATTGCAGATGTTTTCCCACACTGATGGGCAGCTAACTGAGGTAGTGCTATCCAGTACAGTCAACTTTCAATTATCTGTGGTAATGGGAAATGACAATGCATGGATAATCCTAAAACAAAATATTTTATACAGTACCTTCCTGTCATCTGCTGTGGCCTGAGCATGTGCTTGGGTTCATGAGGGAGATGTGGGAGTGGGGCTCAGGCTTGCAAAGGAGCTGGGAGTCAGTATGATTATCTCAAGGCCATAAGAGGTATCCTTAAGGAACCTGGGTTTGGCACTGTGTGGCTGAAGTGTCATGGGGAAAGCCTGCAGCATGCAAGATCAGCTTGGCAATATCAGTGAGAAGGATGGGGAAGCTAATTAATAAGGAACTGTGGGAGAATAGTTGTTTATTAAGTCCTATACAATTGCAGTGATATATCTTGGTGTGTTTTTTGGTTAATGGGATCTGTAGCAAACAATAATTATATTAATTGTGTATTTGAATTAGTTTTGGTCATCTTTGATTGCTAGCAGAACACATTTTTTACTTGCCACAGGTGAGTGCTGTTATTGAGGTCTCTTCTAAATAAGTAGGTTTATTGTCATATAACTAGTAACTTAAAAAACCCAGAATAAATTTGAAATACTTTTCTTACTTTTAAAATTCATCCTAAATATCAGTGTTGAACTTGTACTTCCAAAATTTAACTTAATGAAATTTAACATTGTAATGTCAAAGAATATCATGAGGGCAAATGCCATAATTACTGATACTGTGAATTTGATGTAGGAAAAATATAGTAGCCATATTTTATTTAAGAATATGTTACAGGAGCTTTCCTAAATTTCTTTTACAACTGACAATTGTCTACGAATTTATGAATGTTAAAGCTGCATGATAGATGTGAGGAGGGAGTGTTTATTATTCTATCTAATTTGAATATGCTTATTTTCTACAAGTGAAAGCTATAAAAAAATTGAAGCAGATGATTGCTGAAAACCTTAGAATCTTCTGGACCAACCTGAGAATCTTCTGCTTGTTTATGAAATAGATTTAGTGCTCTCTGTCAAATTATTCAAACTCCAAATAGAACCGTAGCCATTTTCTAAAGGCATGTTTTCTTCTGCCCACAGGCAATACTGCAGTTCAACCCCGTGTGGTAGTATGATGGCAAGAATGCAAATTATACCGTTGTTAGATTACCTTTATTATTATAGATGTTTTTTAAAAGTTATTTACTTAAAATATCTATACTTAGGCAAATTAGAGGCGTTGATCTTGAGTCGACTTTTGTGACCAAATTTGGAAACAATTGCAGTTTGAGATTGAATGAGGTAAGGGACCAGCTAATTAGTCCTTCCTCTATAGATCTTTGGTTCTCAACCAGGGAAGTTTTGCCCCCAAGGGGACATTTGGCAATGTTAGACATTTTTGGTTGTCACATCTCATGGTGGGGGAGTGCTACAGTTATCTACCTGGATGCTTTTCTATATTCTGCAATCCTCAAGACAGCAGCCTTCACCCCTGCCCACAACAAAGAATTATCAAGCCCAAAATGTCAATAGTGCCACTGTTGAGTTACCCTGCCCCTAGTGTTTCTAAGATGTAGGCATTCTTTGAAGTAGACAATTAAAAACATCATATAGCCAAACTAAATTATTTTGACTTTCTGTATACTTATGCTGTTTAAAAAACATGCCTTCAGTTTTTACTGAGATTTGATATAAAAAGCAACAACAAATATATTTTTAAAGAATTTAATCCTGGGAAACATTTCACTTTCCTGATGAATTGATATATTTCCTCGTAACTCATTATGTTTCTATTTTGCCTTCTCTCCCTGGAGGCTTAGTGCCAATTTTTTTGCTCTATTATAACAATGACCCTTTATTTTAGGCTTATTGTTATCTTTCTATTTACTGTATTGGTCTTCCCTTTTTTTTTTTTTTTTTTTACTGTTATGGTCTATGGGTTTGGGCTAAGTGTGTGTTTGTGTGTATATGAAGAGAACATGTGGGTAATATGTAAATGTCCCCAATCCCTAGACCAAGTCACATCTCTATAAGATCAAATGAACAGATTTCTAATTTATATTTTAATGCTTTTTTAAAGTCTCAATTTTTCAAACAAGAAATATGTGCTTGTTATAAAATATTACTGTGTGTTAGTGTAAATAATAAGTGGAAGATTACTTCTCCCTGTTCATTCTCTGGAGATTTATTAATATTTCTAGTATGTGCCAGGCATAGTGGCTCATGCCTATAATCCCAGCACTTTGGGAGACTGAGGCAGGAGCATTGTTTGAGGTCAGGAGTTCAAGACCATCCTGGGCAACACAGTGACATCCCATCTCTACAAAAAATAAAATTAGCTGGGCATGGTGGTACATGCCTGTAGTCCTAGCTACTCAGGAGGCTGAGGTAAGAGGATGCTTGAGCCTAGGAGTTCAAGACTACAGTATGCTATGATTGTCCCATTGCACTCCAGCCTCTGTGACAGAGTGAGAACCTGTTGCAAAAAAATGTATATTTATAGTATGCAGATGTGAAATAGAAGCTATAAGCTTGTAATTCTGTTATGGCTGCTCAGGTTTACACTCTTATAGTTTCATTTCTGAATAAGTTAAGTACATTTCTAAAAACTGAGGAGAATAAAAACAATGTCTTGAGGATTGTGTTATCTGATGAACCTTTTATTGATCTGACGAAGACCCATTTTATAAAAAAAGTGTCATATTTTATTTTTTGAAGCATACTTGATGGTATGAAATGGTATTTCTAGCCCATACTTTTAATGATTTAGAATGACTCACTAAACTTTATTCAAGGCCAGTACATTGGCTTACTCCTGTAATCCCAGCACTTTGGGAGGCCAAGGTGGGTGGATCACTTGAGCTTAGGAGTTCAAGACCTGCCTGGGCAACATGGAAAAACCCCAACTCTACAGACAGTAGAGAAATTAGGCCAGCATGGTGGAACACGCCTGTAGTCCCAGCTCCTTAGGAAGCTCAGGCGGGAGAATCATTTCAGCCTGAGAGGTCGAGGATGCAGTGAGCCATGATCGGGCCAGTCCACTCCAGCCTGGGCGACAGAGTGAGATACTGTCTCATAAAAATAAAATTTAATCCAAATGTGATTAATTTCCATTTCTCTAAAGTTAAAAATTAAGTGAATTCCAATATCATCACTAATATGCAAGCTTAACTTTTCTGTTACAGTTTTCCCAAGCAGTTGAAGAGGAAAGCTATTCTCATAATTAGCCTAACATGCGTAGAAAAGTTTAGAGATTATTTTTTTTCTTTTTCTTTTTCTTTTCTTTTCTTTTTTTTTTTTAAGATGGAGTCTCGCTCTGTTGCCCAGGCTGGAGTGCAGTGGCACAATCTCGGCTCATTGCAAGCTCTGCCTCCTGGGTTCACGCCATTCTCCTGCCTCAGCCCCCCAAGTAGCTGGGACTACAGGCACCCGCCACCATGCCCGGCTAATTTTTGTATTTTTAGTAGAGACGGGGTTTCACCGTGTTAGCCAGGATGGTCTCGATCTCCGGACTTTGTGATCCGCCCACCTTGGCCTCCCAAAGTGCTGGGATTATAGGCGTGAGCCACCATGCCTGGCTGAGATTGTTTTTTTCTTGAATACTTAAAATTGTAAGATTACTACCATGGTTAGTTTTTTATTTGATGTTCCATTTATACATTCGTTAGCTCTGGAACATATAGATCCTGTTGTTTTTAAGGTCTCTTGGTTGTAGAGAAATAAGAGGCTTTGAATTTGTTTCAGGCTTACCTCATACTTGAGGCAGTTTAGAAGGATAAATGATCAGTGTTCAGATTTCTTAAAGCAGTATTTTATAATGTCATGATGATTATCTTTTCACTGTTACTACCAGGTTCTTTTAGAAAGGGGAAATTGAAGTAGGACATTGAAGTGGGACTGGGGAGGAGTTAGCAAAAAATGTGTCTGTTGATTGCTGCTTGAGCCAGGAATTGGTGGTAAGAGATGTGAACCATTTTAGTGAAGTGATTTTTCAAACTCTTTTGACTGCGACACACAGGAAAAAATTTTTTTTACGTTGTATTCAGCACATAATTCATGTATATATTTATATATATAATAAACAGACTTTTCAAGAAACAGTATTTTACCTTACTATGTGTACATGCAGTCTGATGTTTCTGTTCTATTTGATTTGAAATAATTGCTGCTTACATACCACTAAATTGCAGCTTGCAGTTTAAAAAATTTTGCTTTAGTGTACTAATTACCTGTGTATGTGGAGAAATTCACCCTCTGTTAGCAAATAGAAGATTGTAATTACAATACATTCTTACTCGTATGTCTTATGTGAGCATTTAATAAATATAAATAAATTAATGAAATATTTTACAGGCATTTTGTCATGATAAAATATAAGCAGCTTTGCCCAAGCAACTTGGTCTTTTGGGGTCAAAAAATGGCTTTTTTGTTTTTTGACACAGGGTCTTGCTCTGTCACCCAGGCTAGAGTGCAGTGGTGCATTCATGGCTCACTGCAGCTTTGACCTCCTGGACTCAAGCAGTTCTCTTATTTCAGCCTCTCAGTTAGCTGGGATTACAGGCATGTGCTGTCATACCCAGCTACTTTTTGTAGAGACGGGGTTTCGCCATGTTGCCCAGGCTGGTCATGAACTCCTGGGATCAAGCAATCTGCCCACCTTGGCCTCCCAAAGTGCTTGGATTACGGGCCTGAGCCACTGTGCCTGGCTTTATTTTTAACATTATATTTCAGCCCTCTTTCTTTTTAAATAAAAAGATGTTTAAACATGAATAGAAATTATACTAATAGGTCATTAGAAATGTAACTAGATTAATTTCGGGGGCTTTCTTAATCACTATATTAGTCTAAATCTTAATGGAGAGGGAAAAATTAGCATGCTTTAACCCAGGGGTTGGCAAACCTTTTCTGTAAAGGAGCCAGCTAATATATACTTCAGTTTTTGTGGGCCATACCATCTCTGTTGTGGCTCATCTCTGCCATTACAGTGTAAAGCCTAGACAGATAAGCAAGTGAGCGGCATGGCTGTATTCCAATAAAACTTTACTTATGGAAAAGCAAATTTGAATTTTATATAATTTTCACGTGAAGGTTTTTTTTGGTTGTTCTTTTCTCCAAACATTAAAAAATGTAAACACCACTCTTAGCTTGTGGGCTGTAAAAATCAGATGATGGGCCAGATTTGGCCTGTGGGCCATGGTTTACCAGCCCTTGCTTTAACCTAAAAATGGAGAAAATCAGTAGTCCAGAAGAATAAAAATTTAGCAAGCATAGTTTAGAATATGAGTAGCAATATTAAATCTCTAGGCATATATATTTTGATTTTTGTGGATATTAGAACTATACATTTTTGTGTTGTTTTTTACATTATATTTTGCAGACAGTTGATATTCATAAAGAGAAAGTTGCAAGAAGAGAAATTGGTATTTTGACTACCAATAAAAACACTTCAAGGACACATAAGATTATTGCTCCAGCCAACCTTGAACGACCAGTTCGTTATATTAGAAAACCTATTGACTATACAATTCTAGATGATATTGGACATGGAGTAAAGGTAGGTATAATTTTTTTCAAGCTTTTAAAAGTAGTAACCCATAATGAAACCAACTCTTGAGAAAATTAAGCTTTTTATCTGTCTTTCTTTCCTAGAGGACAAAGTCTTGGCCCAGTTGTGGTTGTGAAGATTCCTTGCTACTATAACTGTTTTACCCTTTTTGCTTTTTCTTAGTGATGTATTCTCAAGTTTTAAACAGTCATCTTTGAATGAATTATATTTGCTTGGTTATGATAATACCTCCTATGGTTTGAGTAAATAAGTGTCGTGTAATCTTTCCAATTTTAATTTAATATGACTGATTAAAAAATCATTCATCATGTTATTATGAAAGTGTTTACCTTATCTCAAGTATTTATCAGCAGACTTTTGGCATTAGTTTTCAAAAACAAGATATATTAATAGACATGTACTTTGAATTTTTCTAAAATAATTTTATCCCAACATTTTGGGCAAGAATAGTGTTAGGTAAAAGTGATAGGTGAATTAATATTGCCACTGCTTTTGAGTGTGTAGCTATTACATATTTTGGCTGTCTTTTAAGATGTATTTGGGTGCCTAGAACATGCAAATTTCATTTAAATTGGTGTTTGAACTTAATGATTCAGAGCTTTAGCTGAGTATTAATTTATGTCTGATCAGTAGTTTGAAAGACAGTGACTTATCAGATGTGACTAAATAAATATACATGCTTATAATGATACTGTACAGTTCATGTAGTTGATTTTTTTTCTAATATAAACATACTTAAAAAACACTGTTATGGATGGAAATCAGTTAAATCTAAATTTAATGGAGATCTAGGTAAAAAGAAAATATACACTGTAAATTTATTTTTAAAATCTCTTTGTCTTCAGGGTTTTGATGCAAGCACTATTATCTGGAATATGATATTTAATTTAACTTTTTTGAGACAGGGTCTCACTCTGTCACCTAGGCTGGAGTGCAGTGGCACAATCATAGCTCGCTCCAACCTTGTACTCCTGGGCTCAGGTGATCTTCCCTTGTCAGCTTCCCTGGGACTACAGGCACGTGCCACCATGCTGAGCTAAATTTTTTGTTTGTAGTGACAGGGCCTGTCTGTGTTGCCCAGGGTGGTCATGAACTCCTGTACTTAAGTGATCTTCCCACCTTGGTCTCCCAAAATATTGGGATTACAGGTGTAAGCCATCGTGCCTGCCCAATATTTAATTTTATAGCCAATACCTACATGCATTTAGATTACTAATAAGAGCATGTTAAAATAAGATGTGTAATTGGATGGTTAGTTAATAACTGAAATTTCTTCTAACTTGGGAAAATTTATTCAAGGCTAACAACTGCTAATGGAATATTTTAGAATACCTCTAGAATCTAATGCCAAAAAGACACTTAGAATATAAAAGATGACATTTGTGTTTGCCCAATTACATAAGAAAAAAGTAATCCCATTTTTTTAAAATATATAATTCATAGGTTTACATCCCCCATTCTTATAATCCTCAAAGTAAAATGTTTTTCTTTCAGGATTCTAGCCCCTTCATTTTTTGACTTTCAGTGTTTAAGGGTCATTAATTTGAAGAAATCTTTAATACAGTTAAATTGTGGAATAAAACAGTATCTTAAATTCATCAGAGAAACTTCTGTTCATGACACATTCTGCTTTAACCACTCTTTCTATGATCTACTGAAACATTATTTTGTTAATGCTGAATGCTTAACTTGTTTTTTCTTTTTTTCCTTTCTCTTCACATCCTGAAGTTTCAACTAACCTTTCAATGCTTTTTTTCCTTACCTCTTTTATTTGCTCCATTTATGCATTAAGTGGTTGCTTAGATTTAAGGTAAGAGATTCCAGGGCTGGATTTCCATTCTTTGTTCTTATGTAGAATATTACATATGGGGAGTTAAAGAGATTGTTAACTCTTGGCCTTTTAAAACCCAATAAATAATTCCTCCTTTTTGTTTTATTTTTTGTCATGCAACTTTGTGGTGTGTCTTCATGTTCCTTGAGGGCAGATATTTTTGTCTGTTTTGTTCACTGCTCTATCCTTGTGCCTAGAACAGTACCTGACACACATTAGGTGCTTAGTAAATATTTGTTGAATGAATGGTTATTTTGTAATGTTAATATATTTTGTGAAACTGAAATGTAAGCTACCCTATCATAAAAATGTTATGAAATATAATTAGCTGGATTTTTATAAATATAGAGACTTTGTTATGAATTGGAGGGCCAATTAATGTACTTTATTTAACCCTCCCCCTGTGTAATAGCCTTTTTATTCTATAAATGGTATGCTTTCTGATATACCTTATGGACAATATGTCATTATCTTTTAATCAGTATAAAGAAATTGAGAAGCAGAAAATATTCAGTGACACGGGTTTTTTTTTTAAGTTGCAGTATCATATTTTGTAGAAAAATTATTCTTTTTTCCAAATAGCTGTATAAAGAATATATTTCAATATAAACTGTAAGAGCTTTTAAAGGTGAATATAATTATATGCAAAACATCAAAAGCTCATGATAATGTTTAACAGAATATCAGTTAAGAATTAGAGATATTTCCTGTTAGAATTCGTTTCAATAATGTTTTGGTATCGTGGAGGATTCGTGATAAAAGAAATTCAACTATATTCAAGAAGCCTGCCTAAAATACAAGGTTACTACAATTATATACAAAACTTAGCATGCATTTCTTCTTTGATTTTTTTTTGTAGGTGAGTTTTATAGTTTATTTTCAAATATATATTCCTCCCATCTAATACCCATTATTTGCCATATCTTTAGTGTAGAAAGTGATGACAAGATGACTGAGCTCTGAATCATTAACTAGTACTAACTAAGGCCACACAACTTTCCCCTGCCCGTGGTAGGTAGATTTGATTGGAAGAGCCCAGGCATATGGACACCTGTATTATTGATTGGATTGTTGGTTCCAAATCCTCAGTCATGGTGAGTAAGATGTGGAATTGTGAAGAAATCCTTTTGCTTGAAATAGGTGGGTTGCAGTGAACTAGACCAAAAGCAGACTGTGGCTGCTTTGGCCCTTTTACCCTAAAGTCTGTATTCAAATTTTGACCATTGATGTGTTAACCTCCAAAGTGATAGAAATACACGGAAAGTTTAATTGAAGAAAAAATACAGAAACACACAGATTCTTTACCCTTAAAGTTTAGACTAGCTTGCCCAAGCTACTATCTCATGCTTGTTTTCTCTAAGCCCCAGTATGATTCCTTCTTGATGTTCCTGCGTCAGGATCTGTTTCCATTGTGAGAGACAGGCCAAACAGAGTCTCCTAGAAAGATCTAATGAAGAATCACACTTAGATAAGATCCCTGAGCTTTTTGGAGACCTGTGGATTCTAGCAAGTGTCTTAGAAGTCTCCTGATGAGCAATAGCATTATGGATTCCTTATCCTCATTTTAATCAGGGTAGCTGATTAAATGTTCAAAATTTAAAACCTATTTAAGACCTAGTCGTTTTTCTTTCTACTTCTCTTTTTCTCTTTCTCAGCACTTTTTGAGCTCTGTCTTTGCTGCTCCCATTGCTGTCATACTTTTTATACTTTTCAGACAGTCTCCAGAGAAAG
The DNA here is from genome assembly GCF_000001405.40 of Homo sapiens. Lineage (NCBI taxonomy): Eukaryota > Metazoa > Chordata > Mammalia > Primates > Hominidae > Homo > Homo sapiens. Next base: position 203,383,959 of record NC_000002.12, read on the forward strand.
TCATCATACTTTAGGACCAGACATGTGGGATTTGACTCAGAAGAGACCTCCTTGTTTAAAAGTTTAACTTTTACTATTTTATACAGCATGTTTGATGCTTAATTGTTCTTGACATCTGAAATTTGGATTAACTGTTTTTCTTCAGTCAAGTTACAAATTTAAGAGTTCATAAGATTTTTAAAAACACTATGGTAATAGTTTTATAGCAAAGGACGTACAAGGTCAGTGGATAGAATGCCATATTGGAGGTGTTTTCATATATACCTAAGGCCATATAAAAGTGGAATGTACCTTGAACTGGTTCCTGTTCCATACTCTTGTTTTTGTTTTTGTTTTTTTTTTTTTTTTTTTTTTTTTTTTTTTTTTGAGACAGGGTCTCACTCTGTCACCCAGGCTGGAGTGCACTGGTGTGATCATGACTCACTGCAGCTTTGACTGCCCTGACTCAAGTGGTTCTCCTGCCTCAGCTTCCTGAGTAGTTGGTACTACATGTGTGCACCACCATGCCTGGCTATTTTTTAACAAATTTTTTGTAGAGATGGGGTCTCACTGTGTTGGCCTGGCTGGTCTCGAACTCCTGTGCTCAAGCCATCCTCTCACCTCGGCCTCCCAAAATGTTGGGATTACAGTTGTGAGCCACCGTGCCTGGCCAGTACTCTTTTAGTAGTAAAAAGAATTTTAAGACCCTGTTACTGAGGTCAGTATGATGTGTTTGTAATGAATTTTTCTGTTGAATGCATTAAAATTGTCACTAATGAAGCTAAACTTAAGTATTTTTAAAATAAGCATATTAGTTTAATCAAAAGTAATAAAAACTTCTGACTTTTAATGTATTATTTCAGTTGAACATCGCCCAAGCAGATTCTTTTTTTTTTTTCTTTTTTTCTTTTTTTTGAGACCGAGTCTTGCTCCGTCACCCAGGCTGGAGTGCAGTGGCACGATCTTGGCTCACTGCAACCTCCGCCTCCCGGGTTCAGGCGATTCTCCAGCCTCAGCCTCCCTAGTAGCTGGGATTGCAGGTGCCTGCCACCACGCCTGGCTAATTTGTGTACTTTTAGTAGAGACAGGGTTTCGCCATGTTGGCCAGGTTGGTCTCAAACTCCTGACCTTGTGATCCACCCGCCTCGGCCTCCCAAAGTGTTGGGATTACAGGTGTGAGCCACCGCACCCGGCTCAGATTCTTTTTTTTTTTTTGAGACAGTCTTGCCGTTGCCCAGGCTGGAGTGCAGTGGTGCCATCTTGGCTCACTGCAGGCTCCACCTCCCAGGTTTCACGCCATTCTCCTGCCTCAACCTCCTGAGTAGCTGGGACTACAGGCGCCCGCCACCTCGCCCAGCTAATTTTTTGTATTTTTAGTAGAGACGGGGTTTCACCGTGTTAGCCAGGATGGTCTCGATCTCCTGATCTCGTGATCTGCCCGCCTCGGCCTCCCAAAGTGCTGGGATTACAGGCGTGAGCCACCGTGCCCGGCCAGATTCTTAATAATTAATGAGCAGGGCTTAAGAGTTTTACAGCCAGCAAATTAAGAATATAATACTTTTAAAAATTTTGCTTAAGATCTTGAAGATCCATCATTTAGCCCCATGTTTAAAAAATGGACTGTTTTCACTTGAGTACTATTTTTAGCAAGTATTTGTCATTCCTTACAGAAATATGATAAATTCCCCTTATATTTCTAGCTTTCAGGTACAGTTGAAGGTACACTCTTAAAAATTTATCCGACACAGCACCTGGAGGAAAACCTTTGTAGTAACATCAACCTTTGAGAGACCCATCTGTTTTTGCCTATAAGTTCCAACCTTAAGCCATCAATTCTGTTTTGACAAAAGCCAGTTGTTAGAATCTGTTTTCAAAATCAAGCAGGAGTTTGTCCATCTTTATTTCTCTTGTTTTCTTCTGCTTTCTTTACCTGTTTCTCTTTCCTCTTACTCCTAATCTTATGTTCCCTTATTCTCTGTGTTTTATTGTTGGACTCTTGACTCGATAGGCTTTTTTGTCTTTTAACCCTTTTTCTAAAAATCTTAACCTCTGTCCTGAATTTATACTCTAATTCCTGGTTTCAGCTTTGATTTTCCTCAGAGGATCTTTTGGTCCTTTTCCTGGTGTCCCTTAGGAATTGAAGTAGGAACATACATCCTCTGAAGAGAGGGATAGAGGTCTCTAGAAAGCCAAATAATTATGTACTAGATGGGACTATAATGGGGAACAAAACTGGACAGAGAATGAAGGCCCAAAGGTGACTGACCTCACTTTTTTCCCATCCTCACTATTTCACATACAGACACAACCTACACACACTTCCCCTCTTCTATTTGTGTGTTTAAATTCTCTTTTCTTTTTTTTAAAGAGATGGGGTCTTGCTCTGTTGCTCAGGCCAGAGTTCAGTGGCATGATAGCTCACTGTATCCTTGGGCTCAAATGATCCTCCTGCCTCGGCCTCTCAAGTAGCGGGACTACAGCCACTCCTGGCTGTTTTTTTTTTTTTTTTTTTTTTTTTTGGAGAGACGTGGTCTTGCTGTGTTGCCCAGTCTGGAATCCTGTTCTTTTAAAACTTAACAAGTTTAAGAAATTATTAGGGAAGTTTCATAGAGAAAAACCAGCTCAGGTTTTTCTCTATGAAACATTCCGTAACCTTCCCACATTGATATTTCTTTTTTTTTCTATAGAATCTGTAGACATTGCTTTTTTTTTTTTTTTTTCCACGTGGAGTCTCACTCTGTCACCCAAGGTGGAGTGCAGTGGCGCTATGGCTCACTGCAACCCCCGCCTCCTGGGTTCAAGTGATTCTCCCTTCCTCAGACTTCCAAGCAGCTGGGATTACAGGCATCTGCCACCATGCCCGGCTAATTTTTGTATTTTTAGTAGAGACAGGGTTTTGCCATGTTGGCCAGGCTGGTCTCTGAACTCCTGGCCTCAGGCGATCTGCCCACCCTGGCCTCCCAGAGTGCTGGGATTACAGGCATGAGCCACCATGCCCAGCCAGACATTGCTTTTTATTTTAGGCATGTGAGTCTTATTTATTTCAGAATACCTTTAAAGCAGAGAAATCATTCTATAGACCGTTTTGTCTCCTTTTTTTTCCCCGCAGGCTCCCTTCCTTTTTTTTTTTTTTTTTTTTCCCCACATGCCTTTACTCTTGTACCTAGAGGGTCTAGTAGGAGATTAATATATAAGGTGTATACCACACATAACATTTTAGGATGTGTCTGCCACTGTTCTGTGGTAGTAGGTCATCTGTTAATGGGAGATTTCATAGCAGAGGTGATGTCTTCTATGAATTAGAGATACTTGGCTGTCCAGGCATGATATTTGTAATGAATATTATATCAGTATTCAAGGAAGTATTGAATGTACCAAAGAAGGTAGAGCAGGATAGGTAGGAGCATTGTAGAAAAAGTATTAAGTCACAATAATTGGCTTAATGTGTGGTGCCAGTTGTAGTGATCTCCAAAGCCTGGTCATAAAGGAACTGCTTCTACCTCCGGTGGTATTTGCATTCCTTCATCATAGCCTATTGGGAAAGTGTTTGAGCTGTGGCCATGCATTAACCTTCATCACCTAAATGAAATATTTCTTCTGTTTTGGAGGTTTCTGTCTGGTAGGGAAAAAGTGGGGACTTTTCCAACTTTTCTTTCTTGTACCTAATACCTGCTTCACTTAGCTCTTGAGGTCTTTTCATTTTATGGAATAAAAAAATACATAACAAAATTATGATTGGTATCGGCCACCAGAGTATTGTTCTAATTTCCTAAACTGCTGTGTGTGCCTGATGATAGTTCTGCTATGTTTGTAACTTTAAAAAGTATTTCAAGTGAAATTACTATTATGAAGTGGCTGCAGTATTGCTTTGTTTTCCTTGTCTTGAGTTTATGGTATATGTTCTGTCTCTCTCTCTGTCGCTGTCGTTAAGTTCCTCTCCATCAGCACATAGAGATCTCATGTTTTGCTACTTGTCAGGAAATGTTTTCTCTCTTAAATACTTCCCTCAAAATAGTTTTTTTAGGATCAATCATGATGGCTGTCTAGTAAATATATTTTTATATTTACCAGATTATTTTAGTTCTGAAATATAGTTTAACTTTAATTATAATATAGATTTTACCTATTATAAAAATTGTTTTGTTTGGCATTTATTTCTGTTCTTCCTTTTCTTCAAATTTGATGGCAGTATTTATATTCTGCATAGCATATTTATTGTTTTACTTAGCGTAGAAACATTTTTCACACGGGAAAAGCTGCCTTGAGGAAATATTGAAAAACTCTTTTAATAGAAAGGTAATGAAATATTAGGTATAAAATTAGATTGTTTGGACATTCTACAGAGACTCTTGTTTCTTAAGTGACTTATGTTAGTCATCCAATCCCATTAACCAAACAAATATACAGTCATTTGATGATTCTACAGATCATAAAATGTACCAAGTTATATTCATAGAAATGTTGGCCAGGCATGGTGGCTCATGCCTGTAATCCCAGCGCTTTGGGAGGCCAAGGTGGGTGGATCACCTGAGGTCAGGAGTTCGAGACTAGCCTGGCCAACATGACGAAACCCCATCTCTACTAAAAATACAAAAAGTAGCTGGGCGTGGTGGTGCGCCTGTAATCCCAGCTACTCGGGAGGCTGAGTCAGGAGAATTGCTTGAACCCAGGAGGTGGAGGTTGTAGTGAGCCGAGATCAGGCCATTGCACTCCAGCCTGGGTGACAGAGCGAGACTCTGTCTTAAAAAATAATAATAATAATAATAAATGTCCACCAGATTTTAATATATAGATTGTTTATTTTATGCTATTTTTTTTGGTGGGGGGCGGGTAGGTCCAAAGACTTACAGAAGATACTGCAATTTAAACAAAAACACCTTGCATACCAAAACTTAAAACAAATATAAGCTGGAAAGCTCTTTTCAAATATTTTAGCTATCCCATGTATAGAATAAAATTCTCTCTTAAATTCCTGCTCCTTTTCCTTCCTGTTTCTCAGCAAATTGATGTAGTTTTAGTGTTTGGTTCACTTCTCCCTCATCACTTAAAGTAACTTTGGGTTTTATGTTGTTTAAGGTTGAGCTTAAAGGACTTTGGTTACCACTTTAAAAAAATCTTCTGGTTTCAGAAATTAAGATATGCAGTTTTAAAAGCTATTCATTATTTGTCATATTACTCCTAAAATTTTCCCCAAATGTGGATTGATTTTTTTAAAAAAACTTTTTCTGGCATTTTCATTTTAAGATACAAGTAGTATACCCTCCGCTTATTAATGAGAGGGAGAGCAAGGATAAGTTAATCTTTACTCTTACTTGATAATGTTTGTTTTTATTGTTTAAAAGCAACAACAAAAGGATTACAGATAAATGCTTCACTTTAAAATATTGACATTTCAAAGGTATCATTTGTCATTAAAGATTGTTTTAACATCACACACAACTTGTTCACTGGGCTATTCATTTGAAGAATTTGTTTCTTGAGATAGTATTTCTTGCCTATTCAAATAACAGGTAGTATTTTAGGATTTTAAAAAATTCCACTTAAGCCAGGGTTGGTTTTGATAGCCTCACTTCTCTGTATACAATTATGATTTGCTTTCTTAAAATTTATATTCTGAAGTTACAGTTATAAATGTATTCTGATTTCAATGGTATGATGTCTTGCAATTTTATTTAGAAAGTATAATTTGACTACTCTAGCCATATTATTTTTAGAAAAGTTGAGGTCCTTTTTCAAAATATGTTTTGAAGATGGAAATTCAAAATATTAGGGTCTTAAAATAGAATCACATATGAACCTGTGTGGTGAACATTAACCCATTGGTAGTCTCAACTTGAGACTGCATTTGAACTACACTTGTGAGTGATTTTTCTTAGCTTTTTGAGATAGCCAGGGCTTTCTGTATAAGTGCTAACATACTCCTTTGGTGACCTCCATTATTCCCAGATTATGCATCTTTCCTACACTTGCATTTTCAGTTGGGGATAGAATAGTGAGTGGAGTTACGGTCCAGCTCTGACTTAGGACTATGTTACATCTTTCTCATGCCTGAATTCACCTTCAGTTTGGGCCCAAGTGGGTCCAATTCCCATTGGAACTAGGACATTGCCTGTGGCCCTTGTGCTGCTCCCAGTTGAATGGGATACCTCAGCCCTAACTTTCTGGTTCAGATGTTTAGGAACATGGCTTGAACTTCTAGCAGTTTTCAGGTAGGTGGTTCCCTCATAAGAAGATACTAACTAAATCTGACTTATAAGGCTGGCCCACAATTTAAAAAACTAAAATTTTCTGTATATATTACATGATTTATCTTTATATTCTCTAGTTACAGTGGATCATATGCATAGTTGCATATTTTTATTTGGGAAATGTATTTTGCTTATGATATGCTTACTATCTAAAGAAAGTTACTGGCCGGGTGCAGTGGCTCACGCCTGTAATCCTAGCACTTTGGGAGGCCGAGGCTGGTGGATTGCCTAAGCTCAGGAGTTTGAGATCAGCCTGGGCAACACGGTGAAACCCTGTCTCTACTAAAATACAAAAAATTAGCTGGTCGTGGTGGCATGCACCTGTAGTACCAGCTACTTGGGAGGCTGAGGCAGGAGAATTGCTTGAACCTGGGAGGCAGAGGTTGCAGTGTGCCAAGATCGTGCCCCTGCACTCCAGCCTGGGTAACAAAGCGAGACTCTGTCTCAGAAAAAAAAAAAGAAAGTTATCTCTAAAAATAAGGAATTGCTTAAAAGCATTATTGTTTTTGATTGAGTTACTCTTTATTAAAACTAAAATTTTGTAGTTATTCTATTTAATTTTAATTGAATGTAATATCAAATAATCTAACCAGTGATCTGTTGGTGTGATGGCCTAATGGCAAATAAAGTCTTTGCATACAAGTTTATAATGATTTGAAAATCTCATGTTAGGAAGAGTCCTTTGAGTACAACTGTAGAGTAATAGTAGAGTAGAGATTGCATATGAAATGCATGGCCTCTAATTTTTTTCCCTTTATTTAAACCTTCCCCTCCTTTGTTATGTAGTGTAGCATATTATTTCCCAAAAGTGCCACTTTATTTCACTGCATACAAGTTGAGTTTTCCTTAAAATTTTTTAGGTGAGTACCCAGAACATGAAGATGGGTGGGCTGCCGCGTACAACACCTCCAACTCAGAAGCCCCCTAGTCCCCCTATGTCAGGGAAAGGGACACTTGGGTGAGTATATAAGTAGTAATTGAAAACCATTTCATGTAGTATTGTTTAAAAATGAAGCACAACATATTTAAATTATTTTTTGAATATTTGAAGAGAGAACATTTTCTTTGTAGGATTGTTGTTTGTGTGTATAACTTCCTCTTCTCTTGGGAAACACATTTTTATACTTCAGAAAGATTTGTTTAGAAATTGTTTTTCTAGTGAATTTTAAATTTGAGGTAAAATCCTAGCCCAAGTTCATAGTTTATTGTAAATTGCAGTCTAATTTTAATTCCTTTTCTTTCAGAAAATGTATATAGTCTTTTATATTACAGTTTAACTCCAACTATCCTTTTTAAGCTGTGTAGATTATAAAATTCTATAAAACTTATAAGAATATTGAGCTTCAGGCCAGGTGTGTTGGCTCATGCCTGTAATTCCCAAAGTGGGGATTTTGAGAGACCAAAGCGGGCAGATCACTTGAGCCCAGGAGTTTAAGACCAGCCTGGGCAACATGGTGAAACCCTGTCTCTACGAAAAATACAAAAATAAGCTGGGTGTGGTGGCATGCACCTGTAGTCCCAGCTACTTGCGAGGCTGAGACAGGAGGATCACCTGAGCCCAGGAGGTTGAGGCTGCAGTGAGCCGTGATCATGCCACTGTGCTGCAGCCTCAGTGGCAGAGTGAGCCCCTGTCTCAAAAAAAAAAAAAAAAAAGAAGAATATGGAGCTTTATTTTGGTCCTAGAGTTGGGCTCTAGATTTGACTTTTGGCAAAAATGGCCAATTAATGGAAAAGCTTGACTTTTTTCTTCTAGAGCATCGTATTATAAACTTGACTTACTGTGATTGAGATTTACGATTAGGTTGGCATTAGTATAGCCCAGAAGCCAGGTGATTAAAATTCTGTTTCAGCTGTGCTGTTACTTTATAATTCCTACATAGTCAGCTGCCAAGAATTCAGTTTTTTCATCTGTAAAAGGGGGGTAATATTTGTCCTCTATAAATTTTTCAAGGTCACTGTACCACAAATTGGATTTTTAAAAATGTGTAAGACAAAGACAAAATGTTTTGACAACCATTGGCTTTATGATATATGCTAAACAAGTTTTTAATTGACAGTCTTGTTTTTGGCTTCCTCAGCACCACCACCATCACCACCACCACCACCACCACCACCACCACCACCACCACCAACAACAACAACAACAACAACAACAACAAAACAACCACAAACCTTCAAAAAACCGAAACCCAATCAAGCACTGAATCAGGATAGGACCAAATGATTTGAGATGTAGTGGAGGATAGTGCTGGAAGAGAGATAATAGGACAGTAGGAGACCAAAGAATAAAAATAAATTCCAACCAGGAATAGGATGACTTTATTAGGAGTGGACAAAATAATTCTGCTTAGAGAGAGAGAAAATCTAGTGGATCAAACAAGATTTAAACTTCAAGGTAGAATGTAGATGGCATAGTAGTGTATAATGGTGCCAGGGGTCGGGGTAGAGAGATGAAGAGGAACTCTGTTTTTATTTTCCTATGTAAACATTTACATTTATATCATGTGTAGTGCCTTATGGATTTTGTTGGGTTTTAAGTCAAGATTGTTAGTAAGATAAGCTACTTAGTCCCCAGAAAGTCCCTAGAAGAATGAAACTTTGTGTTGTTTTCAAGTTTTGAAGATTTGCTCATATACCAATGTTTGTTTTCCTTGTATATTAGCAATGGTTCTGCAAGATCCTTGGGGACCAGAGTTGCTGAGGCCCACTCTGCTAGTTGATGGCTATAACCTGTTTTTCCACATAGTCTTTGCCTAGTCACCACATTTTGTTCCTTTGCTCCTTTTTTTTTTAAAAAAAATCTTATTTGTGTCATTGCCTTCACTCTGTAGTTCTCAATTATCAAATAATTTTTACTTGGATGCAACAGAACTTATTTTTTTGAGACAGAGTCTCACTGGAGTGCGGTTGTACAATATTGGCTCACTGCAACCTCTGCCTTCTGTGCCCAGGCAATTCTCTTGCCTCCAGGCGATTCTCCTGCTTCAGCCTCCTGAGTAGCTGGGATTACAGGTGTGCGCCACCATTCCCAGCTAATTTTTGTATTTTTAGTAGAGATGGGGTTTTGCCATGTTGGCCAGGCTGGTCTCAAACTCCTGAGCTCAAGTGCTCTGCCTGCCCCGGCCTCCCGAAGTGCTGGGATTACAGGCATGAGCCACTGCACCCGGCTGCAACAAAACATTTTTATTGCCTGGGAAAAATTGTCTGAAAATTAGATGTTGGAGAAATTAATGTTTCCCATTTTATTGTTTAATATTTGCATTATAATTTAAGAGATGCTGGAACTTCCTTTTAGTATTTTAAATCCAAAGTCCTGACATTACTTTTTCCTCTTTTGACCCAAGATTTCATCCAGTGTCCCTTATTTTATTTTTAATTACCAATGTATGTATTTATGTAAGGAGACTTTGAAGGGTAGTAGAGTAAATTGCAAAGTGATCTCATGCAAAATCAGTGATCCATAACTTGAGTGCCCCAGGAAAGCAATAGTTAAAGGAACTCTGGGATCCATACATAAGTCAGTAGAGCAACATCATTTCAGGAAAAGAAAGGTTTTTAATTTTCACATCTTGATCAGTTCTTATTCTTTTAGTGACCAAGATCTCATCTACAATATGTCAATTGACTGTTTATCATTGTCATAAAGAATTTGGAAACCTAAGTAGAAATGAGAACTAATTTAATAAACACTAATTTCCCCATGTGCATCCTGTTCCCTGTCATATTTCCTTTCTTCCTCTTTTCATCCTCTTTACGAGGAAATTTTGGGAAAAGGCGGGAAATATGTGTTAATAAAATCCAGTCTGGTTTGTATTTTACAGTTCAAAGTAAATAATATAGAAAGGCTGTTGTGGTGGTCATTCCCTTCCCCCCACCTTTGTAAATGTTGAACTCTGAGGAAGGAAAGAGAAAAGAGATCAAGGTGAAAGTTGAGGGAGAAAGTGAGAACGGAAGATGAGATTAAAGTGTGTATTTTTGTATATAGATATACTTTAATTTCTGTATATTTGGTATATAGAAAGGGAAATGAGTTGTTATGGCTAGTATTGATCATCAGTGTGGGGGTTATAGATCCTAAATCTAGATTTGTAGTTCCTGTCTTTGAATATCTTTGGTTAGGGAGAGAAGGGAGAGGAGAATAATTAGTGCATTCATGAAGTACAGTTGGGAGACTTTAATATGATACTAAAAGAATTCCAACTCTTCTAAGAAGAGGTAGGGTCTGGGAAACATTGGCTTAAATGGTAGAGAACCTTTGTGCTCTTTGAGAATAAATGAACAAAATTGCATTAGCACAGGGAAATGAGGTTGGAGACTGAAAAATAACAATATTCACCAAAACCCTAATGGTGGAGAAGTGATACATTAGTAAAGACTGAAATTGGTAGCTGGGTTATGTTAAAACACATTTCCTATCTCTGATTACAAATTGTATCTCAACTGCTGGCAACTCTTTGAATTTATTGTGCCGAAACTTGCTTAATCATACAATACATACGCTCTTCTTTTTGTAGGCGGCACTCCCCCTATCGCACACTGGAGCCAGTGCGTCCTCCAGTGGTACCAAATGATTACGTACCTAGCCCAACCCGTAATATGGCTCCCTCGCAGCAGAGCCCTGTGAGGACAGCTTCTGTGAATCAAAGAAATCGAACTTACAGGTATTTTCTCTACCTCAGTGCAAAATGTGATGGTCATAGTACCATAATCTGTTCAGATTACTTCAGGTAAATCTCTCATTTTCCAAGCACTAAGTTCTTTTCCTCACTCTATTCTCCCAAACCTCATCTGATTTCACCTCTCTCTCCTCATGTTCTGATTCAACTTTGAGCAGTCAGGAAGTTGATAAAGAACAGACATCTCAAAGTGCAGACTTCTCTCCAAGTTTTAAGAGTTCAGTTGATCTGGAAAAAAAATTATGGACCAAATGTGGGAAATGTCAGGTTGTTTTTTGGTGGAACTTTACAGATGAAAAACTATACATAATAAAACATTAATATGGGATAGTACATCAGAGTATGATTATTAATTAAAATTACTCAAATCTGTTTAGGAAAATGTTTTTGTTTTATTATAAAAGAAGTTTCTTCAGATAGGCATTAAACTGGAATATAAAAAGGCAATATTTATTGTTTTAATGTGTTAAACCTCAACATTTATCACTTGTATTTATGGATAATTTTTTCAAAATGTGGTCAAAACAAGCTTATTGAACTCAGTTTTCCCCTCAACTTTATTAATAAGTAAATATATATATATATATACACACACACACACACACACACACACACACACACACATTTTTTTTTAACCTGTCACTGACTTGGAGCTCAAGGAAATTTTATTTTGAAGTGGTACGCTTTTGAATTACCTTTATTGTAGCTACATTCATCTCAGAAAATGTCGGGAAGTGCTGATGATCTCTTACTGTTTATAAATACTCATGTTTTGGTGGCTCTTATTTCTTTAGCAGCAGTGGGAGTAGTGGAGGGAGCCACCCAAGTAGTCGGAGCAGCAGTCGAGAGAACAGTGGAAGTGGTAGTGTGGGGGTTCCTATTGCTGTTCCTACTCCATCTCCTCCCAGTGTCTTTCCAGGTAAAACATTCATGGTGCCTCGTCTTCACTTTTCCTTTCTGAATTTGATTCAATTTGTGATTTAATTATGGTGGGCTTTCTTCGTAATCAGGATTTTTTTTCTTTAGGAATCATAAATATTGGGAAGTCTATATATTTGTTATTTGTAAGCAAGTGATTTGTAAGTGTTTGCTCACTTTGCACTTCTCTTTATGCCTTTGGTGATGTGGCTCAGTTGCTGCTTTGAGGTTTCAGATCACACTTTGTTATGAGTACAAGTTTAATTCCAGCTAGTGTTATGACAGTGCAGTCTTTGGACACAGTGGGAACTCAGTGTGAGAACCATATTAGTAACAAAGGATTGGGCAGATATAAAAAGTAGTTTTGACAGTTAAATTTAGTGGCTGTATTGGAATTTAGTAGTCTCTGAAAATACTACCCTCTTTTCTCTGAAACAGAAAAATCTGCTTATTTGATTCGAGGAGATACACACTTAAAACTTAGTTTTGAAAACGTGACACAAAATACATTAATAGAATGTTACATACTTAATTTACTTATAGTAACAAGTAGATAATGCCTTTTAAAAATCATAAAGATTTGTGTTTTAAAAAAAATTTTTAATCTGATAATATGGAATATGTCTATTTTCTGATTTGTGTAATTCAAAATGGAAAACTGTTGTTTTTTAGTGTATTATGTTAGTTTTGTATACTATATACAGAATGTTATGCTAAAAATAACAATACGAAGGGAACACTTTTCTTCTGGAGTAGTGCTTTCAATTGAAAAGGAATGTTTGTTTTTAATGAATTGAAAAAATCTGCACATTACCCTGAGCATCTTGAATTATTTGCTGCTTATATAGTAATCCTTTAGCATAAGTTTTATTCTTTTTTTCAACTCTGTTCTTTTGGTTAGTGTTAAGCACTGAATATCTAACATTAAATACTCTAATACCTTTTCTAATCCTGCCTCATGTGATTGCCTCATTAATGCTGCCTCTTACTCCTCTTTCCCCTCAGCCCCTGCTGGCTCTGCTGGCACTCCTCCCCTTCCTGCTACTTCTGCATCTGCCCCTGCTCCTCTTGTTCCTGCTACTGTCCCTTCCTCCACTGCCCCAGACGCTGCTGCTGGGGGTGCCCAGACCCTTGCTGATGGCTTCACTTCTCCAACTCCCCCTGTTGTTTCTTCCACTCCCCCTACAGGTAAGTATTTGCTTATTCATTGGCAGGCAGATGCAGTCATCTGGCTATTCTCTTACTTGCACCTCTGATTTTTGTTTGTTTTTGGTTTTGTTGTACTTCGTATTAAAAAAAAATAAGAATAATGTACTAACCAGAAAGTATGTGACCAAAGATTAGCATTTCCTGAGAAAATTGAGGTAAAGTTTCTCATACATTTTTCCAATAGGGTAGCATAAATTTGTGTTTTTTTATTGCTTGAATTTCATTTATTAGAGATTTTTAAGTTTAATATGGAGCTACCTTCTATACAGTTTTTGGAAATTATCATTAGAAATATTTTCATTATAGGTTAAGTGATTAACAAAAGTCTATTACAATAATTCTAAGGTATATTTTATAGGAAATATTTGATACAACAAATGGAAAGCCTCTGTAAGTCTATTTTTAACAGAATCTGTTGCTTATTATAGCAGCATTGGAAACTCATAGACAATGGACTTTTAAAGAATTTCAGGTTTATTTAAGTTGGCTGGTGTTTTAAAATTGCAATCTAAAATCTGTTTTGATTGGGGAGGAGATAGACTCAATTGCTACGAAATATATTTGTAGAGTTAATGATGCTGGCTAGTAACAGGTTCTTGTCTGCTATAAAATGTATGTGTTTGGACATATATCACTGTATTAGTCTGTTCTCACATTGCTATAAATACCTGAGACTGGGTAATTTATGCAGAAAAGAGGTTTAATTGGCTAACGGTTCTTCAGGCTGTACAGGAAGCATGATAGTGGCATCTGCTTGGCTTCTGGGGAGGCCTCAGGAAACTTACACTCATGGCCTAAGGCAGAGGGGAAGCACACTGGTCACGTGGCCAGAGTAGGAGCAAGAGGACAAGGCGGGAGGTGCTACACACTTTTAAACAACCAGATCTCATTATTGCAAGAACAGCTCCAAGGGGGATGGTGTTAAACCATGAGAAACCGCCCTTGTGATCCAGTCACCTCCCCCTAGGCCCCACCTCCAACATTGGGGATTACAATTCAACATGAGATTTGGGCAGGGACACAGATTCAAAGCATATCAATCACCGTAGTGTTCCACTTGCCAGTGAAGAACTTCATGGCATTTATATTCAGCTTTGCTGTTATACATGTTAAACATATATAAGATCTTTACATGTTTTAAAAGACACTTTTAGCCAAAATGGATTTTGGGTGATGTCTTGTGGGATTCCTTCTATATGACTTTTAAAGAAAAGCTTTCTGCAGTAGATAAATGTAAACATGGGGTGTTTTTTGATCCAGATACAACTGTTAGGCCAAACTAACTAGTTAAATATAGGAATCTCGTTATGCTCCTGCTTTGATAAAGAATGCATCAGAAAGGACAAATCACCCCCAACTGAGAGTCTATGTTTTAGTAATTAAATATTAATTGAATAACAGGTGCCTGGCTCAGTGTTCACTAAATAAACATTTGTTATGTGAGGGGATAATTAACTGTGGTTTTTAAAACAAAAAGCAAGGTAAATGTCTTATTAATAATTTATATCAGGATAGTCTGTTTTATACAGTACCTGAGTTACCAAGCAATTGTTTTTCTTTTTACCAAGGTATAACTTATGTACAGTAAAATTCACCCTTTATACCATATATGTTTGTGAGTTTTGGCAAAGGTGTACTGACATGTAATTGCCACCACAATCAAGTTACAGAACAGTCCTATCATCGCAAAAATTTCCTCCATGCCCCCTTTATAGTCAGTCCTTCCCTTCCACTCCCAGCTCCTGGTAAGCCCTTGATGTGTTTTTTTTCTCTAAAGTTGTGCCTTTTTAAGTATAACATAAATGAAAGCATATAGTATGTAGCTTTTTTGATCTGTTTTTTTTGGCCAGATGCATTTGAGAATTACCCATGTTGTTGCATGTTTAAGTATTTCATTACATTTTATTGCTTAGTAGTGTTGTATTGTATGGGGATGTACCACAATTTGTTTATCCCTTTCTCAGAGGACATTTAGATTTTTCTAGTTTTGAGTGCTTATGAATAAAGTTGCTATAAACATGTACATACAGGGTTTTTTTTGTGCACATGGGTTTTTATATCAGGTAAATACCTAGGGAATAGAATTGCTGGGTTATATTGTAAGTAAATTTTTAACGTCATAAGAAACTGCCAAGTTGTTTTCCAAAATGGCTGTATAATTTTACACTCCCAGCAGCAATGTGTGAGTTTCCAGTTGCATCCTTGTCAGCCCTTGGTGTTGCCTTTTTTAGCTTTAGCCATTCCAATACATGTGTAATGGTTTCTCATTACATGTGTGGTTTGGATTTGCATTTTCTTAATGACTAATGATATTGAACATTTTTTTCATGTGCTTATTTGCCATGTGTATATCCTCTTTGGTGAAGTATCTGTTCAAATGTTTTGTTCCTTCTCACCTTTTTAATAGGGTTTTTTTCCTTATCATTGAGTTCTTTTATATTCTAAATATATGTCCTTTATAGATTATGAGTTACAAATATTTTCTTCCATTTTGTGATTCGTTTGCTTATTTTCTATTTTTTTGGCGGGGGGAGGAGGGGCGGGCGGACAGAGTTTCACTCTTGGTGTCCAGGCTGGAGTGCAATGGCAGGATCTCAGCTCACTGCAATCTCCGCCTCGCGGGTTCAAGCGATTCTCCTGCCCAGCCTCCCAAATAGCTGGGATTACAGGCACCCACCACCATGCCCAGCTAATTTTTGTATTTTTAGTAGAGACGGGGTTTCACCACGTTGGCCAGGTTGGTCTTGAACTCCTGACCTCAGGTGATCCGCCCGCCTCAGCCTCCCAAAGTGCTGGGATTACAGGCGTGAGCCACTGGGTCCAGCCTGTTCATTTATTTTTTTGATGTTGTATTTCAAATAGCAGAAATTCTTCATTTTTATTAAGTGTTATTTTTCAAAATTTTTTTAAATGAATCGTGCTTTGATGGCATATCTAAGAACTCTTTACCTGAAGTCATAAAGATTTTGTTCTGTGTTTTCTTCTAGAAGTTTTTAGTTTCAGGTTTTATCGCTAGGTTTATGATAATTAGGTATATATATTTTTAAAACCCCAAATGGTAAATCGACTCATTAATAGTGTGAATAGTGTCTTTTTTTTTTTTTTTTTTTTTTTTTTTTGAGACAGAGTCTCACTCTGTCACCCAGGCTGGAATACAGTGGCAATCTCGGCCCACTGCAATCTCCGCTGCCTGGATTCAAGTGATTCTCCTGCCGTAGCCTCCTGAGGAGCTGGGATTACAAGTGTGAGCCACCACACCCAGCTAATTTTTTGTATTTTTAATGGAGACAAAGTTTCACCGTGTTGGTCAGGCTGGTCTTGAACTCCTGATCTGAAATGATCCACCCGCCTCCACCTCCCATAGTACTGTGATTAAAGGCCTGAGCCACCATGCCCAGCCCATGTGAGGTTTTAGACTAGATCTAACTATATAAAATTCATAATGATGTTAATCCAGATGTTTTTAACTTGATCGTAGGTTTGTATTAGTTTGCTATAGATTAATTACTGAAATGCTAATTGTATTCAGTGGTTCAAATAACTAAATATGCCTTTTAAATCATAGTTTATATGTTTTCATTTTTATCATGGTTACAGAGGCTTCTCAGTTGATAGTGGATTATGTTTAAGCTTGAGTGCTTAAGTTTTTGATACACATGTAAGATGTTTAAATGTTATAACAAGCCTTGAGTGCTCTTATAATCCTTATATGACTCCATATGAATCTAAGCTTGGTAAACTTTCAGCTCCTGTAGAACAATTTTAGTCATATAAAACCATTTTATAATCATAGACAAGATGAAAAATTGTCAAAGTGTTGTTTTCCTCTAATACTTTTAATTAAAATTACCAAGAAGATAGTCTCATATTAAGGTAGAATAAAGATGGTAAGACTCAGCTGAGAAATATGAAGCCTGGAAGAGGATATGACTGCAGTGTTTGATCATGAAGATTTCAACAAATCAAGCATTCATCAAATTCCATATTACATAAGTCTTATCTCACTGTGTTTCAAGTAGTTTATTTTAGAATTTAAAAAATTTCAGGATAACCTTAGGCACAAATGGATAGATGAGTGTGCCAGGTATCATCTGTTCCTCCAGTCCCCCCTCCTCTACTCTCCCCTCTTCTCCAGTAGGCTGACCTCCATGAAATGTTTCAGTGGATTCTTTTGCCCTCTGGCTTCCTGTTGGGTTTAGCAAAAGTGTTTTTTTTTTCCTTTTCACTTATCTCCTCCTTTTCTCCCTTTCTCTTTCTCCTTTCCTTTCCCCTCTGCTATCCTCTTGCCCTCCTCCACCTTCATCTCCTCCTCCTCTACCTTCCTGTCCCCTTTCCGCTTTCTTCTCCACCTGCTTATTTCTCCGCCTCCTCTTCTCTCTTGCCCTCCCCTTCTCCCTTGTCTGCTATTGTGCTCTCTCATGGGTGCTGTGGTGCTCTGTCTGTAAGAAAAAGTTCTCAGCTTAATGTAGGTGGGAGTGCAGTCAAGGTAAAGTTTAGGGAGTGGATTATATTATTAGGAAACTGATGGATTATGGAATCATGTCTCCAGTTGACATTAGCTGTGGAAGAACTCTCAAGAGAGCAAAATACAGTGAAATTGATGATAACTATATATGGACTTAGGGATGATATTAAAAATAAGATATATTTTGACCCTCTTTTTATATCTTAATTTTTTTCATGATTGTAAATTTTTTAGATTTTAATTTTAAGACAAAGTAATGTAGCTTTCGTGGTAGATTTTTTTGATTAAAAGAAAGAAATGTTTGATTTGGAATTACGTCATTTAACCTTTTGTTGAAATACTTCATTTTCCTTTAACCATACTTTTTTGCTACCTTACGTTTATTATTATTTATTATTTTGGAATAAGACTGTGTGTCAAACATTTTTTCTCTTGCTTTCCCAAACATCATTCTTGTCGATTTTAGTTTTCAGTGTTCAGTGGCTGTATTTTGGGGGTGGAGTAGATAAATTTTAATTAATTGTGATGATTTTGAAACCCCATCAGATTTTTAATTTAGTGAAATAATAGTGTTAAGTAGCAAACTATTTATTTATTTTGAGACAGAGTCTCACTCTGTCACCCAGGCTGGAGTGCAGTGGTGCAATCTTGGCTCACTACAACCTCTGCCTCCTGAGTTCAAGTGATTCTTACGCCTCAGCCTCCCGAGTAGCTGGAATTACAGGCGCACGCCACCATACCTGGCTAATTTTTGTGTTTTTAGTTGAAACGGGGTTTCACCACGTTGGCCAGGCTGGTCTGAAACTCCTGACCTCAAGTGATCTGCCTGCCTTGGCCTCCCAAAGTGCTGGGATTACAGGCATGAGTCACTGCACCCGGCCCTAATTAGTAAACTATTTAGACATAACTTTCCAAACTTAATCATATTTTTGTTTGCTTTTCTGCTTTTGTACTCTGATATAATATCAGCGAACAATAACTCACCTTGCATTGTATATTTCAGATACCAGTTAAACTAGCTGTTATTTTTAATTCTTAAGATTTAGGCATTGTACATAAAGTATTTAATGATCTGAGATAATTTTCTTTTAATGACATATGTATGTTCTATCTCTTTTTCAGGTCATCCTGTACAGTTCTACAGCATGAATAGGCCTGCCTCTCGCCATACTCCCCCAACAATAGGGGGCTCGTTGCCCTATAGACGCCCTCCTTCCATTACTTCACAAACAAGCCTTCAGAATCAGATGAATGGAGGACCTTTTTATAGCCAGAATCCAGGTTAGTTTTTTTGTTTTTTTGCATTCTATAGAATGTATTTAATTAAAAACCTTCAACTACAAAAAACCCTTAATTACAAATAGTGCATGGTAGGTGGTTAGCACCATTTGTTGAATGAATGGGAGAATGAATGAATTGTAGGTTGTTAATACTGTATCTTTCAATTCTTTAAAAAAAAATCAGTATGTGATTTCCACGTAAAGTCATACAACTTAGTTTTTCTGAGCAGAATTTTTTTGAATATTTTAGTGGTTATTTGCTTTTTAAAATAACATTGTGGTGAATGGTATTTCCTTTTTATTTAATCAGACATCCTTACTTTTAAATAACAAATAATGAAAGTTGTGTGCACATGAACAGAATTTAGAAGTGGCAAAGGAAAAGAGAACATTTTTGAAGCTACTTTGTGCTAGGGAATTATACTAGCTTATACAATTCTCATACCAAACCCATGGTGGAAAAACTAGGAATTGGGTAAATTGAATCAGATATAATAATTACACTAAATAATCGGTTGTATCATGCATGCAGAATAACTAATCTGGAACATATTTAATAATTATTATTTTGTTTACTCCCCAGAGAGGGCAAGAACAAATATTAGACACCATGGCTATTGTGGACATGGTATGTCAACTTACTGCTTTTTTCTGTATTTTTGCCAGGAAGCCAGTAAGCCTATGTGTGAACACCTCTCATACTGGGTTCAACTCATTCCATTTTTGATAAGCCTTGAATTTTATGGAGCTGCAGTTTGTCTCTGTGGCTGTGACCTATAGTGATATTCTTTGAAAGAGTCTTGCAGAAGAAATTTGATCCTCCAACATAAACACTTAATTTAAATAATGTTTTTATATTATCTCATTTGATTCTTAGAATCACGTACAAAATAAGATTGGTGATCATTTTCTTATATCTTATAGGTAAGGAAAATGAGGCTGAGGTGATGGTCAGGTTAGGATTTGAACTTAGGTTTTCTGACTCTAAGTTCCATGTTCTTTCTTTCTGTTTTTTTTTTTTTTTTTTTTTTAAATTGAGATGGAGTCTCGCTCTGTTGCCCAGGATGGAGTGCAGTGGTGTGATCTCTGATCACTGCAATGCCTGCCTCCTGGGTTCAAGAGATTCTCCTGCCTCAGCCTCCTGAGTAGCTGGGATTACAGGCACCCACGACCACACCCAGCTAATATTTGTATTTTATTGTAGAGACAGGGTTTCACTATGTTGGCCAGGCTGGTCTTAAACTCCTGACCTTAAGTGATTCACCCACCTCAGCCTCCCAAAGTGCTGGGATTACAGGCGTGAGTCACCGTGCCTGGCCTAAGTTCCATGTTCTTTCTATTGTCCTACCTACATATTTAAAAAATTTTTCTCTTATCCTCCCAAGTCTTCTCTTTTTTGGAGGGGAAGGCGGATGAAAAGATGTGATATAAAGTGCATGAAAGCCTGAGACCTTGTCAGTCTTTTATACAGTTACATCCTGGAATATTGCTCAGGAACTGTTTGTTGAATGCCAAATGAATCCCTTGTTCATTTTTCCAAATCCCTTCACTGTTCTGGGTCCCTCTCGTAAATTAAGTGCTGTATCTGTAGTCCATCCAGTGCAAACCATAGTGTGAATACCAACTGCCTTAATTGATATATACTTCCCTTCTATCTTTTATCACGTTTAGTGTTTTTGGCTATGCCATTCTTTTTAAATCATTCTGAACTTAAATTTTGACAAAACTGCCCTTTTTATACATTTGCCTTTTAAACCATGTTTTCAAACTCACATTTGTTCAGGAGCACGGGATTACAGGTACCTGCCACCACGCCTGGCTAATTTTTGTTTTGTTTTGTTTTGAGACAAAGTCTTGCTCTGTCACCCAGGCTGGAGTGCAGTGGTACAATCTCGGCTCACTGCAACCTCTACCTCCCGGGTTCAAGCGATTCTCCTGCCTCAGCCTCCCAAGTAGCAGGGATTACAGGCACCTGCCACTACACCCAGCTAATTTTTGTATTTTTAGTAGAGACAGGGTTTCACCATATCGGCCAAGCTGGTCTTGAACTCCTGACCTCAAGTCATCCACTTGCCTTGGCCTCCCAAAGTGCTCAGATTACAGGTGTGAGCCACCGCACCCGGCCTATACAGGGATATTTCATGCTTTGTTCGTGTATGCTCCAAAATAGTCCTATGAGAACTCTGTAGGTAGAATTTATTTGAAGGCTGTTTAAGCACATATTTAAATGCATTTTATAATACATACTTCAATAGTTTCTTTGTAAATCTGATTTTCAAATGCTTGAAAGTATATGTTAAAGTAAAAAGATCCCCACTTTATGGAATGATTTTAATGAAAAGTATTTTTCTCACTCATGGAAGTAAGGTGAATTGGGATTGTTAGGCTTTCTGTGTAATGTGTGAGTCAATTTAGTTGTGCTTTTTTGTTTTTCTGTACTCTGCTCTATTAAGTTCTGCCTTTCATCTCCAGGGATTTGATAACTGTTTAAAGTGGGTGGCCACAGCATTGTTAGTTGGTTAATCAGAGTACTTTTTGTAAACTAATTTTTTTTTAACTAAACCATTTTCTTGGAAAAGCTCTTTTTGCAAGACTTAATGATTTGTGAATCAGTGTTCTAAGGCTGTTAGATGTACTTTTATTTTATATTCATTAGAATATTATTTATGAGTCAAGCACTGTGGCAGGTGCCTGCAGTCCCAGCTCCTCAGGAGGCTGAGGCAGAACGATTGGTTGAACCTAGGAGATGGAAGTTTCAGTGAGCCGAGATTGTGCCACTGTACTCCAGCCTGGGCAACAGAGTGAGACCCTGTCTCAAAAAAAAAAAATTATGTAAGTCTCCTGTATTACTCCCAGTAGCCCTGCAATTGTCCCTATTTTTTTCATATTTACAATGAGAATATTTGTTGTGCTTTCTCAAGTAACTAATTCTCTGATTTAACAAAAATGATCTGAAGTGTGTGTTTTATGAGCTTTTTTTTTGGGGGGGTAATTGGAGTCTTGCTGTGGTTGCATGCTTCTGAGGAAGTGAGCTGACAATCTTTGGAAGGTTTCATGTGAATATAAATTCAGTGGGGTTCTGTGAGGTGTAAATCTAGCAGTGCTGTTACTATATTTGTTAATGTACAATTTGATCTGAGTTTGAAAAAGGGCAATTATAACATAGGAGTTAAAATATGGAACACCCAGTGTCTAGTGCCAAGTCTTAGGAGCACAATAATTGTTTTTTTCATGAGATTATTTCAGAAACAAGTTATTGAAAGGAAAGGAACCCTTTGATCAGGGCATAACTGAAATCCCTTTGGTTCTCATTATTTCTTAATCTAATCCAGCCAATGAAATAGGAATACCAATTTATCATTAATCTTGCCAGTGGTAAGGAGGGGGTCATAGAAACACATAGGGCTAATTATGAGTTAACAGTCTCTACTTTAAATGTAAATATGAAACACCTTGGTGGTCAAGAAGAATATACATATATCTACATGTGAGTATGTGTACATATACTTACATAAGCCTTGTTTGTTAAGGAATCAGTAATGTAGCATGTAAGTATTGAAGACTTTAGGAGAAAGTAGCCTGTATTTTACTGCTCATATTTTCTTAAAAGCTTTTGAAAAAATCTAGTTCATAAAGTGAATGTTGGTTCCAAGAGATGTGTCTATATATAGTTCTATGAGATATAGGAGTTTCTGAATGGGTATGCTGTTTCACAAAGAGAAAGTGTCAGGCTTAGTAACCCCTGAATGGTTTTAAAAGCGACTAAAAAAATAGGAAACAATGTTGGGATGGTGCTGTTCCAAAATAAAAAGCCATTTCACATATTCTCTAAATGATTTGTGAAGTTACAGCATCACCATAAATGTCTAAAACGTCTAGAAGAATACTGATGTGTTGGGGCTTTAGCAAAGTATAAATAAAGAGCAGGAGCAGGAAGATTTTTTTTTCTCCCCAAAGTCTTGCTTTGTTGTCCAGGCTGGAGTGCAGTGGCACAATCTTGGCTCACTGCAACCTCTGCCTCCTGGGTTCAAGCGATTCTCCTGCCTCAGCCTCCCGAGTAGTTGGAACTACAGGTGTGTGCCACCACGCCTGGCTCTTTTTTTTTCTTTAATAGAGACAAGCTTTCACCGGGTTGGCCAGGCTGATCTCCGACTCCTGACCTCAAGTGATCCAGTTCCATCTGGCGTAACAAAGGTCATCCCAAATTCTACTTTTCTCCACGGCAAACCTTTAACAAGGTGGTCGAAATTAATTCAGATACCACATCCTTTTCTTTTTGGACCATGTAAGATCTCATCTGACTAGAATGTCTGTGAGCCAGAATATACTGTCTTTCTTGGAGTTGAGCTGAAAACAAACCATTCTAAGAGAATTTAAGCAGAATTTTGAGCAAAGAATTGTTGCAATATTCAGTTCTAATCCTAGTCATTTTGTTACTGCTTTGGCCTCCCAAAGTGCTGGGATTACAGGTGTGAGCCACCGCATCCAGCCTGAATTCACTTTTACATACCTTTTGTTCTAAGTTGGTATTCATGTTTAGAAAATACTACACTTACACATTGTTTATTTCCTTCACTGGGAAAAAAACATAAGCATCTCAACTCGCATGGGCTATATAATATATATATCTCCTCTAAATGTGATGTTCAGTAATGACTTTAGAAGTAGTTTTTAGAGCGCTTATTTTGTCTAATATTCTCAGAGTATTTATAAAGCTGTAAAAATAAGATGTAAAAGCTTAATTTTATTTTTCCAAACTTTTTGAATTGGACATCTAAAATACAAGCTTCATTGATGCTTCAGAGGACTTTATAAATAACCAGGAAGGTTGTACTTGGAAAGTCTGTACATTTCATCAGCACAGATTCATCATTTAGGTTTGGATTGCTTGGAAAGCCTTTTACTGTTTATATCTAAACATTCTTGTATATTGTGAAAATTACATAACAATCTAAGTTTGGAGATCTTTTGGTGGTTATTGGGAAAGAGTCTTGTCTTATGAGGAATCATTTTAGCTAAATGAAATGAAAACAAGTTTGCTTCCTGCTCTTCTTTGCCTGTTCACAAAATGACTAGGATTAGAACTGAATATTGCAACAATTCTTTCCTCAAAATTCTGCTTAAATTCACTTAAAATGGTTTGTTTTCAGCTCAACTCCAAGAAAGACAGTATATTCTGGCTCACAGACGTTCTTGTCAGATGAAATCTTACAAGGTCCGAAAAGAAAATGATGTGGTATCTGAATTAATTTCGACCACCTTATTAAAGGTTTGTCCTGGAGAAAAGTAGAATTTGGGATGACCTTTGTAACCCCAGACGGAACTGAATTTTTGAACATGCCTTAGACTAGCTTTGAAAAAAGTCTAACTTGTTACCAAGTCATTCTTTTAAGGAAGAACTGCGATTGATCTTTCCCTGGCTGCTGGTGGACTTTTTTTTTTTTTTGAGATGGAGTTTTGCTCTTGTTGCCCAGGCTGGAGTGCAATGGCATGATCTCGGCTCACTGCAGCCTCTACCTCCTGGGTTCAAGCGATTCTCCTGGTTCAGCCTCCCGAGTAGCTGGGGTTACAGGCACCTGCTACCACACCTGGCTAATTTTTGTATTTTTAGTAGAGATGGGGTTTCACCATGTTGGCCAGGCTGGTCTTGAACTCCTGACCTCAGGTGATGCGCCCCCCTCGGCCTTCCAAAGTGATGGGATTACAGGCATGAGCCACCGTGCCTGGCTGCTGGTGTACTTCTTAAAACCACTATGGCTTCAGATTTTCACTTTCAGAAGTAGAAAAGAAATAAGCATATTCATCTTAAAAAAAAAAACCTCAGTCTACCCACAAAAAGACTGCTGTAGGTTAAGCACCTAATCATTCTTTTTTAGCTGAGTACCAAAAGGTCATTTTTTATATTTGGTAGAGAAACAGTGACTGAAGTGGGAAATTTCCCACTTTTCTGTTACACGGAAGGTTAGGTTACATGCCAACAGAAGAGGAGCATTTCATCTTGGATGTGAACATGTGCCTTGTCTCTACTCTTCTAGTGCCAGTTGCTGCCTGCTACTGTTTCTCAGTTTTATCTTTTTTGTCTATGCTACCTTCTCCTTTCTTTTTTTTTTTTTTTTGAGACGGAGTCTCGCTCTGTCGCCCAGGTCGGACTGCGGACTGCAGTGGCGCAATCTCGGCTCACTGCAAGCTCCGCTTCCCGGGTTCACGCCATTCTCCTGCCTCAGCCTCCCGAGTAGCTGGGACTACAGGCGCCCGCCACCGCGCCCGGCTAATTTTTTGTATTCTTAGTAGAGACGGGGTTTCACCTTGTTAGCCAGGATGGTCTCGATCTCCTGACCTCATGATCCACCCGCCTCGGCCTCCCAAAGTGCTGGGATTACAGGCGTGAGCCACCGCGCCCGGCCCAACTACCTTCTCTTTTCACTGTCTTCTGCTTACCCTTGGAAACAGTATTATGAACATATCAACAGTTGTTGTAAGCCTCTGAGTGGGAAGCAGACACGCAAGTCAAGGATTTACTGCCAAGAATTATGACTTTAGGGAAAAACCTAACCAAAGGTGTCTTTTTAAGAAAGGTACCAATTTCTAGGGTTATACTGCTCTGTTCTTTGCATCTAGATATTCAAGATTATCTGCTTAACTCTTGTCTGTGCATTTATATGTCCTCCCTGCATCTATCCATAGCATCAACTGTAGATATTTTGCATAATCTCAACCCAAATATATCATATCATTATCTCTCCCTGACTTACCTGTTTACCATCCCATTTCTTTCCCAGTACTACCTACCAGGCTTAACATAGTTAGTGACATCTCCATCTTCATAGTTACGAAGGGTAAAAATCTAAGAATGACCTTCAGCTTGTTGCTGTCCTTGATATGCTAGCTAAATCATTAATTGCCAACTACTCTCTTCCCACACTTTTAAAGTTCTCTCCTTTTCTAGAAACTGCTTTGATTTATTACGTGCCAGCCACTGGGTTAGGCTTTCCACATCCATTGTCTTTTTTTAATCTTTGCAGCCACTATTGGAAGTAGGTTGCATTACCTTGTTTTCATATCACATTTATGGAATAGGCCTGAAGAAGTTAATTGACTAGCTATCCAAACAGCCAGGAAATGATGGATCAGAGATTTGAGGCTGAGTGACCTGAAAATCCAACCTCTTTCCACTAAGCACTCTTCCACCAGGCATATAAGATCCTTCCCTATTTCATATCCTCCCATTGATATTTCTGGGTTTTTTACTTTCTCTTTGGGTATCTTTTCCTAGCCATATGGAAACATTTCTGGTCCTGTGAACTGGTTATGCTGTTTTATGCCTCTGAGCCTTTACCCTCACTTGCTTCTCTCAACTTGATTATCTTTCTCAACCCCTGTCAGCTTGGCAGGTTCCCTTCTTCAAGTCCCTGCTGAGAGGTCATTTCATTGTAGCCCTCCTTACCTCCACCACTACTTCCAGGGAATTGCTACAAATATTGTTGGGTTAAGATTATCATGTATTCTTCTGTTTCAATAGAATGTGATCTCCTTGAGAGCAGAGACATGTTCATCTTTTTAGTTTTATTAGTCTTAACTGTATTTTGGAGCTAACAGAGGCATTTTCTCTTTATAAGAAAATGCATATCCTACTTTGTACCCATTCTAAAGGAAACTGTAACTGTAGAGTAATCTTTTTTCTTTCTTTTTTTTGCCGCTTTAGTTTCCACACATACCTGGCTTATTAGTGCAATTATATATGTTAAACATCTGTTGACAGTTTATTAGTTCTAGGCACTGTGCCAGGTGATTGAGGTGCAGGGAAATACACCTTGGGAAGGAGAGTGGAATGATTTGATTAAGGCCTGCACTTTTCTATACCATCAGGGAGGAAGTGTACCAATGAGTTGGGATTATGAAAAATTGTAATGACATAGCACCCGATTCTCAGAGGACGGTTTTGATACTGTTTTCCTAGCAGGTGTTTGCCACTTACTTAGTATGAAGTCAGTAAGTATTTGTCTAATTAATGAATGAAGAACCAGTTTACTTGCCTACAATTAGAGTAATAAAAGTATCCATTTAGAGTGTTGGGATGTAATATTTTTTTCTCTCTGTATTGACAAACATTTAAACTTGTAACCTTCCAAGGTAAAATTCAGAAAACAACATCATGGTAATCTGCAGAAATGCTTTCCTTGAGAAGGCATGATGTTAATGATATGAAAAAAGATCAATTATATATAATATATATATAAAACATGATTGTTATATATAAAAATGGGATTATGTTTTATATATATAAAACATACGATTATGTTATATATATATTTAACATATCTGTGTATGATAAATGCCTCCTGTTGTGATTTTCAAAAACTTACTAAAAATTCCCCCAGTACTTTGTTTGTGTTAATGAGTTGTCCCTCAACAGGGGATCCTTGAGATCACTGATAAAATGTTTGTGAATAGTAGTTTCCCTCCTTTATGTGTTTATTTTATTGTATTATCCTTTCCTTTTAATGTAACTCGCCCTTATCCCTTATCCTCCACACCTTTTTTGTTTTTGCAGTATCTCTTGCTCCTCCTCCTCCCTCCATCCTACAGGTAACTCCTCAGTTACCTTTAATGGGATTTGTGGCCAGAGTCCAAGAAAATAGTAAGTTTATGTCTTCTTTATGCTGTAGATCAGATTGTAGGCATAAAATGTCATTTATATGTGATTGACTGGATAGTCATTCATTTGCTGATACTTCAACATTTCAATATTATGAACAAATCACTGTCTGGCTAGTGGAGATAAAATAGAGAAATTTTCTACTTTTAAATAACTAATAGTAAAGACATAAGACAAATACATATAAAATAAGGCACATATAAGAAAAGAAAGATCACATCCTACTGAGGAGGTATCTTTAATCACTAGATATCCCATCTTTTTCTCTGGGTTGCTCAGATAAGTGGTAGTCTAGTTTCTTATCACTGGAGTTTTATGGGTATTATAGGTGGTCTGAGAATCTTCCTCCAGTTTTGTGATTCCAGATATCAGAAGGGCCTTTTATGGTAGGGCTCAGAGGACCAGGCTGCCAGTCTGTCTCCCAAGAAGCCTCATAGGTTGGCAATGAATTTCCCTTGGCCTGTTCAGGTAACTAATTTTGTTCATACCTTGAGTCTTCTAGGGAAGCATTAAGGGAGCTCAGGAGGCTGATGACAAATCAGGAGGCCTGTATCAACATTCAGTGAGGAATTGCTGTCACAGAGACCAGTGAACATAGACTGTATGATGGACAAATCCTCTTCTTATGGGCAGTCTTTGCGAGGGCCACATCACAATAATAAGGTTACATGATTTGCATGAAT
Organism: Homo sapiens; assembly: GCF_000001405.40. Taxonomy (NCBI): domain Eukaryota; kingdom Metazoa; phylum Chordata; class Mammalia; order Primates; family Hominidae; genus Homo; species Homo sapiens. The sequence goes on from NC_000002.12 coordinate 203,412,073, forward strand.
CTGAACTAGGAGAATGATATTAAAGATCTCATGTCATCAGACCAAAGTAGTCCAGTGTATATATCTCATAACAAGGATGGATGACTTCACTGGTGGGGTAGAAATATTTGCAATCTGTGGCTTAGGACTCCTGCTTATTTGGAAATGGGCACTGCCAGTACTAGAATGTAAGCTCTATAAGAGCAAGGAGTTTTGCCTGTTTTGCTTGCTAGCTGTTTCCCCAGCACTTGGAAAAGCATCTGACACATAGCAGGCACTTTTGGTCCCTGCTTTTTTCTGCTTCTGTAGCTGACCAAATGCCCCCCTTTTATCAGCACATTCTTCTAGATGTGGTTGTATTTTAACTAATAATTCAGTCTTACTGGCCTAAGGGCTCAGTGTCTTTCAGCTGCCTTTGCATCTCTATTTGCTAATTTCTGAAAATAGTCTATTTTACTTACTTTTGTTTATTGGAAGGTACTCCATGAACACCTGTAATGTTTACCACACCGTGACTTCATAAGATGTTTTGTTGAGTTTAAGAGCTATTTTCACATATAATTAGGTTGATTTCATATGTTTTAAATTATGCTATTGGGGCCGACTCTTCTTTAGCTTGGGTGTGACCCACACTGGCTCGAGGAGAAAACTGCCTCTCAGCAACATTCAACTATTAATAGTTCAGCATGTGCCAAGCACATCCATAGTGTGATCCTCTGCCAGGCTTGTGAGGTCAAGTGTGGGATACAGGGTCACTGTTGCCAGGTTTTAAAAAATGTCTGCTGCATCCAAACAGGATAAATACCAAGTAGAAAAGGATTTAATTACAGTACGAGAATTGAAGGACTTTCCAATGCTGGTTCCATTCTACATACTCCATACAAGGTGGAAAGTCTAAGTAAATGTCATTACAGTAAAATAATTTTTTTCCATCACAAATCCGGTTTAATCACAATGATTAATGATGGTAGTCACTTGAATAATACCCTGGGAGTTTTTTCTGTTTTTACTATTGTGATGAGTGTACACCTTAGAGAATTCTGCCAATCAATTGCTACTGCATGTTCTGTGAGATGTTGTCATTCATTTTGAACAAAAGTGGTTCTGAGCAGCTTCTGGAGTAAAGGCCAGATTTTGAAACTGACATTGAAGACTAATCCATTAATGAAACACGAATGTTTGTATAGCAACTAAGTGGTTATTTTCTTAGCAAAAAATGAGACTTGAAAGTTGAATAGGATTTAAAGCAGGATGTCATTGGTTTTCGCCAGTCACCAGTGAAAGCTGCAAGCTTTGTAGAAACAGCAAAATGTTTCATGAACCAAACCTAAGAAGTATTGTTTTAATTTAATAGTAAAGTGCATGACTATCACTTTAAGACTTAGGAATGTCTTAAGTAGATGACTGCAAAACATTATTATAGCAGCACTACCTATATTTTAAAAAGTCATTCCCTAATTTGACCACCCTATCACAGTTGATTGCCTTTTGGATTGGTCTTTTTCATCTTTTCCTACAATCATATACGTTTCTCATTTACACAACGTATAAAAAAATTGTGTATGAGGTGTGCTGTGACTAATTTTACAGACGTGGCAGGACTTAAACATTAGTCAAATAATAAACATTATTTGAATGTTTAAGTCTTTAAACTCTTTAAAACATTCACCTTGGAAAAATACATACATTTCTTTTGGTACATCTTCAAAGATAATTCTTTGGAATTATCTTCAAAGCTTTCCAGGTATATTATTTTGAAGATATTCCTTGGTAGCAAATACTCACTCTGCATTAAGTTTGATGTTTGGAAGAAGTCTGGAATAATTTGGAACCAGTTATAGTGACCCAGTTATACTGGGGTAAGAAGTACAGCTATGACCCTGTTATTCCCCTTAAAATCTTTCTGTGGCTCACCATGGCTCTTTGGATAGAGTCCAAACTGCTGTAAGGCCCTTCCTGCCTCATCCTCTTCAGCTTCCTGAAGCTGGCTACTGAATTTGGACAGTTCTTTGAAAGTTTCTTGCTTTCTTACCTTTGTACTTGCATTGTCTTTTTTTTTTTTTTTTTTTGGAGACAGTCTCACTCTGTCACCCAGGCTGGAGTACAGTGGTGCAATCTTGGCTCTCTGCCACCTTCCCCTCCTGGGTTCAAGTGATTCTCATGCCTCAGCCTCGTGAGCAGCTGGGAATACACGTGTGCACCACCATGTGCGTCTAATTTTTGTATTTTTAGTAGAGACGGGGTTTCGCCATATTGGCCAGGCTGGGCTTGAACTCCTGAGCTCAAATGATCCTCCTGCCTCAGCCTCCCAAAGTGCTGGGATTACAGGCGTGAGCCTCCCCGCCTGGCCTTGTTTTGTTCTTTGTATCTGACATGAAATATCAATGCCTCTGCCATCCTACCCTCCCCTCTTCCTCCCCATTAACTCTTACTCTTCCTTCAGGTTTCAGGAAGCCTTTCCTGACCCACATAACAAGTGTGGTTTATGCTGTGTGCTTCTATAGTATCTTAAAGCACACACTACACTCAATTGTAAATGAAGATTTGGTCGTTCATGTCTTCATGACTTTTGCCTACTGCCCTTTTCTCAATGCTGAGCATAATATCCAGCCATATTAGTTAATGTTTGTTGAATAAATACTAATGAAGCATGACTTGAAGTTTTTAAAATTTATCCCATCCCATAATAGTGTAGCTTTTAAGATAATAGGCATTGGAGTTCAGGTGCTTTTCCACTTACTTGCTGTCAGAATACTTAATCTTGGAAAGCCAGTCTCCACATCTATAAAATGAAAAACACCACCTCCCAATATAAAGATGAAATGAAATAATGCATTACAAAGGACTAGCTGAGTAATTGGAACATTTTAAGTCAAAAGTAGTAGCTTATTAAACTGGCAGTTACAAGAAAAGTAAAAATGACCAATGGCAGCATCTTTGAGTAATTTTGTAGTGTCATTTCTCAAGGTTATTGTTTTGAAAGTTCCTTTGGATCTATGGTTCTGTGCAGTTGTTTAAAGTCAGTCTTTTTATCTTACAAATGGAAATAGGATAAATTTCTCTTTCTCACCCAAGTATATGGTAAATCACATATCTATATCTTTTGTTTATTAATAAAAACTATTAGGATGAAAGACATTCTATTTAATGACTGAAGTTTTAAAGTTTATAAAGTAGATCAGTATAGAGGGGCACAGCAGATGGGAAGAATACTGATAAGACAGCATGGTGTTGATGTGGCTGCTCCCACCAGGCATCAGCAGTCTTTGAAAATCCATTTAATTCACCGGGCGCGGTGGCTCACGCCTGTAATCCCAGCACTTTGGGAGGCCGAGGTGGGCGGATCACAGGGTCAAGAGATCTAGACGATCCTGGCTAACACGGTGAAACCCCATCTCTACTAAAAATACAAAAAATTAGCTGGGTGTGGTGGCGGGCGCCTGTAGTCCCAGCTACTTGGGAGGGTGAGGCAGGAGATTGGCATGAACCCGGGAGGCAGAGCTTGCAATGAGCCGAGATCACACCACTGCACTCCAGCCTGGGCGATAGAGCGAGACTCCGTCTCAAAAAAAAAAAAAAAAAAAAAAAAAAATCCATTTAATTCAATTCGTAGGCTTAGATTAAAAAATACTAAATAAATTGGATTGCTCAGAGAGTCACATGGGAACTATACTGGTACCTCATAAATAAGAATTAGTGCTGTTCATTAAACCTGGGGAGCTGATAAACAGGTTTATTCATTTCATTCTGTTCAGTTGTGCTCACGTATTTACCAACCATTTTGAAAGCTTAAGGTAGCTGAGTTTGAAGATAATCTTTTTGATGTTACTATATATTGGTATGCAAGCTGTGGAAGCAGATCTCCATGTGAGATATTTTAAATTACTCTGATAGTACACTTGGACATTTAGCCTGAAGAAATTCTGAATTATAGTCTGAATTAGAAGAAATTCTATAAGTAAACAAACATCCTCATAGATGAAGTAACCCAAGTTTGTTGATGATTTTTTTCCTCTTGAATTTGGTAAAATGCTATTTTAGAAAAATTCATTAAGAGGAAAGTAGTGGGTTATTAAAATTTTACTATTCCCTGGACTCATTTAAGTGAAAAAATATTTTAAGAATTTGTGAAATATGGTTTTCAGTGTTAGTATTTCTGATAACTTACCCTTGAATACAGTGTAAAGCTCAGCTGTATTGTACTGATCTCTGGGTTTTTTTATTCTTATTTTTTATTGTTTATTTTTTTTTTGCTGTTGTTGTTTTTGAGATGCGGTCTTGCCCTATGGCCCAGGCTGGAGTGGCGTGATCTCGACTCACTGCAACCTCCACCTCCCCGGTTCCAGCGATTCTTGTGCCTTGGCCTCCTGAGTAGCTGGGATTACGGGCGCCCACGACCATGTGCGACTAATTTTTGTATTTTTAGTAGAGGCAGGGTTTCACCATGTTGCCCAGGCTGGTCTTGAACTTCTGACCTCAGGTGATCCGCCTGCTTCGGCCTCCCAAAGTGCTGGGATTACAGGCGCGAGCCACCGCTCCTGGCCATACTGATCTCTTTGGAAAGAGGATTTGTGTTAATATAAACAGGTTCCAGAGGCTCAGTTAATAATTATTTTGTCTAAACTTTATTCAGTGTCCATTAGCATTAATCCAAGGGCAAGAGAGGGAGAACGTCATACTTGGAGCTCTAGAACGTTATAGTTGGTGGGAAGACTTATCTTGCTCATTGATTTTTTGAAGGAATATTACATTTATTTTCAAGTCTAGGTTTATATTCCATGAACCCAGAAGCTTGGATAGGAAATACTGAACTTTGCATAACATATAGTTTTGTTGTCAGCCTGATACGTTCTTAGTTTCAGATACACCACCTCCACCGCCACCTGTGGAAGAACCAGTCTTTGATGAGTCTCCCCCACCTCCTCCTCCTCCAGAAGATTACGAAGAGGAGGAAGCTGCTGTGGTTGAGTATAGTGATCCTTATGCTGAAGAGGACCCACCGTGGGCTCCACGTTCTTACTTGGAAAAGGGTAAGTTTCAGAAGGATATCTGGATAGATGGGAAGAAACCTCTACATAGAAATGAAATTTGCGGTACTGAAGAGAATCTTATTTTCTACTAAGTGAAGTTCTATTTATTTGTATTTGTGCATTTTTACTGAGTTTACAAGGTTCATGATTTTGAAAGTTACACTAGTAAAATTCTGTGAATATTTGATTTTAAAAAACTGATGGTTATCTATATTGTTCCTATTGGACATGCTTTTTATGAATGGTTTCTATCAGTGTTTTTCTGTTTTCCTTTGGCCTCAGGAAGATTATTTTTCCACATTATTATTCCTACCTCCATGCTTTAGAACATTAGTTTGTGTCACCTTATAATCAGATACTTCAGTTTAAATGTCTCCACATGAAACTTTCTTCCACAGAATAATGGTTTCTCAGTTTCTTTGCCAAGTAATATTGGGCATTTCTTTTAGTGAAAAGCTTCTTTGATATTAGCTAATTATGATGTAGCACTTTGGGATACAAGCTTTCAAATCCATCAAGACTAATCAGCTCAGAAAAAAATGTGTGCTGTCTGGAAGGAAATTTTCTTTTAAGAAAATCAAAGCTACTAACCCACTGAGTCTCAAAGCTGGCTACACATTAGAATCACTTGGAGAGCTTTTATAAAGAAATAATAGGCTTCCACTTTTGGCCAAGAGAGAGCAACAGTAATCAGGTGTACCCTCCCTCCTAAAACAGGAATTTTAAAACCCCACAAAATAATGGTTTTCAGACATTGAACAACAGGCACTGGAGAGAAGGAAATTAATTTTTTTCTTTATGTAGCTACTATAAATACCACATGTGATCAAGAAAGTAAAGGAGAACATGAACATGAGAGAGACGTGGAATATATCTTTAAAAAGAGAGAGAGAGAGAAAGAGAAACATAATATTTCTGGAGACGAAAAACACATGCTGCAGAAGAAAGCATTAGCAACCTTGATGCCATGACAATAGAAACTATCCAAAATAAGGCACAGAGAAGAAAGTGGAAAAAAAGGCAAAAAGGAAAACAGAGCAACAGATAATGTGAGACAAGGTCAGATAGTCTTTATGTATGTGTAATTGGAGTCCCCAGGAGATGTGAGAGGAAAAAGAGTTGAAACAATCATAGACAAAATATTTCCACGTTTGATGAAAACTATATTAGTTGTGTATTGCTACCTAACAAGTTATTCCAAAAATTTAGTGGCTTAAACAAAACATCCATTATCTCCCAGTTTCTCTGCGTGGCTCAGCTGGGCCCTCTGGTTCAGGGACTCTTCACACGGCTGCAATCAAGGTATCAGCTGAGGCTGCAGTGATCTCAGGGCTTGACTGAGGGAGACTGCTTTCAGGCTCACTCGTGGTTATTGGCAGGATTTAGTTCCTTGTGGGTTGTTGGCCTGACGGCCTCGGCTTCTTCATTGGCTGTTGGCCAGAGGCTGCCCACAATTCTGGATCACATAGGCTTCTCCGTAGGGCAGCTCACAACATGGCAGCTAACTTCATTAGAATGAACAAGCAAGAAGCGCCAAAAAGAGAATGCAAGCAAGACACTAGTCCTTTTTTCACCTTAACCCAGCAGCGATGACCTGTCATTTTTGCCATTTTCTGTTCATTAAAGCAAGTTAATAGGATTAGTCAACACTGAAGGGGTAGGGATTACATAAAGGCATGAATACTATGAGGCAGAAATCATTGGGAGCTGTTTTAGAAGTTGTCTCCCACAAAACTATAAACTCACAGATCCAAGAAGTTCAATAAACCCCAAATAGAAGAAAAGAAAATCTTGCCAAGGCACATCATAATCAATTTGCTAAAAACCAGTACCTTAGAAAATCTTAAAGATAATCAGAGGAAAAATGACATATTACATACAGAGGAACAAAGATAAGAATGACTGCATGGTTCTCATCAAAAAGCTGTTAAGTCAGAGAATTGAGCAAAATCTTCAAAGTAATGAAGGAAAATGTCAACCCAGTGTTCTTTACTTAGCAAAAATATCCTTCCTAAATTAAAGATCTTTTTTTTTTTTTTTTTTTTGAGACGGAGTTTCGCTCTTGTTGCCCAGGCTGGAGTGCAATGGCGTGATCTCAGCTCACAGCAACCTCCACCTCCCGGGTTCACGCCATTCTTCTGCCTCAGCCTCCCGAGTAGCTGGGACTACCGGCGCCCACCACCGCGCCCCGCTAATTTTTTTGTATTTTTAGTAGAGACGTGGTTTCACGGTGGTCTTGATCTCCTGACCTCATGATCCGCCCGCCTAGGCCTCCTAAAGTGCTGGGATTACAGGCGTGAGCCACGAGGCAGAGTCTCGCTCTGTCGCCCAGGCTGGAGTGCAGTGGTGTGATCCTGGCTCACTGCAAGCTCCGACTACCGGGTTCACGCCATTCTCCTGCCTCAACCTGCTGAGTAGCTGGGACTACAGGCGCCTGCCACCATGCCTGGGTAATTTTTTGTATTTTTTTTTTTTTTGGTAGAGACGGGGTTTCACCGTGTTAGCCAGGATGGTCTCGATCTCCTGACCTCGTGATCTGCCCACCTCTGCCTCCCAAAGTGCTGGGATTACAGGCGTGAGCCACTGCGCCCAGCCTGTGCTTTGTATTTTATGTGGTTTGCCTTGTTTAATATAAGAATGCTTTGGGCTGTAATCCCAGCACTTTGGGAGGCTGAGGCGGGCCGAACACCTGAGGTTGGGAGTTGGAGACCAGCCTGACCAACATGGAGAAACCCCGTCTCTACTAAAAGTACAAAATTAGCTGGGCATGGTGATGCATGCCTGTAATCCCAACTACTCGGGAGGCTGAGGCAGGAGAATCACTTGAACTCCAGAGGCGGAGGTTGGGGAGAGCTGAGATCGCCCCATTGCACTCCAGCCTGGGCAACAAGAGCGAAACTCCATCTCCAAGAAAAACATGCTTTGAAATGTTAGCTCTATTGTAATTCCCATTATATAGTTGAATAAAAAGAAGCCTAGGAAAGTTAAGTATGTACTGTAAACTATTAATAGTTAAGTGTTAGAATTGGGATTTGACTGGGTGGTATAACTCTAGACCCCACACTCTTAACCATTGTCCTAAACGTGAGCTCTGGCATCTGGCAGACCTAGGATTGAGTCTTGGCTTTACAGTTTATGAGCATTAAGTCCTCCCTGGAAAACTTTTTTACTGCCCGTTTTGTATCTCTTAACTTTTGTAAAGCCATCTATTCTTTTGTTCTTCTGGCTCAGTGATACAGCTTTTAGCTAGAAGTATAAATGATATATAGGAATTGTCAGATAACATTTCTGTCTTCACAAGACTGTGACAGTCCCTTTTTTTTTTTTTTTGAGACGGAGTCTTGCTCTGTTGCCCAGGCTGGAGTGCAGTGGCACGGTCTTGGCTCACTGCAAGCTCTGCCTCCCAGGTTCACGCCATTCTCCTGCCTCAGCCTCCTGAGTAGGTGGGACTACAGGCACCTGCCAGCACACCCGGCTAATTTTTTGTATTTTTAGTAGAGACAGGGTTTCACCATGTTAGCCAGGATGGTCTCAATCTCCTGACCTTGTGATCCGCCCACCTCGGCCTCCCAAAGTGCTGGGATTACAGGTGTGAGCCACCACGCCCAGCCGACAGTCCCTTATCTGGTTCATCTTCGTACCTCTAAAAGTCAGCATGGATGCTCTATTAATGATTGTTAAAAAATGAATAGTGCCATTAATTCTTTCTGGGGAATTCCTAGAAAGCTTCTCAGAGAACATGGCGTTCTTGGTGCCTTGAATGATGAATAGGAGTTTCTCAGGCAGAGAAGAGAGAAAGGAAGGGCCTTCCAAGCTGAGGGAATCACGTGAGTGAGAGGGCATGGCTGTTTGGGGCAGAGCAGTGTCCAGTGCATGAGGGTGGGGGTGGGTTGTAGGGAGAGAGGGTGATATGAGCACGCAAAGGGAATAAATTGTAATTAGGTGGTGGGTGGCTAAAAATGACAATGCGAAGGTGTTGGATTAAAAAAAAAATCTGGTAGTAGAGGGAAATTATGGAGGATTTTTAAAAAGGTTAATGATAATATCCATCTACTTATGTAACTTTTTTTGGAGATACCTGATAATAGTGTAGAGTGCATTGGAGAGGAAAAGTAGGAGTTGTAAAGACCATTTTGGATAAACTTTGAAGCAAGGGATAATGGCCTCAACCAAGGTAGTGGTGCTGAAAAGATTGTTTACATAAATAAGCAGATACAAATAGAAGGATTTTTCAAGTGGCATTGTAACTGCACTTTTCAAAGTTATTTGCCAAAAATCAAATAACGTATCTTCAAAAATCATGTTTGATGATGTATCATCAAGGTCTTTCTTAAATTTTGTTGAAAGCAAAGGAATAAGAGCCACCTGATTTGCAAACGGATTGAGTTACTCAGTGGAGTAATTCTTTTAATATGAGCACCATTATTTTGAATGGTCCCTTTGGCACCCAGTGTTTTGTACTTTAAGACAGTGCACCACTGTGCTTTTTTTAAGTAGAAGGACAAAAAGGATATAAAAACTTTTATGACTGCTTGACTGAAGGTATGATCTCAAGCAGATCAATTTTAGGAAGCAGTACTTAAGATTAGAAAATCTAGAAAGAGGCCAGGCATGGTGGCTCACGCCTGTAATCCCAGCACTTTGGGAGGCCAAGGCCGGCAGATGACAAGGTCAAGAGATCAAGACCATCCAGCCAACATGGTGAAACCCCACCTCTACTACAAGTTCAAAAATTAGCTGGGTGTGGTGGTGCACGCCTGTAGTCCCAGCAACTCAGGAGGCTGAGGCAGGAGAATCACTTGAACCCAGGAGGTGGAGCTTGCAGTGAGCCAAGATCACTCGCCACCGCACTCCAGCCTGGCAACAGAGTGAGACTCTGTCTCAAAAAAAAAAAAAAAAAAAATCTAGAAAGAGAGCCAGTTGCATGTAGTGGCTCACACCTGTAATCCCTTAAAGTGCTGTAAAGCACTTTAAGAGGCTGAGGCCGGCGGATTGCTTGAGACGAGGAGTTCAAGACCAGCCTGGGCAACATGGCGATACCCTCGTCTCTACAAAAAATTAGAAAACTTAGCCAGACATGGTGGTGCATGCCTGTAGTTCCAGCTACTCTGGAGGCTGAGGTGGGAGCATCACCTGAGCCCAGGAGTTTGAAGGCTGCAGTGAGCTGCGATTGCACCACTGCCTGGGGACAGTAAGACTCTGTCTCAATAAAAAGAAAAAAAATATCGAGAGTCCCTATAAACTGTCTGCCACCCACACTGCTTAGAAAATCTCAGGTACCCTGAGTGATAAATGTAATCAATTTTAAAGATGGGTGCACTAACTGGGGCGGTGACTATGATGATGGAGAGAAGTCGAGTGTTGGTATTTGGGAGATTTAGAAGGTGGAATTAACAGGACTTGGGGATGTCGGGGAAGGTGAGTGAGGGGAAGGCAAAGATGACTCCTAGTTTCCTGGCTCCACAGAAGCGTAGTAATCAGATAACTGGGAGAAGACACTGTCATGGAAGCCATGGAGGAAAATGTCAAGAAGCAGGCAGAGGTAATCATCATTGCCAAACACTACAGGAACATTAGACAAAGAACTGAGAAGAGGCTCAAAAGTAGAAGGCCAGTTTTTTTCAAGTGAATAGTTTCATTGGAGTGGTAGGGGCAGAAGGAATATGGCTGTATTAGTTAAGCAGCATTATTTTCATTGAAACAGCATCTCCAGTGGGTTCTAAAACATTTCTTAGAATACATTAAGTGGTTTAACCAACTCTTCATTGATAGTGTCCAGGTTAACTTTGCTCTACCTCAGGACAGGTTATAACATAAATTCCAAAGTATGTTAAATGTTTTGCTGGCTTAGGATGAACTTTTTTCCATATAAATAAAATGATGTCAACTCACAATATGTAATTTAATACAAACAGTATATTGAAATGGATAATCTTACTAGCATTTTGATTTTTCCAGTGGCTTGCTAGTTTAGGGTACTTAATTGTTAGGTGTGGTTGCTAATACCCTACAATATTTGGTGGTCAGTCTTTTTAGTTCAGATCAGTCACTTCTATGTAACATGCTCCTTTTGGGCCTTTTTGTTTTACATTGTTATTTTAGTATCACCTTAATTTTTCCCCCAATATGTATTTAAGTTACCTTTATTACTCACTGTGTAACTGAATAATATAGAATATAGATGTATTTAGAAGTATCCAAAAAGCTAGGCCTTGTGTTAGGCGCTAGGGATACACAGAGATGAGTGATGGGCCCTTACCTCCAGGAGTTTATAGTGTAGAGAGTTTTATGTTTAGATTGCTCCTCTTTGTTTCAATTTACTATTTTAGGAGAGAAAAAATCATCTGGGTCCTTTTTTTTCTGAGACGGAGTCTCGCTCTGTCGCTCAGGCTAGAGTGCAGTGGTGCAATCTCGGCTCACTGCAACCTCCGCCTCCCAGGTTCACGCCATTCTCCTGCCTCAGCCCCACGAGTAGCTGGGACTACAGGCGCCGGCCACCATGCCTGCTAAATTTTGCATTTTTAGTAGAGGCGGGGTTTCACCATATTGGCCAGGCTGGTCTCAAACCTGACCTTGTGATCTGCCCACCTTGGCCTTCCAAAGTGCTGGGATTACAGGCGTGAGCCACCGCGCCCAGCCCAATCTGGGTCCTTTTCTGCTGGCATGGTACCATTATTCTTTGCTTATCTTTAACTCTGCAGCATACTTCATATAAAATTATAGGATTAAAATTAAAAAGAGAATCATTTAAGCTAAGAAGTTTTTTTCAGTTTTACAGACCTTCATAAAATATTCTAGAATGTATTCAATTGAAATGCTAAATATGAACAATGTACTTTGAAATTTAGAATGTATTTTTACTTTAGCAGAAACATTTAGAAGAACAATGTGTAAGTCCTTTTCTGTTTCAGTCATAACTGCACAAAAACCAGATGTCTAGCATTTTAAGTTTTTTCTTACATGTGCTTTATCAGTTCCCCATATGATTTTGATACTATGCGTGATATACATGCATAATTGGAAAAAGTGACTTTCTTCCCTATTGCCAAAACCAGTTTTCCAGACTAAATAAAATCTAGACAGATTTTACATTTCTCAACATCGGTATTTTGAATATTGGTGAAAACACAGATACTTTATTACACCGCTTTAGAGTTACTTTGATAAAAGTTTGTTGCACTAAATCAAGAGTATTTTGCTTTTTGATGAATGGCTTTACAGTAAAGAATTAGATGAAGTAAACTGCTGGTGTATATCTTTCCCTGGAGTGAAGTAAACTACTGGTGTATATCTTTCCCTGGAGTGAAAATGAATATTCATTTAAAAATTACTTATCAGGGTCTCGTTCTGTCACCTGGGCTGGAGTGCAGTGGTACGTTCAGTGCTTACTGCAGCCTCAACTTTCTGGGCTCAAGCGATCCTCCTGCTTCAGCCTCCCAAGTAGCTGGGACCACAGACGTGCACCACCATGCCTGGCTAATTTATTATTTTTATTTTTTTAGAGACAGGGTTTTGCTATGTTTCCCAGACCAGTCTTGAACTCATGGCCTCAAGTGATTCTCCTGCCTCGGCCTCCCAAAGTTCTGGGATTATAGGTGTGAGCCACAGTGCTCAGCCAGAAAGTGAATATTCTATACAGCATATTTCTGATTTTTGAAAAAGTTAATTTTAAAATAGTGAATACTAATTTTGGCAAAAGAAAAAGCTGAACAGTTGTTAAAACTCTCAGCTCTCTACCATTATAAACAGTCTCTGGAATCATGTTAAGTGTAAATTCTATCTAATCTAGTTTCTACTTTTGATTTGTTTTGAGACAGTCTCACTCTGTTACCCAGGCTAGAGTGCAGTGGGAAAATCACGGCTTATTTCAGCCTCAACTTTGCTGAGCTCAGGTGATTCTCCCAAGTAGCTGGGACCACAGGCACGCGCTACCATGCCAGGCTAATTTTTTTTTTTTTTTTTGTATTTTTTTTTTGGTAGAGATGGGGTTTTGCCATGTTGCTTAGGCTGGCAATTTCTACATTTTAAAGAAGAAAATGAATGTAGATAGAGCTTACTAACTTTCCACTTCTAAGCATCTCTGTTACAACAGGCTTCATATTCTCTTCTGAATTACTTTTCATGGGTTTGCATTTCTTTTTCTTTTATTTTTCTTTTTTGAGACAAGAGTCTCACTCTGTCACCAAGGCTGGAGGGAAGTGTTGCGATCTCAGCTCACTCAAGTGATTCTCTTGCCTCAGCCTCCCAAGTAGCTGGGATTACAGGCGCCCACCACCACGCTTGGCTAATTTTTGTATTTTTAGTAGAGACGGGGTTTCACCATGTTGGCCAGGCTGGTCTAGAACTTCTGATGTCAGCAGTCTGCCTGCCTTGGCCTCCCAAAGTGTTGGGATTACAGGCGTAAGCTACCGCACCTGGCTGGATTTGCATTTCTTTAAGCATCAGGAATGTTGTCTTTCCTTAAAAAAACACTAGAAAATATTAGGTTGACTAGAAATGCTAAATATTCTAAATTGTATTTTCTGGGTTTTTTTGTATTTTCTTATATTTAAACTTGTATGCCATTTAACTACATTTGATTGTGTTCAGGCATTTGGTTATATATTGAGAAATGCACACTGATCTCTTCCTAGCAAGGATCTTCTAAAGTATTTTCTGACCAGGTGCAGGTGGCTCATGCCTGTAATCCCAGCACTTTGGGAGGCCGAGGCAAGTGGATCACCTGAGGTCAGGAGTTCAAGACCAGCTTGGCCAACATGGCAAAACCCCGTCTCTACTAAAAATACAAAAATTAGCTGTGCGTGGTGGTGGGCGCCTGTAATCCCAGCACTTGGGAGGCTGAGGCAAGAGAATCGCTTGAACCTGGGACATGGAGGTTGCAGTGAACCGAGATAGTGCCACTGCACTCCAGCCTGGGCGATAAGAGTGAGACTGTCTCAAAAAAAAAAAAAAAAAATTCTGGTGTTCCTACAATATCACTATAATGGAAAATATTCACAATTTAAGGAAGCTATTTAATTTTTATTAAAACAGGCCAGAAACAAATTTTCTTTAGGGCACATTATATCAGAAGTCCCTGTTGTAGTTTGTTTCTCATTGATTTATGTGAGGCACAAGGTTGCATGAGAAACTAACAAAGACAGTGTGTTTGTCTTGGAACAATGGATAGGTGGAGATTTCATTGAGTGGTATAAAATAGGTACAGAAGATGAAGAGGTTGGAGCAAAGGATAATTCTTCAAGTGGAATTGAGGATGTTACAGGGCATCCCAGTATAACTAAACTGTTGAAATTGATATAATACTTGGGAACCAGAGATTATCTGGTTGAAATAAGATAACAGTTGAAATAACCACTGAGATAATGACTCAAAGAGCCAAGTTACCAAGTGATTTAAGCAATGAAAATCACAGGAGGGCTTATAGGTATCTGATTTTCTTGTCACTTTTAGTCTGTTATTATAGTTATATTAAATTGGTGACATAGTGCAGCATATGTTTTGAAAAAATATATGTAGCGGACTCCCATCATTCATACATTTAACTTGGGGAAATTGAACCACCATTCTACTTAGCGAAGAGGCATAGGCTCCAGAGAGAGTGAGAAAGGAGACAGAAATCTGCTGTTCCATTAGTCTGGTTTCTCACTTGACTCTCATAGTGTATCTCATTGCCCTAGTATAATTCTAAGGTAAAGAAAAGCTTTAAAAAAAAAAAAAAAAAAACCACAATATGGTATCTCAACACAAACTCAAATGAAGAAACAGCCATCTTTCTTGATTCTAGGATTGTGTACCTCTTCAATGAGGTACTTCCCTGTAGGCTCTTAAAAGGTCATCAAAAGCACATTTGATTAAATGTGCTTTTTCCCCATTTGTACTCAATTTAGAGCCTAACATCCCTAGAAAATGGAATTTCATTGTATATGACTGGGTATTACTTAGAAAAAAAAACATGTAAGTTTTGGTTGGTGTTTAGAAAGTCACCATGTTTGAGTGCTACAGGATTTGGGAACAGATAGCTATTCACTGGCTTGGTTCTGTCTTTCTAGGAATATTACTGTCTTTCACATCCTGTTTTGTTTTCTTCCCTCCTAGTTGTGGCAATTTATGACTATACAAAAGACAAGGAAGATGAGCTGTCCTTTCAGGAAGGAGCCATTATTTATGTCATCAAGAAGAATGACGATGGTTGGTATGAGGGAGTTATGAATGGAGTGACTGGGCTTTTTCCTGGGAATTACGTTGAGTCTATCATGCATTATTCTGAGTAAAGCTCAGCAGGGCTGTGCTTGCCTCACAGGAATAGTCAGGTCTTCCCAGATTATCTGAAGGCCCTGGGGATTCCACTCCAGTAAAGTAGAATGAAGGATACAAATGATAAAAATTACACTTTTTTTTTTGGTTTATTCCCCAGTATTAAAAACAAAGCAAGCTGAGTCTGAACAAATGGATCTTTCTGCCATCATTTGTACAATGCTGAGCTGTCTGGATTGAAATAAAATGACCATTTTTATGTATGTCAAAGGTATAACAGCATAACTGTGTAGCCAAAACAAAATCAGATTAAGACTGATTCAGAAAAATCTGGGATCTTTCTCAGGAATACTGTATACCCTTGGGATTTCTCCTCCTGCAGAATCTGTGGCATTGGATGTTCTTCATTGCCTGTGCTAAGGGGTTAACCTCATGGCCCAGTGGGTACCCTAGCCCCTTCTTTTCTTCCACTTGTATGAAGAGGAGGGAACCAACATTTAAATACCACACTTAACCATTTTTACAATTATTTCAGATGGCTTTTTTCCTCTGTGACACTGTAAATTCTGCATTCTCTCAGCACTTGAGTGCACCAAACGAGTGAATGCTGAACTCACTTGCATCCCTTCATGTTTCTGTTTGTGGATTATAAGGATGATGAAATGTGAAAGTCTCCCAACACTCTGAGGGTGGTGAACGATTGCCACCCGTTTGATTTTAATGTGCTGCTGCATGAGACTGCATTGTTGCTAATGGCCAGTGTACCCAGATGTGAAGTGTGGTAGGCTGGTTCATATGTGGAGGTGGGTGTGTGAAGCTAGACACGAAGGTCCCTAAGGTTCTGAAGAGACTTGAACTGTGGAAATGCTCTTAGCAGGCATCCCGAACCCCTGCTTCGGTGCTGTTTTGAGGAGTAGGATCTTGGAGTTCAGACCAACTATGACTATCATTTCCTTCACTATCTAGAAAAACGCTATTCTACTTTGGAAGAGAATAGTAGTTATTTTCAAGTCTCCTGACAGTCACTGGGAGTACAAGGTTTGCTAATGTGCTCTCTGGACGTTATTAATGGCCAGTATTAGTTGCTGCTGTATTACTGACTCGCTTAGCTGTAGAAAGGGTAATACTCTCCTGATTTTGTATGATTGGACTCTTAAGTAGCTGCTGTTAGTCAGAATTAAAACCCATCTCAGACTAAGAATATAATGAATAAGATTAATAGGCCAAAATATGTATCTAATCACATTGATAAAAATTAATATAACTGACACAATAAAACACATTTCCCCCATCTGTACAATAAATACAGCTTCAAATTCAGTGGAGTCTGTAGGGCAGATAACTTTAATCATCACTACTGTAGTCAGTATAAGAAATGCTGAAAAAAATCCAGGAGGGCTTGTCTCTTTGTGGGTGGTCACTGTGATGTTGGGCCAGCTCCTGTTCAGGTCCAGAGCTGCTAACGTGGGTTCTACTCAGTCCCAGTGACTTGGCCAGAATAGAGCTTTGCCAGGTAACTGCCCTGTGCTAGGTGAAAGGGGAAAAGCAGTAGCTGGATATATTTCAAATGAGGTTTTGAACAAGTTCAGAAAGTGGAACTTGATTGAAAAGTGAACAAGTGTAGTAGTGTGTGAGAAAATTCAGATGGTGTCGGATGCAGAAGTTAATATTCCACTTAATGTTATCTGAGCATTAAAAATCATCAGCATTTAACTGAGACCCCACTATAGAGTTTCCTTATCAAGACTTTTTGGTTTTAAAGTTGTTTTTAATGCATTGCAAGTTACAATAGCTATTTTGCTTTTAGATTTTTCCCAGCACTTTGTATTTATTAGCTTTCATTAACTTGCCTCCAGTATACATTCCACTTCGTGCTTTTCTTAGGTCATTTCTACATCCCTTATTCCTTGTTTTCCTGCAGTGTAATGGCCCTGAATGTCCTCTGAGCCTTCAGCTCCATTATGGACCCAAACTAGACTATACTTGGATAAGTTAAGCTCTTCTTCGTGTACTGGTCTATAATTAGAAAAACTGTTTTAAATTAGATGTTCCCATTATTTATTTAAACAGCTTTTTGCTGAGAAAGCTTAGTGGATTAATGAGGCAGAGGGTGTTTTGAAATCCAATAAATAGTTCCCACAGGCTGGGTGTGGTGGCTTATGCCTGTAATCCCAGCACTTTCGGAGGCCGAGGTGGGTGGATCATGAGGTCAATAAATTGAGACCATCCTGGCCAACATGGTGAAACCCCATCTCTACTAAAAACACAAAAATTAGCTGGGCGTGGTGGCGCACACCTGTAGTCCCAGCTACTTGGGAGGCTGAGGCAGGAGAATCACTGGAACCTGGGAGGCAGAGGTTGCAGTGAGCCGAGATTGTGCCACTGCACTCCAGCCTGGTGACAGAGCGAGACTCCATCAAAAAAAAAAAAAAAAAGTTCCCACAGCTCACCACTACAGAAGCAGGGAAGACAACTATGCAGAAAACAGAGTTAGTGGCGGTCAGCAGGAATGCAGCTGGTCTTTTGGACCCCTACGGGATGGGGGCAGTGCAGAAGACACTGGTGAAGTCCTTTATACTGAAGACCTGTGGTTGGGAGCAGGGGTAGTCCATGGGTCTGCTGATTTTTTTTCCCTATTTAGTACTAATGTGTGTGTGATCTTTGTTTTACAAACAGTACCTTTTGGGTTTTCTGCATATTTTATAATTTTTGTACAGTTTTGAATTCTATAGATTGTCTTGGAAGGATACTGTGTGATGGGTCAGGCACACAGTAATTGGAGACTTTTAATGTATGTAATATTTCATAGATTGCATGCTATTAATCATCTGTGAGGGTAGTATTTTTTGTTTTATTGTAAGTTTCCCTCTTTTTTTATAAATTAAAAGATGGTTGGTATTAGGAATTTCAAATGAATGCAGAAAATCTTACATGCTGTGTACTATTAATATTATAACAGACGATCCAAGTCCAAAATCTGACCAATAAAGCAACCATTTTATCAAGATAGAGGGATTCTAATGGGAGAGGGGATTCTTCCCTCCTGAAGTTTGTGTGTCCAGTCCCCTTAAAAAAAATGAATAGTTGTCTTTTCTTGTCATATTAATACTCGAAAGTCCATGGTGGTATTAATGAAAGTACACTTTATTGTTGCCTTTGAACTTACGGCCAAGGCAATAAATCAGAAACAAAAATAGTGCCAATGTGTCAAAATCGACATCTGAGAGATTCAGCCTCCCATTTGGAATAAATATGAATCTTCTAAGCTATCTTGTTTAATATTTTCCATCATTTAGCTACTTCCTATCTCCCTCAGAGGCGCCTGCTGTTCCCATTTTAGAGTTGACAGTGGCCTGCTAATTTTGCTATGTTCCTAAAAGTTACTGGGTGTGAGACATTTTCATCCCCTCCTTTTTCCTACTGCTGGTGTTTATTATCCAGCTAGACAATATTTTATGCATATTTACCGTGATGTCTGGACCGTACCTGTGCTCCTTGGCAGTTTATGTTGAAGATAACTAAAGATTTTTCTCTTTGGGAGGCATCAAAATGATGGTAGTTTGCTTTTATCTTTTTATGTTCATTTTCTTTTAGTAGGTGACCTTTCTGCATTAAGAACTGTTTTTATCTTTTACTACCTTTTCTTTTCTCCTTTGTGGAGACAGCATGACATGTCCTGAAGGTCACCTTTGCCTTTGAAAAAGGTTTGATGGAGGAATTCACAGGTGACTGACAAGTCTTTGAAAAGAATGGGATCTGCTCACTTCTGGTCTTTTTGGCCGGGAACTCCTGATTGGTGTTAAGGTGGTAATTTCCCCCATATAAGATTTAGAATCACTGAGTTTGAGCTAGATGAAATTTTTAAAATTTCTGGTTGTCTCATTAGACTGATGAGGTGAGTTTTCTTCTTCATATGAACAGCTAGTTAATAACAGCAGAGTTCTCACTCAGTGCTCAGTACTTAATTTTCCACTGCACCACAACTGTCTTAACTAAATGTGCTGTATTTTTCTTTAAAAGTTAAGAGTTCTATTTGGTGTTTTCAGGAATATACGTGAAAAGACATGCCATGTTTTGGTAAATACCATCAGAGTTGTGTAAAGGCGTGTACTAAGTGCAATCTTAATTTGTGGAAATAATCTTCATTTACCCCTCCTAAAACTACACTCAGTATAAACACTTTCCCATAAGGTGTGTGCAGTAAAAATGTTATATTACTCCAACACTGGCAGGAGCACAGCACAGCAGCCTTATTGGAGAGAGCCTTATAAAAGTGATTAAATGGAGGCATTGAGCTCATTACCTTTAAGTTTACTTTGTGCTGACCTTTGTTCCTGTTTTGAGAATCTCATATAATTATTAAAAAAAAAAAACAATTAAAACGAAACGGCGGGGCCTAGCTGTGTATAAATGATCCTTGCTGAATATCTTAAGGTTTTTTGTAAGAAAAAAGAAAAACCAACAAAAAAAGCTTATTTTCACATTAAAATGAAACCTCTTTTGCAACTTAAGAATTCTATGGAAAAGCAGTTTTTATCATATTTTGTGTCCATGCACCATTTTTCTTAAAATGGCTTACAAAAAAGAATGTAAACAATTTGTGATCTGGCCAGTTGTACTTTTAGCTCCCAGAGGGAGAGTTGGTGGTATTATGAGTTGAGTAAAAACCATCCAGGGGAACTTGAGGGAGCAGTCTGTTGCCAGTAATGTTCCTTGTGTGCCATTAAACCACCTCCAGATGAGTGGAGGAACATCACTTTTTAATTTTTTAATTGTATTTGGAATTGTTGCCGTGTACTAAGAACTTGACCTAAATAAAATCCCACAAAGTATATTCAGGTGTCTTGTTAACTTATTTATATAAATAACCTCTTTTTCTAAGGTGGTATCTTGAGTTTACGTGTTAGGGATAATCTGACTTTTCTGTTGCTCTAAACCAGGGAGCTGCCTTTTATTACTGAAGAAGTCGTCTTTTTAAATTTTCAAAGATTTAAAATGTTGAGCTTTAAATTTGATCTCAAGTTTCTTCCCTGAAGACAGCTGTTCTAATTAAGAACTTTCTAATCCTGTTTTTGCTCCACTCGCACCTGGGGTTTTCTTACCACTTTTCTCCAAATCTAATTCTGTTAATGTACAGTTTTTTTAATTCAACAGACAAACACTGAAGATGGGTGTTGACTAAAAAATATTGCAGACTGGTCAGAAGTGAATCTAAAAGACAAACCACTAACTAGCCTGTGCTTTGTTGCTATGAGAGCCTAGATTATAAAAGAATTTTCTAATGATGTATCTGAGGGTAGCAAGTAAGTTTGTCTTCACAATACCCAAAATGATGTTTCAGCTTTTCTCACTTTTCAAGCCCATCTTATTTCCTCTGTACCTTTATTATTTTGGTATCATTAGGTAAGGTGAAGAATAATGTAGGAAACAAATACCCAGCTAAAACATTTATGGGTTTCTCGTATTTGTGAATAGGATTTTAGGCGTCAGAGCAGTCTTGTCTTGTCTCAAAG
Source organism: Homo sapiens (assembly GCF_000001405.40). NCBI lineage: Eukaryota > Metazoa > Chordata > Mammalia > Primates > Hominidae > Homo > Homo sapiens. Next base: position 203,432,849 of record NC_000002.12, read on the forward strand.
ATAGATAGTATCCAATCTTTTGTTAATAAGCCTATTGCTTGACTTTTTTGGGTTACTTTGGAATTACACATTTGGTTGAACGGCTTTGTGGATCTGGGGCATATGCCAATTAAGGGGCACATGCCATGCGTTCTGTTTTCCTGTCAGCCTGTGTACACTGCTGCTTCTGAAGGCATAAGTACAGGTGCAGTTTCCACAACCACGTATGATTGACAGATGGTGAACGAAAGGGGAAGGCTTCCACTTTTTTTGCCCTAGTTTGGTACATAATAAAGTGATTGCAAACACATTATACATTTATACATACCTTCACATGGCAGTCCAACACGTAATTGTGACTCCAAAGATTTGAAACAAACAAAAGGCATTCCTTTTTGTATTACTTTACTTTGTACTTAGTTCTTTGTTTAAAGAAGAAAAATCTTTTTTACCTTTTTTTTTTTTTTGAGACGGAGTCTCGCTCTGTTGCCCAGGCTGGAGTGCAGTGGCACAATTTCAGCTCACTGCAAGCTCCACCTCCTGGGTTCATGCCATTCTCCTGCCTCAGCTTCCCGAGTAGCTGGGACTACAGGCGACTGCCACCACTCCTGGCTAATTTTTTTTTGTATTTTTAATAGAGACGGGGTTTCACCATGTTAGCCGGGATGGTCTCGATCTCCTGACCTCGCGATCCACCCACCTCGGCCTCCCAAAGTGCTGGGATTACAGGCGTGAGCCACCGCACCCGGCTGAGAAGAAAAGTCTTTCTTTAAAAGCTGTTGTCACTTAATCACCAATGTATTTAATGGCCAAATTTCCCTAGTTGGTATAAACTACTCTTAAAAGTTAACAAATTGAACATATCAAACTAGTTTATTTACCACACTTAATTTCTTCTGTGTATGGCCTATGTTTTGGGTACCCTGACATGAAATGCAAAACCAGATTCTTAATGGTGCCGATCCACAAACACTCAAAGTCCCCATGTTTAAATGAAATCTATGAATTTTTTTTATTAAGGATTTGATAAGCTGATATAATGAAAACATGTAAATGAAAAACATTTACACTGACTGTACGACTAGTGTGCTAAGCCATTACAATAGTTTACTGACATAACTGGCAAGAGTAACTTGGAAAATAACTTAATCCAGCAGAACAAAAACATCCTCAGAAAAACATCCTCAGTAGTACTGAATATATCTCTCTCATATATCTATCTATCTATCTATATATATATATATATATATATAGCTTTGCACAATCAGGGAGCAAGGCACATAATGAAATGAGCATACATTTATGCAGAAGAAAATAATAGCAACAAAGCTGCGAGAAAAATTGTAACTTCATCTTCACTGAGCTGTGCATAATCCTTTGAATAATAATGTCCTCTACCTGGTACATTATAATGAAGTTCCTTGTCTTCTTCATGCTTTAAAAAAGTATACTTCTACATTGTATCTACCTATGGCAAAGCTCCCACAGCCTACAAGTTGGTGTGAGCCTTGACTCTTGTTTTTTAAAGAACTGAGGGAGGGAGCAATCCCAGTTAAATATAATGTGCAATTCCCCTTTAACAGTAAACAATGTTTTTAAAACACTTAGCACAAGCTAATTTTATCTTAAATGTACATCTCTGTAAGAGTTCACTAGTGGCTGATAGTAAAATGAAGCAAAATTGTTTGAAACATTCCAGTTAATGCTTATTTTCTAGAAGGGGTTATTTTACAAGTAGCAAAAAAAAAAAAAAAAGTAGGAGGTGGGGAAATAATATGAAAAACGGCAGTTTTTGGTATTAGGTTACAATAAATTTAACGAATGGACAGTTTGCAAAATATAAGGGTTTCTCCCCCTTTAGTGCTGCAGACAAGTTTTACTGCCTAAGACGTTGAGGCTGCAACAATCATGAGCTTGGTATTAGTAGCCATCCATGATAAACATAATTAATTCTCAACTTAACCATCTATAAAATATGTAGTGTTCACCATCACCCTGACTCAATTCACTTCTCTAAATGTCTTTGGTAGAAAGCAGCCAGACCCCACGTGGGTAGTGATGTCTCTTGTGAGACACTTTTCATTTCTGCCAAAACTAGAAATACCACCTTCCTTTACTTTCATTAGCACCTCAAAGTTTGCTTGCTGGATTTCTTTAAAAATATTCTGCCAAAAGAGTTGAAGGCACTGGGGGTTTACAGCAAGTATTTTCTCTTTAAAACGGTTTATTACTTCAACAAGCAAAGAGCAAACCAACTGGAGAAATGTATGTTTTTTCTTTTTATTTATCAAGTTTTATTCTACAGCTAAATTTCAGATTTCTTTTACATATAGACCTTGCAAGGGCACGGTAAGAACTGAGCACTTGTTTTATTTGAGGGATAAAGGTGTAGAAATTTTCTCTTTGAATTTTATAAGGAAAGGCTGGGTACAGTGGCTCATGCCTGTAATCTCAGCATTTTGGGAGGCTGAGGCAGGAAGATCACTTGTGGCCAGGAGTTTGAGACCAGCCTGGGCAACACAGTGAGACCCCCATCTCTACCAAAAAAAAAAAAAAACCTTAAAAGATAATAAGTATCTAATTCTTTTATACTTGCATTTCTCTTTGGATCAAATCTCAACTTTGTGAGAGGTCATACATTTCTACAGGGTTAGGAGTACCCTGCATAATTTATACAAATGTAAAGTGTATATTAAAAAAAAAAAAGTGAAAGTTACCTGCAATCTAAAGGGTTTTCTTCCCCTAGAAACAGTCACCCTCTCGTCAAGTGTATGACCCAATTATACCTATTTTATGAAAAGCAAGGCATCACATTGATAACCATACAGGATCCTATGGGTTTAACTGGTCTAAACTTGAGTGGATTAAATCAGTTGTAATTAGTTAGCTCTGTAGGTATATGAAAAACTTTTGGTAATGTACAAAAATAGGAATGGGTTTTTTACCTGTTTAAAGTCACTTTGTGTTTATAACAAAATTACTTTTAGCTGAGGAACAAAGGTGACAAAGATTTCTGTTGGTGGCTGAGAGTCAAAGCAGGCCAATCCACACCATTACCTGAAATATTTTTCAGGCTAATTTATAACTTTATGGATTTCCTCGATACAAGTTTATTAGTTTATTCTCCATATACAAGTTTATTCTCCCAGAATAGCAGCAAATAAAACTTGAATTGGATGTACAGCTCCTAATAACCTTGATGTCAGAGTTGTCACTTGGTTGGAATTATTATGATCCCCCAATTTAAATTTTCTTGATAAACTCAGCGTTGTTTGTTTTCAGTGACAAGAAAACATACATGGAAAGGGGACCCAAGACAGTTCACCAAGATAGTTCACAGCCCTTTGCAGGATATGCCTTTGGTGGGTGGGAGCACCTAGATTTTAGAGGACTATAAAACGCCATGTTTACTTTGTTTGAAATTTTCTGATGAAAAGTCTTTTGTAACTTAACATTCCACATTTTCATTTAAAAAGTCCCAGAAATATAAACTATCCAATTTACAACTAAGGTGGGTATCTGTAAAAACCTTAAGAATAGTTACTCTTCCCAAGAGAATTACAGCGTCTAAGGGGGGGAAAGAAAGCATCTGAGCAGTAAAAGTCAAGCTGGTAAAATCCAATACAGAATATCTAATAAACCATAAGTTATTTTACTGAGAATAGATTCTGCTGCCCTACAGCATTGGTGCCAAAACTCTAAGCATAGAGTGATTCTACTTTGAAATTATCCATAGTAGAAATTAGGAGTGTCACTAATTAAGCAAGTCACTACCTCTAATAAGCACCTGTTTGCACTGCCCTCAGCAGCAGGATGAGTTAATCCATGCTGTTCACTTTTCAGTACAGCCAAGTCAACTGCACAGACTTGAAGCAGCCAAGCTGGGTGAGAGCTGCAGAGCAGAGGGCAGTGAAAGAAGGCACAGTACTAGTGTCGTGCGGCAGTAGATGCTTTCCATGAATACACCAGAGAAAAAGAGCTACAGAAATACAGTCTAGGAAAAGCTACATCCCAACAAAAATCCAAATTAAAGAAAACCCACTAGGGAGTAAAACAGAAGTATAAAGTATCACTTTAGTGGTTTTTTAAATTCAGTTCATACATGAGGTTAAAACATTTTTAATAGCCATTTCTGTCTGTGGAGGAATGTAAAGGGAAATGGCCTGTTGTCGGACAAGCCACTGGACTGGGGTTAAAATGAGTCTCCTCCTCTAGCCTTACTCTCTTCCTGGCATCATTAGTGTTCAAAAGGATGTCTGCTATTCCAGGAAAACAGACCAGAAGCATCTGTTCAGGATGGCTATCATCAGGATTGATACAAGCAAGAAATTCCAAGAAATCCTGCACTGAAAACATAAAGGCTGTTGTTTTAGGGCTCAAATCATGGGTGAAAAAAGGTTAGCGGGTACATTTTTTCCCCCTCAAGAAAAACTGAAGTGTTGTCTACCTTCTCATGAGAAAATCACCACCACAATAAAACTCAAAACCTCAGGGATGAATACTTTGATAACTGGATTCATATTCTTACTAACTCTAACCCACAAATATGGGTGCCCCTCAAACTATAAAACTGCAGGCAGAAGACTATGAGAAATTCATTCATGAATCACAGTAGCGCTTGGCAATCTACTCAAACATTACCCAAATTTCTGTGCATGCTTAAATTAACAATGCAGATGTGTTAAAGATCACTTCATAAATATCAAACACAAAACTTGGTGAACAATTTGAAAGACCTAAAAATTAATGGTATATATTCTTATTGCTCCATAACCACATGAACATAACCGAACAATATTCTGGAGATGTAGCAATGGAGAGGTGCTGTTCACTCTCTGTTTACGATGCGGTTTTCGTGGAGTGTGGGTTATGCAAGACCTTGAGTATACTGTACTAATTAAGCACTTTTGCTCATTCTAGAATTATTTACCATCTCTTCCCCCACTTTACTGGCATCACTTTTTCCTTGTGGGACAATGTCAACTGATTTCTGCAGTTTGCATTGGTAATCATTAACAATAGGCACAGACTTTCATTACAAGATGTGCTCCCCTTATAAGTGCTGGGATGGCCCATTTTTATTCTCTTGTTTAGGAGCTGCTCTGAGATTGTTTTATTCCTAATAGTCCAATTTATCATAAGTTGATGAGAGTACTTATTTCTCTCATGTACCAAGGAAAATTCACAGAAAAAAGCATATAGAAGTATAGTGTGTCGTTAGAGCACTGACTCCACGTTATACCAAACTGCACACGCATAAAACGTAATGTCAGTTACTGGACTTGGACTGTCCCACTCCATCAGAACACCTAGTAACCTGAACTAATCACAACCAGGCTGCAGTCAGCAAGGGTCCTGGTAGCCCCAGTAGCTATAAATGAAACTGTCTTCCCTCTCCATGTAGTCCCATACTTAATGAGCTTTTTGTATTACATATTATAACCCATATACAACCAGATTAATGACACCTGTACAGGGGCCAGTTCTGTTCTCTCATCACCCTTCCCTTCTATAGAGCAATGCTCAAAAAATGCATTTTAGAAAATGATTTTGTTTTTCATAATGCACCATATTGGGGCACAGGATGTGTATATTTCATATACCAATTGTCTACAGATATGTAATAACACCTACCTAAAGCACATATTTTAAGAAGGTAACTGGTGACCCAAAGACATACTGGGACAGAACATTACAGAGATAACTGTGTTATCCATCCTCTTAAAATCAATCAAAGTGAGGATCATGAAGCCAAGTTGATAAAGCTTCATAAAACAGTACTAAAAAGGAACTATCCAGAATTATAGCACTAATTATCCATGTATTGTAGGCAAAGAGCTTATCTGTCAGCACATCCTAAATGTGGGTGGATCACTGCAGCAGTACTGCAGCTAGAACAGCTGAGTTAATTACGCCATGTATTTACTTTCTATGCACAACCACATACAGATGATGTCTGTGAACATTTCCCCATCCTGCACTAGTTACCCGTTCTATGAAGCTGAGAGATTTTCCTGATTTAAAGTGCCCCTTCATGTATAGCAATGAAGTGTCAGTCAAGCAATTCTAACTTCAGCCAACTGGGGAAAAACAAACACAAAAGCCTTATAGATACACCAAACATTCTGGTGATTTTTCTCAACCAGAAATAGCACATTCTACATCTATTCCTTAGTTATATAATACACAACATGCACGAATAGGCTACACATGGACAGACACTTATAAATACCTTCTAAATAAGTGATTAGAAGTTTTTGGTCCAATCCACATGATATAGAAATCTTAAGAGACAACACACATCCCCTTCTATGCCTCTTCCACCCAAAATACAGAACACCCATTTTCAGATTAGGAGAGAAAAGGAATAAATAGAATAACTCTCAGCTCTCTCTCTATATACACATACACATACATATATGTATACATATATACACACACTGTACAGCTGTGTGTACATGCACGTGTACACACACACATACACATATAGCTGGACACTACCTGAATAACATCATACCAGGAGGCTCTGAACACCTGAATTCACAGATGATCAGGTGAGCTGATTGTAGCAGTGATTACAGATATCATGAAAATAAAGTCCTATGGTGGCTACCAGTCTCTGGAGAGCTTGGTGTTCTGGTCTCTTTTGGGGGGAGCAGGAGGGGGTCCTCTCCGCAACGTTGCATAGCCTGATATATGACTGCCTCCGTAACCAGCCTTCTGTTGATCAGACAGCAGTTCAGGGGGTGGTGGAGGCAATGCCATATCATCCATGGTGGCTGTTGGTTCTGCTCTGGACATGCGGGAGGAGAGTGAGCCGTGCCGAGTGATGGACTTTCGTTGCAGTGTCCTGTTGAGGTCAGCCAGGAATCCAGGCTGGACACTAAGGCTGGATTTGGGAGAGGTGGGCACTTGTGGCACAACTGTGGCCATTGTTGGCTGCTCAGAAATCTCAGCTTGAGTGAGGCGGGTGCTATCATTCCGTTTGGGTCGTGTGGGTGGAGGGGCCTTCTTCACTGACATTTTAGACCATTGTTGTGGTTGAGGATTAACGACTGCCACTTTTGGAGAGGTGTTTCCCGAGAAAACTGCTGGAATCTCAATGGGGGGCAGAGGAAGCTCTGTTTCAGGTGGAGGGGGTGGAAAATCAGAATCGGATGGAGGAGAAGGAAATTCCACCACGGAGTCCTTTCCACGCCCACTCAGAACAGGGGCTTTTGCTGACACACACCCTTGTTGGAGAACTCCAGGAAGGTTGACTCCAGAAAGATTGAGTTTTCCAGGCTTGGGGGGTGCTGCAGGAGGTGGTAGGGTCTCCTTGCTGGGAGACCCTGATTCTGCTGGCGGTGTAAACTTGCTGACTAGACTGTCCACCGAGGGTCTCTTGGGCTCGGGGTGCTCTGCACCACTGCTGGATTTAATGCTGGAGTTGCGCTGTGGGGTTGGGGGTGGTTTCTTTCCCCCAGGGCTGGACGTCTTACTGGTCTTTTTGCCTGGAGATCCACTTTTGTCAGGGGTAGGAGAAGCTGTGGGTGGAGGTGGTGGTGGTGGGGCTGGGACAGGTGATGGGGGTGGAGGAGGAAACACCAGGCTGCTTTCAGGAGGGGGAGGAGGGAAGTCCGGAGAAGGGACTGGGATGGAGCTGGGCTGCCACTTGGGCTTTGCTTTTACTGCAGGAGGGGACTGTGGAGCTACATTTGCTGGGACAGGCTTTAAGGGCTGAGATTCCATGGCAGGGGGAGTTGGAGGGGGTGGAAACTGGCTGGCTATCTGCTTCACGACCGAGGGCACCGGTGACAGTGGAGAGGGAGGGGGTTTTGCACAGAAGCTCTGTTGCTTGGGTAATGTTGGCGGGGGTACTGGAACAGGAGGGGTAGGGGGAGAGGGTGGAATGTAAGAAGCAGGGAAAGCTGGCTGCTTTTTTGCTGGGGGCACTGGAGGAGTAGGTGTGGGTGGTGCAGCTTGAGTCACAACAGGTGCCACAGTCTTGGTGCTGGTTGGTGCGGGGATGGTCACAAGGGGTTTTGGGGGAGCTTGGGGAGGGAGGGGTGCAGGGATAGGAGGAGGTGGGGGGGGTGTTGGGGGAGCCACCTGAGTAATATGCTGAACTTGATGGATCTTCAGTGGAGGAGGCGGGGCACTGAACTGTGGAAGGGATGGGGCACACGGTGCAGGCTTTAGCTGGGCCATGGCAGAGCCTGGGGTTGGGGGTGGAGGAGGGGGAGGGGGTGGTGGAACAACTCCATTGGGGGGTACCAGGATCTGAGGCTTCACTGACTGTGACTGCATCACTGGGGGTGTTGGCGGCTTAAACAGGGCCCCTGAATGCTGAGACGCATTCTGTAGCCGTGTTATTGTGCTGTACTTGACGAACATTGGGGCTGCTGAGCCTGCAGAAGGTGCAGACTGGCTGGGGAGTGGGGGAGGAGGGGGTGGTGGAGGGGGTGGTGGAGGAGGAGGTGGGGGTGGCGGAGGAGGTAGAGGTGGTGAAGGCTGTGAAGCAGTGTAGGGGGTGACTATCTTAGGTTGCGGGGATAAAGGGGGCACAAGTGAAGTGTAGGGCCGATTCATAGACTCCATTCTGGCCTAAAAGGAGTATAAAAAGGGAGTGGGAGAGAGAAAAACACAACAAACAAAACAGTTACAGAGGTAAGCTTTGATTGTGTAAAACTAAAAAGCAGGGAGTCTGGGACATGCATGAAAAGGATGCAGAAGTTGGTGGTGATCATAAAGATGGACAATGTCAGGAAGGCTAAAATCTGATTGTGCGGGCAAGAAGGAAACAGAAAACTTGTTTTACCCCACAGTAAAATAGCTAGACCATCTAACAATCTAGGAAAAATGTCCGGCTGCAAAAGCTGTTTGAATGGTGACAGGATGCATGACTTCTGACCTTGGCTGTATGACTTTGACACAGCCTGCCCTACATGGAACCCTCTGTGGCGGTCCTCTGAGCACTGGACTTCCAAGGGGAGATGTGATGGCTCCAGTTTACCTTTCAGTCCATGACTGCATCCACATCAAGCAGATGCTATAACTGGGTTTAGGAGGGCTTCCTGGTGGAATGAGGATGGCTTTTTGATGCTAGTAAGCTGACACAGGAGAGTATGAGAATGTTGAGCAGGCGTGCACAGTCACACAGGAATGAATAAGCTTGACACACACACTCGTGTTGGTGTGAGACAATTGCATCCAACATGCACAGAAGTCCAGCAATGCAGGTAAAGGGGGGACATTCTTTACATTTGTTTTACTGGAAAATACATAAAGAAATGCTTTGTAAACATTATAGCAAAAGACTGTAAAAATATCATACAGAAAAAGCCAGAAGAAATTAAGAGGAAGCTCTGGAAGGCTAGAATAAAGAAAATGTATCAAGAAATGGCAGCTAGCATTTGCCAACAACCAACCCATCTGGGTAGCTGAAATGATCACATCTGGTAGTTTATTTCGTGGAGCTAATCATGCACGATGGTGGTTCAGGTACTTTGAAAAGAGGAAAGGAAGGACCCTTGTTTTAAAAACTTTAGGTACATCTTTTAGGCTCTTTGAACAAACTTTGAGGATCCAAGATAAACCATTTGTTTTCAATTTTGAATGACATCGAGAATGCATGGGTTAGTGAACTAGAAGGCTCATTATAGGGCTGAATTCTAATAGCCATCCGGACATTCACATGTTTCTTTTAAAATTACACAAAAAGATTAGTCTGTGAGATTGGGATACAGGCGTCACCGAGGTTAATGTGTTTCCAGAGAACAACCCCTGACCTTAACTTGACCCTGTCTTGGCTGCTTCAGGGGCGCAGGCCTTAGCTGTGCTGGCCTTCTCATTTGGCACCTGAGACTGAGGTAACAGGAGAAGAAATACAGAGTGATCAAGCCTTAAAGCATTACTGCTGACAGCAGGGTTCCTACTCTTCTGAAACTCTGTGCAATAACGGACTTTGCTGCTTAATCACAGAACATTTTGGGTCTGTGATTTTGTTTTCCTTGGCCTTACACATAACTAGGTTCTATAACTTAAAATGCACACGGATCTCACCATTAGTAATTTGGTAAGGCAAAGGGGTTTTTCTTTAGCCATCCGAATTCTGTAAACCAACTTCTTTAGTACATTTTTAAAATACTAGCTCCATCCAAATTGATTAAATGGGGGAAGGGAGAGAGAAATTATTTCTTAAAAGTTTGAGTCTCTAATAAGGGAGTTAAACTCAGTGTTTTGAGAATTTAGATCGTTAGAACCAATTCTCAAATGCTCATTTCTGAAGGAAAGGGCTTCAGCCCCACATGGTGCTACTAAGGCCTTCTCTTCCCTGCGGGAGCCCAGTTAGTGAACCACATATACGAATGAAGGAATAAAAGGAAAAATGTCCATTTATTCTCATTCGTGAATGTACCTGTATAAGTGATTCAGACCAAAAGCACCCCCCACCAAAAAATTAAATAAATAAATAAAAACAATTATTAGTAAAAATAAAATAGTTGAGCCCAGGGTGCCACTGGTTCCTCAATGATGGAGTGACCTCTTGCATATTGAAATGGTGACTACAGCCAGGACACATCCTTGCCTACACAACTACAGATGATGTCTGATAGAAGGCCATGATGTCTTTCAAATGAACTGAAGAACCTCTCTATTTTCCTAATTATAGTCTTGCAATAACTATACTCATCCTTCAGTCTCACTGCACAATATACTATGCAAGGCTCAGGAATCCAAAACTTTTAAGGGAAATGATTTTAATTTAGTCTTCCACATAAAGTATAATTTGAAAAAATTCATCAATGCCCAAAGAAATGGCAAAAGCATTAAAAAAAAAAAAGGTAAGGAATGAGTCTGAATAAATTAACCAATAAAGAAATAACTGGACTGAATATGGTGGCTCATGCCTGTAATCCCAGGACTTTGGAAAGCCGAGGCAGGAGGATCGCTTGAGGCCAGGAGTTCGAGACCAGCCCAGGCAAAATAGCCAGACCTTGTCTCTACCAAAAAATAAAAAACTAGCCAGGCATGGTGGTGTGCACCTGTAGTCCCAACTACTCAGGCAACTACTCGGGAGGCTGAGGTGAGCAAGCAGGCTGAGGTGGGAGGATCATTTGAGCCCAGGAGGCTTAAGTGAGCCCTGATAACACCACTGCATTCCAGCCTGGGTGACGGGAAAGGGAGAGGGAGAGGGAGAGGAGGGGATGGGGAGAAGGAAGGAAAGGAAGGGAAGGAAGGGAGAGAAGGAAGGGGAGGGAGGGAGGGAAGTGAGGGGAGGGAGGAAAGGAGGGAAGGAAGGAAGAAAAGAATAAAAAAGAAGAGAAAAAAAGAGAGAGAGAGGCTGGGCACGGTGGCTCTCGCCTGTAATCCCAGCACTCTGGGAGGCTGAGGCAGGTGGATCTCGAAGTCAAGAGGTTGAAACCATCCTAGACAACAGGGTGAAACCCTGTCTCTACTAAAAATACAAAAATTAGCTGGGCGTGGTAGCATGTGCCTATAATCCCAGCTACTCGGGAGGCTGAGGCAGGAGAATCGTTTGAACCCGGGAGGCGAAGGCTGCAGTGAGCTGAGATCACGCCACTGCACTCCAGCCTGGCGACAGACTGACACTCTGTCAAAAAAAAAAAAAAAAAAAAAGGAAGAAGAAAAAAAGACAGGAAAGAAGAGAGAGAACTGTAAACAGCTTCTCTAGAATTTAGGGCATTTGCAATAGATGGTGTTTTGCCATCCAAACTGCTTAAAGGTGGAAAGGAAGAAATTGTTATTTCTTAAAAATCTGAGCCACTGATGAAAGAATTAAACTGCCAGTTTTTTTTGTTTTTTTGAGATTTTAAGTCATTAGAGCCAATTTGTAAAATACTCATTTCCAAGGGGAAGTCAAATCAACAGGTCTCTCTGAACTGTCTTTACCCACTACAATTAGGAAGATTGAAAATTAATAAAGGAGACTGAAATAAGGCCAAATAAGATCCCCGATAAAGACATAAGAGAGCAACAATTTAAACCCAAAAGAATACCACAGAATTTTCAATGTAAATTAAAACGAAGCTGTTACCTTGCTGGACTCTTCCAACTGAGTGCCTCGTTTCCAGGCTTCAGAGAATACGGAGCTCACAATGCTCTGGGAACGGACGTGTCCTGCTGGCTGGGTGTCAGAAACTCCGCTATCAGACTGATTGGAGTGGTTTGACTGAGACTCTGTTTAAAATAGTTTTTTAAACATAGGTTTAAAAGAGTCAGTATTCTGACAATATTCATATGTATGTCTAGTTAGATCTTTTACACAAGGTCAAGTGCTGTGTACAACAGCACCAAGTTATTTTACTCATTTCATCATAAACACAGCCAGTATTTTCTACTAGAAAACTTCCCTTACCTTGGAATTAAGAAATCTCAGATTAGTGTTAAATATTTCACCATGAGAGACTGATAATTATAATAAATGATTCACATAACATTATTGGTATCCTGACACCCAGTCTTGCATGAAATCAACTCTAAACAATAAAAGAATTAATGAACCATCAGTAGAGGAGTCTCTCAATCATGTCTGCATTACATTGAGAATCAGCCTTTTTAATACCCCTGCCTTAAGGTCACGCCAGAATTGTAACTTAGGAATTCGGATCTATACACAATGATTATTTCCTTTTTTCTAGCAATGAGCAATACTTAGAATTTGACCCTCTAGTGCGAAGTGTGTTTCCTAGGGATTTAGGTATTGGACCCATAGGGTGGCAGCTGTGCTGTATCCTGGCCTGTCAGCAAGGCACAAAAAAGTTTTGAAAGGAGTGGGGCCTGGTGGGAATGGCTGTGAGCATACAGTGTCTCTTTGCCGCCTGAGCAAGGAGGCTGAGGTGGGAGGATCATTTGAGCCCAGGAGAGTTAAGTGAGCTATGATAACACCACTGCATTCCAGCCTGGGTGATGGGAGAGGAAGGAAGGAAAAGGAAGGGGAACCATGTTCTGGAAGGGTTGTTGGTTGGTTTTTTTTCCCCATTTTAATAAATATTTTCTTAGAATAGTTTTAAGATATCTACATATTAGATATTTGAATATTAGAACAGTTTTAGCACAGAATTCCTACATACCCGGCATCCAGTTTACCCATTTAGCAATATGTTTGGTTTTAAAGAAATTCTCCTTTGGGGAAAAAGTGTCCTCTTTTAATTTTATTCCCTTTTCCCCATTATTAACATGTTACATTACTATACTACATTTGTCACAACTAAGGAAATGTCCTGCTACTATTAACTACGCTCCACACTTTATTTGGATTTCACTAGTTTTTCCCTCATGTGCCTTTTCTGATCCAGGACACCACGTCACAGTTAGTCATCATGTCTCCTATAACGGCTTCTCAGAATTTCCTGTTTTTGATGACTTAGACAGTTTTGAGGAATAGTGGTCAGGTATCTTGTAGACTGTCTCTCAGTTTTGGTTTGTCTGATGCTTTTTCTCTTGATTAGTCTGTTTATGGAACTTGGGGAGGAAGATCATAGAGGAAAAAAGCCATTCTCACACACTATGTCAAAGGTCCCTATAACCAATGTGACTTAGATACTGACCTTGACCACATGGTTGTGGCAGTGTTTGTCAGGTTTCTCCACTGTGAAGTTACCCCTAATCCCCGTTCCATAATCACTGGAAGCAAGTCACTAAGCACAGTCCACACTTGAGGACTTAGGTAAGCTCTACTTCCTTCAGGACAAAGTGTCTTCATAAATCATTTAGAAATCTACACAGGACAGTTCTCTCCTCTTCCCCATTTATTTATTCAATGATTTATTTACATCAGTATAAACTCATGGATATTTATGTCCATGGGTTACAATCCTATACTATATTACTTATTGTATTGCTCAAATTGTTCCAGCTTTGACCTTTGGAGCTCTTTCAGACTGGCTCCTCTGTGTATCCCTTTGACATATTCTCATCTTGTGTTTTGTGAGACAGGGTCTCGTTCTGTTGCACAAGCTGGAGCACAGTGGTGTGATTATAGCTCACTGCAGCCTTGAACTTTTGGGCTCAAGCAATCCTCCTGCCTCAGCCTCCTGAGTTGCTAGGACTATGTGTACTACTAAGTCTGGCTAATTTAAAAAAAAAAAAAAAAAAAAGTTGTGGAGATGGGGTCTTGCTGTGCTGCCCAGGCTGGTTTTGAACTACTGGGCTCACGTGATCCCTTAACCTAGGCCTCCCAAAGCATTGGCATTACAGGCGTCAGCCACTGTGCCTGGCCCTACTGTCGTTTTTTAAGCATTCCCTTACTTTCTGGCATTACAAGATGCTCTAGGCTCATCTTGTATATATTCTCTGCTGCAGCCCTATAATTTGCCATTTCTTTGAGAGCCTTGGTTTTCTTTTCTTTCTTTTTTTTTTTTTTTTTTGAAGAATGGTATTAGAAACCATGATCTATTTAAGCAGCATCCTTGGCCAAAATTTAATAAAACGAAAAAACAAAAAGAAACCTCTATGATCTAGGGACTGGGTATTCTCATTGTTCCTGGGGTATCACTGCTTCTAGTCCTCAGTGGACAGCACTAGGAAATGTATGTGTATATACACATTCTAAATTTGTTTTTACTTAATAGAGATGAAATAGAGTCATGCAGCTTTTAAATATACTACTAAAGTTATTATTTCTTTCATCACATCCAATGCAAAAATTTAAAAATTCTGCTTTTAGATGACATGGATCTCATTCATGAAACATTTTGAATTGAAAGAAGATTTATGTTAAGATGTAATCATAGCATGCACTTGTTTAAAGGATATAGGAATCTGAAGGAGTGCAGCTTCTTCATGGTTTCTGAGTACAAAGATTCTTTCCAAGTAATGTTTTATCCCAAATTATGCATTAACAGTGTCCAGCAGTATGTATGTTTTGAATAAATTTTATAAATATAAATAACAAAACTGGCTTTAGAAATCTATATACTGATTTTTCATTTCAAATACATTTGTGAACTAGCCCATGATACTGTACCCTCTAGCAATTTTTAAAAAGGCATCTATTGATTATAATTTAGGAATTAAGTATGGCTCCGGTTTTTAAGAATCAAGTTGAAATTTCCAGGTCTACTATCAGTCTCTACAGAGACCTTCATATTAATCGCAAAATAGTGCTTTGAAGCATTTTGAACTACCTGGGATGCTGGAAGAACTGGATCCCGATTTAATGCTGGAGCTGGATAAGGAAGTCCAATCATAGGCTGACTCTGTCCTCTTCAAGGCTTCTTGGTAGTTCATATAGAGCTGCTTCCCATACTAAAGAGAAGACAGGAAATGGTGACATCTAAACTTTACTGAGTATGATACAGAAGGATAAGGTGAAATGGGGGACATATTTCTGTTTACTGATTGATGGTCTGTATTAAAATTAATACCTATGATAGTTCAAAAATTCCTCTAATACCATAAATTATAATCTATTCTTATTTCTCCTCATTTTTAGAGGGGCAGCAAGAAGTCAACACTTGATTCTGTTTGTTATAAACATTAATGTTTTTTCACCCCAAATTCTTGATCCAAGGGCAGCTTTTTAGCACTCTTCAGGATACTGCTCCAAATGTGGTTGGTAAATGATCATTACTTAAAGTAATTTAATTTTTCCAAAACTTACTTTGCTTAGGCTAAACTCTACTATTTAAGAATCATATAATGCATTCTCCAAAGCCAAAATAAATCACTTTGATACTACACAAGCTTTTACCAGCAATATTATTCCAAGTATACCAAATGTTAAAAGTTTATCCCTATAAACAAGGAAAAAAGACAACATTTAAAACTTGAAACTTAGGCCTGAAAAACGTAGGCACTGGCAAATCCATGAACATGAAATAGTCAGAATAGTTGTCATGAAAACGAAAACTATATCATCGACAAACACCTCATTATTCCATCATCAAATCAAAAGGAGACATGCCTTTGCAATGCGGATCCCATTGACCCACTGATGCAGTGTCCTCACATCATCACAACAAAGGTATTTGATATATTGAGATTTCTTCTGGATTTGTGGATGCTGCAAGATTAAAGACAAAATCCAACTAAGTCCCTTGGAGAACTAAAGAAAAACAAACTTTATCAAAGCTTAAACATATCCTGACAAGTTATAGGCCATTAGAGTAATGGCCAATACATTTATGCTTCTTATATGGCCATAAGGCCAAATAAAGTAGCCCATAAGAATTTTTACAAAGTAAATGAGAAAGAAACTTTTGTGAAATTTTAGATCAAGATATCCAAGTTAAAATAGATCTTCACATCTTGAGAAATTCCCAAACGTTCCTTCTACATTTCAAAGAAACAAAGTTCATCAAGGTTAACAGAGTCCATAGAATTCTCCATCTATAAGATTATGGAAAAGGAAGAGAATGTTTAATTTCACTTTCAACCCACTGAAATTATGGGTGCAGAAGACTCCAAATCAGAGAGGGACTTTGACAAAGCTTCAGTGTCTAGAGGTGAGGTGAATTACTGGGCTGGGTACACCAAGCCTATGGCACAGCACCTGGGACAAGAATCTACAGTCACACCTGTCACAGGGAAGTACAGCCCTGTAGGTCCCACTCTCTACCAAACTGCAGGGCTGCAGCACTTGCCTCCAGGGGACACATAGATGTCAACAGCATCTTCACATTTAGTTTTCACAACCCACTGTACTTTTCAGTTGAGGCTTGGATGAGAGGTGACTGACTGAACCTTGGCTACAAAATCCAGGTGTTAGGAATATGTTTAAGAAATTTTAACACCACTGAGCCTCAACCAGTAGGTCCTTGGAAAGAAAAGCCCTAAATCACACTTGTTCTGAATGTAATGACTTATGAACACCACATCTCTTTTCAACTATTCTGAAAACCAAAAAACTAATGGCTATAATTTGCCTGGAAAAAATTTTAAATTTGTGTTCAGTTATAAGAAAGAAAAAGGCCAGATATGGTGGCTCATGCCTGTAAACCCAGCACTTTGGGAGGCCGAGGCGGGTGGATCAAGGAGTCAGGAGTTCGAGACCAACCTGACCAACACGGTGAAACCCCGTCTCTATTAAAAATACAAAAATTAGTTGGACGTGGTGGTGCATGCCTGTAATCCCAGCTACTCAGGAGGCTGACACAGGAGAATCGCTTAAACCCAGGAGGCAGAGGTTGCAGTGAGCCAAGATCGTGCCACCGCACTCCAGCCTGGGTAACAGAGCGAGACTTCGTCTCCAAAAAAAAAAAAAAACAAAGAAAGAAAGAAAAAAAGCTTTAAAAGAATTTAGTTTTCCAAAATTCCCCAATCATAGTCATTTGTTGTGAAAATCCATGAGCTCAATAAAATAAGCAATTTAAATAAGTTTTCAATCCATCAAGAATAGATGGCCACCAACATAAGTTATGTATCTGCATTGTTAAAGATCAATCACTCTGGTCTACAATGAGGGAAAAAAAAAAGAAACCCATTAATTCTATTCTTTGCTTTTCAGAGCTCAGCTCCTATAACATTTAATACCAAAACCAATTTTCTTGTTGAAGGTTATAGTCAGTTTTAAACAATAAACCCTCAACAATAAGAGGTTAGCAAAATAATACCTAACAGTCTTCCCTCCTGATAATATAGGCCCTCTCTTGGAATATGCTCCTTGTCCACGGTAAATTACATTATAATAAACCATAATAGTGACCTTGAAAAAGCAAAGGAGGGCAGACAGAGAAGTATGTATTCTTCTATAAAAGGAGGAAGGGGGATTTTACCTCATTCATTCATTCAACAGATACTTATTGAGAACTATTTGCCAGGTGCTTCAGGTAGGTTTAGTGATGAGCAAAACAAAAGCCATAGTTTGTGCAGAAGATAAAATAGGCCAACTGAAAAGAGCTCTGTTAGTGTTGCCAGTGAGGGCTTAAGAGACTGTTCTGCTTCATGGAGGCACTGCCTGCAGGGCAAGGTTCAGAGATCTCAGCAAGCTGCTTTAGATGGCTCGCAACTGTATCACCACGCCCTCCCTTCATGGTGATTTGCAAACTTGACTGCATAGGTGTTCAACTGTAGCAGAAGCCCAAGTGTGCATGTGTGCTTCCATGCGTTCTGCACAAAAAGAGGGTTTTTTTTTTTTTTTAATCAAAACAACATCTGGGAAAATCAAAGAGAAATTATCCTCCACCCTGTTCTCCTCATCTCTCTAACCTGGGAATACAGATAATAACCTGAAGAGTACTATGGTATAAGTATGAGTCTTTTTAAGTCAAGTATCAGATTACTGCTAGTTTAAAATTCCTTTTAGAACCTCAAAACATTTTTTCATCCTCTCACATAATAAAGGCATTCATTACTTTCCTTATGGTCATCCAGGCTCTGTACAAGTACTTCTGCAGATTGTCTGTTCTGCTAATACATTATTTTATTAAAAGTGGCATTTATTGCACCCTTGCTATGTACTAGACACTATGTAAAATATTTCACATACTTCACATTTTTCATTAAATACTCACAAAACCTCTCTGAGTTACATATTATTATCTCCATGTTCCAAGAAGAAAGCAAGGCACAGAGTAAGGTTAAAACAGCGCTCAAAATTGCTTCCGATAAGTGAAAGGTAGTACTAGAATTTGAACCCATGCAATCTCATCCCAGAGTGCATGCTTTTAACTACTATTTCATACTACTGCCTTATTAAAATGTGCCCCTTTGAATCTGCTACCTCTGCTCCTTTTTTCCCCACAATATTATGCTGTCATTTTTAAAATTATACCAGGGTTAAGAGGAAGGCTGGAGGAAACATTCATTGCTAAAAACCAGAAGCTCCACATTTAGATTCTTAAGAGAGTCCAGAGAACATATAATGAAATTGCTCCCAAAACAGATGAATACCTATTAAGAAAGAAAGGTCAACATTTCATTTTTAAAATGACCCTGACAGGTTGAGTGCAGGCCCCTATGGCTATCTCCTCCTCCCCACTTCTTTCCTGGCAGAGCCTTACCTCTCACCTATATCCCACAGGGTGTGAATTCTGACTGGTGTAAGCCAACCATAGTAGTTTTATTCCCTTGTCAGTGATTGGCTTGTCAGCAGAAAATGTACTCTGGGCCAGTAACTCTCAAAAGGAGGGTGGTTGAGTAACTTCTGTGAAATAGTTCCTTCCTCTTATAAAAGACAAATACAGGGAGCAATAATCCCTCTTCTGCTGGCTGGATTTTTCTGGGTCTACATGTGATGCATAGAACTGCAGCAGCCATCTTGGGACTGTGAGGTGAATCAGCCTGAGAATAAGCTGATATGCGGGAAGTAGAACAAGGAAAGATGGAAAGAATTTGAGTTCTCACTGACAACCTTGAGCCACTGAAATAACCAACCAACTTTTACTGTTTTCATGTTATGAGAGTCCCCCAATAACTTTCTTTTACGTGGATTATGTCTACTGATATTGAAGGAGTTAAAAATGTACCACCCTGGCATATTGACTAAGTTAAAAGACACTTGAAAAACAGCAGGTACAGAAGATCACTCTGACCTTCATGCTATTTCTTAAAAGCCTTAGAAGATGAAATTACCATGCAAAAGATGCTTTCTCAATACTAGAAAGCGAAAATATCTTTCTCCTCAGGGATGAGAAGTTGAAACCAACAGAATTCTGTACAGACCTTGTTAAAATAACTCGTATCTTTAAGGCTTCACATATAATTTAGTTGCTTCTTCACAAATTATTCTTTGTCCAATCCAGTATACAAGTAATTATGCTTTTCTCCTGTTGATCTCTTATGTCAATTTAATTTGTGTGCCCAGCTAGGACCCTAAGAGTATGAAGTGAAGTTTTTCCACCCCAGCAATACTTACATTATAAATTAAAACTAAGAAAAAAATTAAACTACAAGAATACACAGGCCAGGCCAGGCACAGTAGCTCACGCCTATAATCCCAGCACTTCAGCAGACTGAGGCAGGCGGATCACTTGAGGCCAGTCTGACCAACATGGCAAAACCTCATCTGTCCTAAAAATACAAAAATTAACTGGGTGTGGTGGCATGTGGCTGTAGTCCCAGCTACTCGGGAAGCTAAGGCATGAGAACTACTTGAACCCGGGAGGCAGAGGTTGCAGTGAGCCGAGATCACATCAGCCAGGGAGACAGAGTGAGACTGTCTCAAAAATAAATAAATAAATAAATAGACAAACACACATTACACTAGCGTGAAGATACCATCACATGTCATATAACCTCTTAGAAAACTCCACTATACATATGTGAGAGAATGAAAGTTCAAGAGGCAAATAACATCTTAGCATTATTAAATAATTTTGACATCATGGTCTTAGGGACTGACTCTCAGGAGACTGTGGACCTCATTTTGAAAACTGCTGAATTAAGCTACTTTGTACTGACTTTTAAAAAACTATTTGCACCTAAAGGTACCTAAAATGATACAGTGGTGTTCCCCAAAAACACAATTATGTAATAAAAGGTTACCATTATGGCCAGGAGCAGTGGCTCTGCCTGTAATCCTAGCACTCTGGGAAGCCTAGGCAGGCAGATTGCTTGAGGCCAGGAATCTGTGACTAGCCTAGGCAATATGGCTAAACCCTGTCTCTACAAAAAAACACAAAAATTAGCTGGGTGTGGTGGCATGCACCTCAAGTCCCAGCTACTTGGGAGACTGAGCTGGGAATATCGCTGGAGCCTGAGAAGTCGAGGCTACAGTGAGCTGTGATTGTGCCACTGCACTCCAGCCTGGGTGACAGAGCAAGACCCTGCCTCAAAAAAAAAAAAAAAAAAAAAAAAAAAAAAGGTTGCTACTACAATGTACTGACTTTATCAAAGCAATCAAAACTCCAAAATCCTAAAATCCTAAAACTCCCAAACTAATGGCAGTCCCCAAACTAAAGTGACAATTCTCAGAGAAAAGTGAAATTAAACATGATATGAACATGTAGACCTAAGTAGTTACCAAGAAATTACAAAGATGGAGCCAATGAAAAAAAAATTATCTCCCTAATTTTCTTGAATTTTTGTATGTCGTTTTTATCAGTGTTCTAATAGATCACTATAAATTTGCTTAAAATGTCCGTTCTTCTCAGAAGTACAGATATAATCATTGCAAGAAGTACAAAAGCTTGAATAAAGAAGAAAAAAAAACCTCCCTAAAAACAGCTCAGGTCACAATACATACATGGGCTATCATGACTATAGTTCAGGGAAAAAAAGAGACAAAAATTATTTCTGGACCAGATAACAGCCAGTCTGATTTGAACTTGGACACAGTGCCCTCTGATGGTTTGCTGAGTAAGTACAGGAAAAGAACTAAAGCACATTTATGACCTACATTCGGCTCTGTTCTAAGTTTTCCTAAAATAAGCCTGGTGTTAAATGAGAATCTCAAATTTATAATCAAATACATTTTATATCTCACAACTCAAAGCTTACAATCTAATATTCACTCCTTACCTAGAGATAATTGGCCCAGGGTCTGCTATGATATAGCACATGCTTCTTTTCCTTACCACACTTCACCATTCCTTTTTAAACTTTGAGAATAAAGCAAAAACAGTATAATTGATGGAATCTCAACAGTTCTAAAATATCCAATAACCTGCTCTATGTCTAACATCAATTAAAATTCCTAAAAAGAAATATGTGTTTACCTTCAGCACCAGACAATAGTCTGTAGGTGCTTTGTATTTGTTCCGATAGTCCTGGCCATAATAAACGTTGACATGATCCAGCTGGAGAAAGCACACCAGATCCCGAGAGACCTAAGATAAAAACACCAAAAAGATAAAATTAATAATAATGCACAAACAAGCAAATATACCTGGTTAACATTTTCTAGGTGAGAATCAAAACTACTTTTGCTAATACTAAATAGAAATTATTGCTATTTACACGAGACAATGAGATGCTCCATAAATGTTTCTTCTTTAATCATTAACGTAACAAAAAAGCAGCCCATTTTACTTACTGTTTTGTCATTCACAATGAACACTAACTTGTTAAGGAGTGTTGGCATTTTAAAGATACTATTAATATAGTCTAGTACATTAAAAACAATAATGTATAATAGAGCTCTCTGGAAAGAACAAGAAAATATCAAGTCGTTCAGTGCCTATAATGCATATGTAAAGTATAGTGATTCGCAACTGGTTGGGGGGAGGTTTTCACCAGTTAAATAGGGGCAACAATATATGCTCATAGGACTATTGTGAAGACTAGATGAGATAATACTGTAAAAAAGTTTAAAACAGTCCTGGTGCCAATAAGCACCGAAGTGATAGCTACACCAGGGTGGCCCTTAGCAGAAGAAGCATATTACCCAAACAAGATAAAAAAGCCTGTAATCCCAGAGAGCTGTGCTGTTCTTCCCAAACAAAAATAAACAAAACTACTCCAGAAAGAGTCCCCAAAAAACAACAAATAAAACTATGATTTCAAATTTGGTAAAGAGAACTGAGATAGGCTCAACTAGTGACCAGAGAAGTAAGAACTTTCAGGTTTCTTCTTCTTTATAATAGATTAATAAACAAAGCAATATTCTATGTCTTCCACGAACTGAAACAAATCATAGCCTGGGTTCACCTTGTCAGCATACTCAATACAAATTAAAAGCAATTAGCATAATGAGGAAGTTCAAATTCCAACAGAAGGGACACACCTTTGCTTTTCCTTTGGGAACATAGTAGATACCAGATGCTCGCAAGAGAAAATAACGCTTTTTCCAGGACTTCTTGCCATCATCCTTCAACCAAAGGACTCCTTCAATTTCTGGTACAGTTACAGAACTTCCACAAAAACATTCCTAAAATAACAAGATTATTTGCAAAGACTTATGATCGTTGGATTCTCAGAACAAAGTTGTGTTTACTCCTGTGAAATGCATGACAGTTATTAAACCAAAATGGTTTTATATTAAAACCAAGCTGCTAATTTAACCTCAATTAGAACTTTCCAGCCAGGTGTAGTGGCTCATGCCTGTAATCCCAGCACTTTGGGAAGCGGGTGGATCACTTGAGGTCAGGAGTTCAAGACCAGCCTGGCCAACATAGTGAAACCACGTCTCTACTTAAAAAAAAAAAAAAAAGCCAGGCATGGTGGCGCGAGCCTGTAGTCCCAGTTATGTGGGCAGCTGAGGCACAAAAATTGCTTGAACCTGGGAGGCGGAGATTGCAGTGAGCTGAGATCACACCACTGCACTCCAGCCTGGGCAACAGAGCGAGACTCTGTCTCAAAACAAAAACAAAAACAAAAACAAAAACAAAAACAAGACAAAACACTTTCTATTCTAAACACAATATGAATTTGGAACTACTATGGCAATCCTAAAATGTTTATTAAATAAAAATGCCAGTCATACATGTAATACTGAATTTTTACCTACAAACTTTTAACTAAAACACTGTTTCGGAGAAAAACTAAGTTGACACATGAACTGAGTTGCATGTAACAGTAGTTAAATACCTTTGCAAACAGCACAGTTACACTAAATTTAATAAAACTGTCAGGGCAAACCAAGCGTTAGACTTTATTTTTTCTCTACATTTAGATTAGCTGTCAAACTAAACAGGAATATATTTTAAAAGAATGCAACGTGCTAAGTGTATGATTAAACTTTAAGAATTTAAAAACTATCCATTTATGTGACTCTAAGACAAAGAGGGCATTTATTTAAAAAATAATACTAGGTTGAAAGGACTATAAACACTCAAAATTCTAAGTTCTAAACACTATGCTTTGATAAAAATCTAATATTAAAGAAATCAATCATGTATTTGTGAAAGAAAAGAGAAATCCTCAGAAAACACTAATATAGGACATTTGGGCCTAAATTAATTTTTCTCCTCAAAGTACAGAAAAATTAGGAATTACAAGGCAGATTTTTACTTAACCGTAGTTAGTATCACTATGAAAACTGAATGTTGATCTTCGCTTCCTAATTGCCTTGCTGGTAAGTAAGGGTTTATTCAGGTTTTCAAGTATACTAAGTTATTTGATTTTAGTTCTATAAAATCAGCCAAAAATTCAATTATATTTTTCCAAAAAATGATCATGATTTTAAAAATTATTTAATTATTTAAGGATAAGGCTGGAAATAATTTGTGAACAGCTAATTATATTCAAATTTCTCTCTGAGTAAGCAGATAAAAACAGCAAAACCACATCCTTCATTGACCAGCCACCTCTCCCACTTGGCAGCCCCTAAAAGCTCATTATTCTTAGATCACTAGAATATGGCTTGGCAAAATAATAAAGGGTCTTCAGTGGCCTAACACGTTCACACAGTTGAACTCTCTCCCTCATACTATCAAAGAATACACAGGCTTCTTTAATTAAAATTGTAACTACAAATATAGAACACTGACATACTTGACTTCAAAAAGGTATTTAATATTTTATTTTATTTATTTATTTATTTATTTATTTTATTGAGACAGAGTCTCACCCTGTTGCTAGGCTGGAATGCAGTGGTGCAATCTCGGCTCGCTGCAACCTCCGCATCCCGGGTTCAAGCAATTCCCTGCCTCAGCCTCCCGAGTAGCTGGGATTACAGGCGCCCACCACCACGCCTGGCTAATTTTTTTATTTTTTAACAGACAGGGTTTCACCATCTTGGGCAGGCTGGTCTTGAACTCCTGATCTTGTGATTCACTCACCTCAGCCTCCCGAAGTGTTGGGATTGCAGGCGTGAGCCACCATGCCTGGCCTAATATTTTAATTTTTAAATGTGCAGGAAAATGGGGGTTGTCATACCTCCAAGAGGACTTCTTTGTTTCTATCTGCCATCTCAGCTGTTTCTTTTTTCCCCAAAAGATAATTCTGGAAAAACAAACATATGGAAGGGATGGGTGGGAGAGAAAAAAAGAAGGTTAAAGCATAAATCCATTCTGTTATTCCCTTGGCACAGGTGTGTGTATGTTTTCTTCTAGAGAAATAGCAACTCTGATTTCTGTTGGTATAGAGTAGAATAAACTTTGAAAAGTTACCTGTGTATGGGCATCATCACTAAAATGCTTAACACCAGTCTCCTCCTTGCCTGTCCACTTGTCATAAACTGTCCTTACCCAGACTGTGAGGTGGTATTACATTCAACAGCTGGCAAATATGTTTTGGGATATCTAATGAAAGCTACGTTAGAGGATCTGAAAGGTTTAGAAATTCATAAGTACAACAAGTAAGGCAAATTTCCTTAAAATATACTGATCTAGGTGCAGAAAATTTATGTTCTGGCTTTTTAAGAAGAAATCCCATATTCTCTGGGACTCATTTATTAATAATCTCATTTACTTGACTCAACTAAAAATCTGAATTCTGGCTGGGTGCAGTGGCTCACACCTGTAATCCCAGCACTCTGGGAGGCCAAGGCGGGTGGATCACGAGGTCAGAAGTTCAAGACCAGCCTGACCAACACGGTGAAACCCCGTCTCTACTAAAAATACAAAATTAGCCAGGTGTGGCAGCACGCACCTGTAGTCCCAGCTATGCAGGAGGCTGAGGTAGGAGAATCGCTTGGAGGCGGAGGTTGCAGTGAGCCAAGATCACGCCACTGACTCCAGCCTGGGCAACAGAGCGAGACTCCATCTCAAAAAAAAACAAAAAACAAACAAACAAAAAAATCAAACTGAAGTCTACTCATTAGTACACAGTCATCCCTTGTTGTCCATAGGAGATTGATTCTAGGATCTCCCCTGTATACCAAAATCTGCTGATGCTTAAAGTCACTTATAAAAATGGGGTCACATTTGCATATAACCTATGCACATTCTCCCTTGTACTTTAAATAATCTCTAGATTACTTACAATACCTAATACAATGCCTACCTATCATTTAATTTGCATGAATTCAATGCAGTACTCAAGCGTGGCATATTCAAGTTTTGTTTTTTAGAACCTGGAATTATTTTTCTGAATATTTTAGATCTGCAGTTGTGCAAATCCACAGATGCAGAACCCATGGATATAGAGGGCTGACTGTACTTCTTTTTCTTTTTCTCTTTTTTTTTTTGGAGACGGAGTCTCACTGTCACCCAGGCTGGAGTGCAGTGGCACAATCTCGGCTCAGTGCAAGCTCCGACTCCCGGATTCACACCATTCTCCTGCCTCAGCCTCCCAAGTAGCTGGGACTACAGGCGCCCGACACCACGCCCGGCTAATTTTTTGTATTTTTAGTAGAGACAGGGTTTCACCGTGTTAGCCAGGATGGTCTCGATCTCCTGACCCTGTGATCCATCCACCTCAGACTCCCAAAGTGCTGGGCTAATTTTTTGTATTTTTAGTAGAGACGGGGTTTCACCGTGTTAGCCAGGATGGTCTCGATCTCCTGACCTTGTGATCAGTCCACCTCAGCCTCCCAAAGTGCTGGGATTACAGGAGTGAGCCATTGCGCCTGGCCTGTAATTATTTTTCATAACTGCCTACAAAAAGATCTGTTGATACCCCCAAATATGTATTCTTCACTAAAACATCCAGAAAAGATGTGTCATGGTTATGCCATTTGAAGCATAACTATGCAATATCTTTAACACTGCTGCTATTTTTCTTCATTACTACTTTTTATTGTGGAGTTGTTTTCCCTCACCTACTGAATTTTGTAAAATGTCTAGGTATTGGGAAGTATTAACTCAAACATTATTTTGGAATAAGGAAAGATGTCAAATAAATCAAAGTATGTTTATTAGAATGTAAAGCCATTTGTAATCAAGGTTACTGGGATGTTTAAAAAGTAATTCCAAAAGAAGTGTCAACTGGATAAATGGCTGGAGTAGAGAAGTACTTTTCTTTGATGAGATGACAAACTCACCAAATAAACAGCTGGGTTCAACACAGCTCTGGATTACAGAGCCAAAAGACCTGGTAACTCACTAGAGCTATACTTCTGCTTCCAAAACGGCTCACCCCATCTGGTTCTGGAGGACTGGGAACCTCTTTAGGGCCTAACACGTGGGCACCAGCTGACTTTCCACCTCAGCAGCAGCAGCAGCAGCAGTAGTAGATGATGCTCCTATAGGATTTTGCAGGTATATCGCTCCAACCAGGTGTTTACCAGTCTTTTAACTCTAACTTAGCAGTAATCGAATAAAATAGGAGACATATTTACAAATCCTGACCTCTGTAAGTTGTTTGGTCTTACCTGTGGGTTTTTGAAAAGTGCATATTTTTCTATACGCTCCATAAATATAAGCTTGTTTTGGCTATCTCTTGTCCAATTAAGAAGATTTTCAACCAAGTTTTCATGGTCTTCAAAGATTCTCTCTGTCCCAAAATAAAATATCCGTATTTTGTTAGTATTCATTAGAGTTGCATGAAAGACATGAAACTTTGTGAAGTAGTTAACCTCAGAACCACATAATCTTAACCGACATTTTAGCACCTAAAAATTATCTGGTATTCCCTAATTTTTCAAACAAAGAAATATGCCTTAATTATGTTAATGACATAACCAAGGTCACACAGCTGATATATGGAAGAACTAGGACTAGAATCTAGGCTTTCTGACTTGCAGGACACCATTCTTCAGTCTTAAACATTTTCCCATCCCACCCTTAAAAATAAAACATTAGTTACATCTTATAAGTTTCGATATCAAGTATTTCCTATTTAGTTCTTGGCATTTAAAACATTTCCAAGATGATTTCTTCTTTGATCCATGACTGTTGTTTAATCTTAAACATATATGTATTTTCTAATTTCCAAATTAGAAATGAAAGAACATGTCCTGTATACTGAACATATGTTAAAGAACACGTTCTAGATATGGATTCTTTGAAATTTGTTAATGTGCTTTGTTTCCCGAGTCAAATGCTGGTTTAAAGACTTCAGTACAAATTCAAGTTAACATAATAATTTTTAGTAAATGCATCAGTCTATCCAGTTCTTATTTGAAAAAAAAAAAACTATTTTGTTACCTTTTAAAAAAACTTTGTTTTAGCCATTATAAAATCTGAAGTGAATTGGAAATGATCTTGTATTCAAAGAACTCTTAAAACACTTCAGAAAAAAATAATGTAAAGAAGCCAAATTATGAAAGGTAATTTTATCGAAAAAATATATAAAGATGAGGCCAGGCGTGGTGGTTCACGCCTGTAATCCCAGCACTTTGGGAGGCCAAGGCAGGTGGATCACAAGGTCAGGAGATCAAGACCATCCTGGCCAACAGGTGAAACCCCATCTCTACTAAAAAATACAAAATATTAGCCAGGCGTGGTGGTGCACGCCTGTAGTCCCAGCTACTCAGGAGGCTGAGGCAGGATAATTGCTTGAACCCAGGAGGCAGAGGCTGCAGTGACCCGAGATCGTGCCATTGCACTTCAGTCTAGGTGACAGAGCGAGACTCCATCCCCCAAAAAATTAAAATAAAATAAAATAAAAACATATATATATATATAAAGATAACTCAAAATGTTTTTATCAGCATGAAAACTGATGAAATTACACAAAAATTAGAAAGCAATTAAAGCAATGATATTACTAACCCATTTGTAATTCAGAAACGGTTTCTACCAGTGACCAGTCTAAACTATAACCGCAGTGGGATTTGTCCATCAGGTTATCCAGTACTTGTCTTACTGTCTGCCTCTCATCCACCATCATTGTTTTAGAACTGTCATCAGACATGTGGACTCTGATCACCAGCTATAACAGGTAAAAAGAAAAGTAAATGAACACTAAAAAATGGCATTCTAGGAAAGGCACTGATCCAATATCAAATAAAATTTGGATTAATGTATTTGTATATAAATTAAAACACAAATAATGACTTCATTATGCAAAAATATAGGCTAAAAATCAGACATCAAATAACCTGTAAGTAAATTTAAAGCATTTTAAAAATATAACAGATAAGGTTATAATGTTATGATTACTCCTTTAGGAGAATTCAGAACCAGAAAATTACTCCTTTTATAATGCATTTTACCCACAAAAAATACTACATGTGAAAAATATATTACTAGGAAGAAATGCCCCTGTATCTCTCCATATCTTAGAAGTACATTACATAAACAAGGCAATTCTTCACAAATCCAAAAAACTGATAAAAAAATCCCAAACCAGGAAGAGGCCCACATATCACCTTTTTCACTTGTGCCTCTTTAATTTTCTCTAGGGCAACTCTGATCTTCTCAGCTTTCAATTTTGCTGCCTGTTCTTCCTGTGAACACAAAGCATTTCAGATAAACAATGCTAAGATGATGAAATATTTGAGAAATCTTTTTTATCCTTAAGGATGCTCCCAGCAATAAATTTCATTAAGAATATAACTACACACAGAGCACATTTAAAAAATAACTGTTCACAAAGAGCAGACATATTATAAAGAAACATTTTATAGATGCAGACTTGAAGATGTCTTACAATAGGCATTTCTACATCCAATATTCTAGAGGAAAAAAAGAACTCTGTGATGTAGTAAATTACCAAGTTTGATTCTGTCAATGTGAAGCAGATGAATTTCAGGTTCTGGGATAGGAGAAAAATGAATGTATAGTGGTGACAATTTGTTTTCCCTGCAGAATCCCTCAACTCTGAATTTCCACTCCCTCCAAAGTAAGGGCAAGTCTTTGAATATTAATGTTCTGTTCTGTTACACTGAAAGTATACCACTATCATAAAAATATCTACAACAAAAAACAATACCTACCTGTTTACAACCATATAAAAACCCTTTAAAAAATAAAAATGTAGGTACAATCTCATTAGTATACCAATACAAATATAAGAAGCTGCCTTATTGCGTAAGTTTCACTCTGCTTTGGAAAATCATACAATGTAATCAATGTCTTA
Organism: Homo sapiens; assembly: GCF_000001405.40. Lineage (NCBI taxonomy): Eukaryota > Metazoa > Chordata > Mammalia > Primates > Hominidae > Homo > Homo sapiens. The sequence continues at coordinate 203,462,558 of NC_000002.12, forward strand.
TGTCAGTAAATTCAAAATTTGTTTTTATTAGTTTACTGACAATATTTTTAAATGCTAAATATGATTTTCCAAATAACTTAAAATTTCTAGTAACTTCTACCTCAGAAAACTTAGATTAAAAAGAGTAATAAAAATTATAACTAAAAATATACTTAAACCATTTGTCTGCTTTATTCTGAATTAGCATATAGTACTCTAATGCTGGTACTTGTAATTTCCAGCAATAGGCCATAATATGCTGTGGCATTAATCTCCAATTTTAAAAAACTTGTATAAGTAAACTTTTGTTTATAAAGGATTATTTTCTATTTCTAGGCTTTTGATTACTCTGGAAAATATCTAAGAAAAATAAAAACTTTTTGGTTGGGCGTGTTGGCTCATTTCTGTAATCCTGGCACTTTGGAGGCTGGGGAGGGCAGATCATTTGAGGTCAGGAGTTGGAGACCAGCCTGTGCAACTTGGTGAAACCCCGTCTCTAACTAAAAAATACAAAAATTAGCTGCTCTTGGTGGTGTGTGCCTGTAACCCCAGCTACTTGGGAGGCTGAGGCAGGAGAACTGCTTGAGCCTGGGAGGCAGAGGCTGCAGTGAGCTAAGATTGTGCCACTGCACTCCAGCCTGGGCAACAGAGCGAGACTCCATCTCAAAAAAAAAAAAAGAAAAGAAAAATGGAAACTTCCACCTTAAATATTCCTTAAGTCTAAGAAGAAAAAATCCTCATCATATCAGCCAAACTTTATCCTCTCTGCATTGTGATGAAAACCACAATCCATATGTTATTCATTAAAAAGCTAAAGCTTCCAGGGCAAAAAACAAAAAGAGAAACTCAATTCAGTTCATAGATTTATTCTGTCTGCCTAAATTCTGTTGGCTTTCTTATTTATGAACTACTTTTCTATTTTATACTCTAGGCTGTCTCCCATCATTTCAAGCTTAGTATTTACTATTTTGTGGAACAGAGAAGAAAACAGTGGTTAGGGAAGGCAGTGGGCTTGGTTGCCAGAAAGCTGATCCCTTCCATTGAAAGGAGCCAATGAATTACCATAATAACCAGGGTCTGGAAATACTATCTGTAAACTCAATTAGGCAGAAAACAAAGAACTTTATTTTTAAAATGGAGAGGGCTAAGACGAGACTGAATTCTTATACTATTATATATTCCTCTGACTAAAAGATTAAATCATCCTATTTTTTTAAAAAATCCTTTATGCAAATAAACAAATAGCAGAATTATAAAACATGTTTACGTTTTAAGATACAAATTTTTCTCTTTTTAAAACAAGCTATGAAACGAGAAAACTAAATTACTGTCATTAAAACTCTCAGTTTTTAGAATTATGAGTCTTACAGAAACAAATTGTTAGGTAAATTACCAAAACTTATATGCGTTTTTGATGAACAGAGCACTACTTTATAAAGGAATCTGCAATACTAGCATTTTCCAGCAGTTTTTATGAAATCAGTTACTTGACAAATTTAGGGGAAGAGAAAGAAGGAGGCAGAAGTTTCATGAATATTTTCTCAATGGGATAATGATCTTATTATGTTCCTCATGGCTCATTTGCCGCATCCTTATATTGGCATGAATTGCAAAGAAAGTTTACCAAGGTATATTTGCAGGTTTCACTTCATATTCCTGAAAAGTAAATTTAAAGTCTGAAGAGGAAAAACTGATATGTGGAATCAATGTTTTGTATATTTGGAATATAAACATGAACTTTTTTCTTTTTGAGATGATGGAGTCTTGCTCTGTTGCCCAGGCTGGAGTGCAGTGGCATGATCTTGGCTCACTGCAACCTCCACCTCCCGGGTTCAAGCGATTCTCCTGCCTCAGCCTCCCAAGTAGCTGGGATTACAGATGCCCGCCACCATGCCCGGCTAATTTTGTATTTTTAGAAGAGACAGGGTTTCGCCATGTTGGCGAGACTGGTTTCAAACTCCTGACCTCAGGTGATCTACCTGCCTAGACCTCCCAAAGTGCTGGGATTACAGGCATGAGCCACCATGCCCAGCCAAACATGAACTTCTAAAAGGCCAAATTCTTTATGGTATTACATAATCTATAAATTTAACATTTTAAAAGTTTACAAGATGCCCTCAAAGCTGAACATATTTCTGAGAAAAAAGGAATATTCAAGAGAATGAGAAGACAAGGGATAAACTGGGAGAAAAAATATTTGCAAAAGACGTATCTGATAAAGAACTGTTATAAAAAAAAAGAGAGAGAGAGCTCTTAAAATTCTTTAAAACAAAAATGAACATGATTTTAAAAATAGGCAAAAGACCTGAAAAGATACCTCACTAAAGAAGACAGCTAGTAAATAAGCATATAAAAAGATGTTCAACATTATTTGTCATTAGGGAATTACAAGTAAAATGAGATACCACTACACACCTATCAGAATGGCCAAAATCCAAAACACTAACACCACCAAATGCTGCCAAGGATGTGGAACAATAGGAACTCTCATTCATTGCTAGTGGGAATATAAAATGGTACAGTCACTTTGGAAGACAGTTTTGGCAGTTTTTTACAAAACTAAATGTACTCTTACCATACAATTCAATTCAGCAATTGTGCTCCTTGGTATTTACCCAAATGAGTTGAAAACTGATGCCTACAAAGACATGCACATGGATGTTTATAGCAACCTTATTCATGAGTGCCAAAACTTGGAAGCAACAAAGACGTCACCCAGTAAGTAATAAATAAACTATGGTGCATCCTGACAATGGAATATTATTCAGCACTAAAATGAAATGAGCTCTCAAGCCATGAAAAGACATGAAGGAACATTAAGTGTGTAATACTAAGTGAAAGAAGCCAATCTCAGAAAGATATTTAGTGTACAATTCTAACTACATGACACTGGAAAAGCCAAAACCATAAAGACGATAAAAAGATCAGTAGTTGCCAGGGGTTAAGAAGGAGGAATGAATAGGCAGAGCACGGAGGATTTAAGGGCTGTGAAACTATTCTGTATGATAAAACAATGGTGGATACATGTTATCACATATATTTGCCAATATGCATAGAATGTACAACACCGGCAAGGCATGGTGGCCCATGCCTGTAATCCCAGCACTTTGAGAGGCCAAGCGGGCAGATAAGGAGTTGAAGACCAGGCTGGCCAACATGGCAAAACCCTGTCTCTACTAAAAACACCAAAATTAGCTGGGTGCAGTGGTGGGCGCTTGTAATCCCAGCTACTCAGGAGGCTGAGAAAGGGAGAATTGCTTGAAACCAGAAAACGGAGGTTGCAGTAAACAGAGATCACACCACTATACTCCAGCCTGGGTGACACAGCAAGACTTCGTCTCAAAAAAAAAAAGTTGACACAACGGACATAGGGATTAAACAAAGAAGAGACCCGTGTAACCAACTAACATACATTAAACCAATTAGATTTCCTAACTGTCAATAAGAAATTTTTATAAAGCAGCTAGATGGGGGCTATTTTAACAAATCCAAATCCCAGCTGCTCTTCCATTTGCTCAAAATGCTACTCTTTATGCTTACATAAAGTGGTCCATGTTAAAACTGTATGAAATTAAGAGCTGGGTTAACTTCAACCTAGGCATATTTTAGTTTATACTTCTCTAGTTTTATTAAAGGATAACCCTTGCTAGCAGCTTTTTGAAGAAACAGAACTGATCATGATACCTCTTTTAGAGTCTGAGTATCATCCCTGGAACAAAACTGGAAATGAAAATGTTTATGTCAAATTGCAAGACTCCTAATATTTTTATGCTTCCTGTGGGTAATAAGCTCTTTCTCAGAGAGTGCTATTTGTGTCTAATGTATTTAAGCAATCACCATATCTTTTAACTATTAACAACCTGGGAAAAATAGAAATTGTCTTAAGCTCATGGGGTGTTGTATAATACAGGAAAAATAAATGTTTGCTGATACGTTTAGATGACATACTTAGAACACCTCCAATAGTTTATTTATAAAGGCAATGCAAATCTACATTCAATGTTTACAGCCCAAGTTTAATACAAAAGACAAAGCTTTATTCATCTTATGTTCCGCTTCCAAAGTCAGGTGTTAAGTTTTCTGCCCCATATCCTTGGACTGTCCCTTTCTTCACAACTATATTAAACTTAAGTAAAAAATACCTCACATATGTAAAAACTTAAATTTCTCTCCCATACCTTCTCTTAAAAGAGCAAGAGACAATCTATTTTCTACTGAAAAACTCCTATGTGGCTATCAATAACCACCAATGCCAAGCCTCCTCAAATTTACGTAAAGACAAAAACTAGGTGAAGATCCTATGATTAAATGAAAGCCAACACTGTGGCTACAAAGTGTTAGAACTTTCTCTATGGTGTAAAAATTAGAATACTTACAGAAAGTGCTACTGTTGCTAAGTTGTTCCTTCAACTGGGAAGCTTAAGCTTTGTGGGTTCAGAACAAACCCAGTTGAAATTAAGGGGCTAAACAGTGGTTAAGAATTCCTTCAGGATCTAGTTTAATTCATATATTGCAATACAATGTAAATTAAAATGATTTAAATAGAACTTGGAAAGATATAAACAGCTTAAGGGTCATTAAATAGCACTGCTTAGAATCAAAATAATTAACAACTATAGCTGATCCTTGAACCTGAGTCTGAGCTACTAGTGTCCTTATGTGTAAATGTTTTTCTATAAATACATTTGACCCTCCATACTGGAGGGCTCTGCATTCCCAACCAAACTCAGATAAAAAATATAGTATTCTCAGGATGCAAAATTCCCTATACAGGCTGGGCATGGTGGCTCACGCCTATAATCCCAGCACTTTGGGAGGCTGAGGCGGGCAGATCACCTGAGGTCAGGAGTTCAGGACCAGCCTAGCCATGATAGCGAAACCCCGTCTCTACTAAAAAAAAAAAAATACAAAAATTAGCTGGGCGTGGTGGCACATGCCTGTAATCCCAGCTACTCAGGAGGCTGAGGCAGGAGAATTCCTTGAACCTGGGAGGTGGAGGTTGCAGTGAGCCAAGATGGCACCACTGCACTCCAGCCTGGGTGACACAGCAAGACTCTGTCTCAAAATAATAATAAAAATTTTAAAAATTCGCTATATACAGGAGGACTTTTCATGTCCAAGGTCTCAGGACCAACTTCAGGACTTGTGTACGTGCAGGTTTTGGTATTGATTTGGGTCCTGGAAGCAATTCCCTATGTATACCAAGGAATGACTGTGGTTTATTTTTAAACTTTTTGTTTTTTGGCAGGGGGATAGGGTCTCACTCTGTCACCCAGGCTAGAGTGCAGTGGTGTGATCATGGCTCACTGCAGCCTCGACCTCCCAGGCTCAGGTGATTCTCCCACCTCAGCCTCCTGAGTAGCTGGGACTACAGGCATGCACCACCACGCCAGGCTAATTTTTGTATTTTTTTTGTAGAGATGGGGTTTCACTATGTTAGGCAGGCTGGTCTTGAACTCCTGGGCTTGAACTCCACCACCTGCCTTAGCCTCCCAAAGTACTGGGATTACAGGCATGAGCCACTGACCATGTTTATCCAAAACTTGCAAAGAATAACACTGCCTATGGTAGGAACTTTGTTTTGTTCACTGCTGTATCTCCAGGGTCATAAACATTGTCTGGCACATAGTAGATACTCAGTAAATATTTGTTGAATGGATAAATGAAGTTATTTATTCTTTTCAATGGTTTCCAGCTACAGTTAGAGAAAAATAAAGCCTCGGTGTGGCTTGAGTGATCTGGCTTCTCCTGCCTACCTCCCCAAACCCCAATCAAGACACTTGTACTTTCACTCAACTAGGGTGACTGGCAAAACGGTCTTTTTTCAACCTCTCAAACATGCCAAGCTCTTTTCCTTGACTTATGTACATGGAACACTCCCTTAAGCCCCAGGCTGGTTTCTTTGCATCCTTCAGGCTTTAGCTTAAATATTACCCTCCTAGAACCCGCTGATCTCATCATCTAAATAAAATGTACCCCAATCTTTTTCCCAGTATGTTCTACTCCTTTCTTTCCTTCATAGCACTTAACATGATTTAGAACTTCTTTACATGCTTGCTTGTCACTGTTTATTATCTATCTTCATAAACAGACTGTGAGCTCGAGGGTGAGGAACAGGTATATTTTATGCAATGTTCTATCCCAGCACCTGGCAGTTCATGGCTCAATAAATATTGTTGAATTGGCAATGAAAATGGTAAAATGGCAAACTTCATCTGAGAGCTGTGTATAAAATGGATTGGAAGGGGGACGGGCAATAATAAAGAGCTAAGAGTGAGCCTGTAGTAGAATGGTGGTAATGGGAATGCAACAAATGGGTGAGCTCAGTAAATCCTACAGATTAACACAAGCTTCATTAGAAATTGGAGACATTAAATGAGAAGAAAGGTAGCAAAGATGATCAGAGGGCTTAAACCTGGTAATTAGAAGAATGTCAGCATCCTAAACAGAAACAGAAAAGATGACAACAGATATAAATTATGGAGCCCAGGGATAATGTAGGTAAGTAGGCTAAACACCTGTGGGATTTAAGGTGCTTGTAAGATGTTGGTGATCTTCTAGGAAATGCCTAACAGCTGTTTGGAAATGTGCTCTTGGGAGACAGATCCATCTAGAATAGAGATCCTAGCTGAAGATACAAGTGTGGACTCTAGGGAAAGAGTAAATAGAGAACGAAGAGGGAAGAGCTGAGGAAAAAGGAAAAAGAGCTAGACTTAGACTTCTACACTGACCAGCTTAGACTTCTACACTTCCCTGATCTTTAAATTTCTACCACCAGTCATAGATCTGCTTTAAAAAGAGAAACTCAGGGTAGAGAAAGGGTCCCACTGCTGACTTTGTTAAAGGGTCTTTTCTTTGAGCTGCTTCTTGGGCAGATTTTCATTTTGGTCTACCATCTTCTTTCATAAATGTACAAGGTTAGAAAGAAATTAAAGCAAACAAACCTCAGATACAATAACAACAACTTAGGGACATTACCCATAACTGTATATTTTTCAGAAATATGTCTGATATTCTTGAATTTAACATTATTTAAATAAGCTAATGAAATAAAAACATGACTTAAAAAGAGGTAGAAAGCAACTCAGCTTCCCTACTGTATTATTCCCTAGTTAATGATGACAATGGCTAAAATATTTCAAATGGATATAAAATACCAGCCCAGTGAAAATCTGGCTGGACTGATTCAAAACATTCCAAGGGCAGAGAACCGGGCAATTAAAATTGCAGCTTCCTCTTTCAATTTGACTAAGTTAATATTAACTAAGATTCTGTTTATATGAGTAAATGTTTTAATTAAATGAGGAGGTGATAATATAAACAAGAACTAGGAAGCAAAGTTTGCTAAAGAAACCCAGAGTATGGACAACCATTAGCAGTAAAAGTTACAATTAAAGCAATGTTTTTTAGACTTTAAAATGCAACAGTGTTAAACTAGAAAAAGTGCAACATACTTGGGAAGACTATTAGGCATTTACAAAAGTTTAAAAACTAATGAAAATTACTGAAAATATTTTGTACTCTCAATATTGCCTGACAGTCATTAAGATCAGTAAATAATTACCATCTGTAAAAGAAAAAGTATATTAATGACAAAGATGCTAGAGTAAGAAAATAATAATATAAGAGCATGATCAAAAACAGAAATCATATTCTACCTACAAGGCAGTAAATAGTTACATGCATGTGGAAGAAGTATCACCTTGGTCAGCAAATGAGAAGGTTTTCCTGCAATGTTTCTCAGAAGAAGGGAGGTTTCCCTGTCCAGATAGGAGTGCTTGTTCAGAAAAGAGAAAAACAAACAAAAAAAGGCAATAACAGAAGTCAGTGGAGGTTTTATGTGTTTAAAACATAAAGTAGACAAAGCAAGAATGATTCTCTATAATTAATCTCATATCTTTTCCCTAAGTTGAGTGAAATATCTCCACAAAGAAAATGTAAAAAAAGAAAAAGAAAAGGAGCAGGGAGGTAAAGACATCATCCGTGCCAGTAGGCGTGTCCCAGCTGACTCCTGCTGATCCCTCCCTCTTTGGGAAAATGGGTAGTACATGCAGACTGCAGAGCCAGTCTGCCTTCTAGGCCAATGCTCATGAATGCTGTGCACAGCACACAAATAAATGAATGTCAGAGACCAATGACTAAACTCCCTTTCTCTTGTTAAAGCCTATGAAGACCTATATAGCTTTAAATAGTATATTTCGGTTAGAATAAGACGACATCATTTTTAAAAGCTTATCCAAGTATTTCTGATCAATTCAATGATAGCTGCACCAAGACGAAAAATATCCATCAATATTTTGCCTAATGGACACACCTGTTTTCAGTAAAACTTTATTAACCCACTCATTATTATCAGAATAAAAATAGGAGTATACTGCACAGTAAAGAATTTGCAGAGCAAATGAATGACATGAACAAAATATTCAGAAGTGTCACACACTTAAATTAATTCAAGTAACTGTTTTCGTGAAAATAATTTGTAAATGGCATGGTCCCTATCATTCTCCCCTTAACTTTTCAGTAACATGTTGTAAGATAAGTTAATACAATTGTATTTCATTTATCCTTAAATTGTAGTTGTTTTGATATATACATGTAATTTGGACTGGCCTCTCATGAAAAAATTCCAAATTAGTATTTAACAGTACATAGTTACTTATCACCATTTAAAAAAATGTACAATACAGCTGAGTAAAAGTATAGAAAATATTGTTATATTTTATAAATCTAAATACAGGTTAAGTTATTCTTGGAAATTCTTTGGAAAGAAACTAATGCAAACAAATACTAGAGCAGCACCCCCTATAAGAAAGTACATGGCCCCTAGCACTTTGGGAGGCCAAGGCAGGCAGATCTCTTGAGGTCAGGAGTTTAAGACCAGCTTGGTCAACATGGTGAAACCCCGTTTCTACTAAAAATACAAAAATTAGCTGGGTGTGCTGGCAGGAGCCTGTAATCCCAGCCACTCAGCAGGCTGCTGCAGAAGAATCGCTTGAACTTGGGAGGCAGAGGTTTCAGTGAGCCGAAATTGTGCCATTGCACTCTAGCCTGGGCGACAAGTGAAACTCTTGTCTCAAGAAAAAAAAAAAGTACATACACGGTCATAGATAAAATACACTACTTCAAGATTAAAAACATGTTACAGAAGACAATATAATCTTTGCTCACATCTATACTATGTTAAGTTTGCTATATGGTATTTTATTGTCTGCATTTTTAAAGCTGTGTTTTAATGCAAGGTAAACTTTATAAGCATAAATGCCCCTCTCACCCATTCTTTAAAAAAAAAAAAAGAAACCTAAGGTCCAATTTTTTTAATTGGACATATTCATCAAGATTAGCACTAACAAAGTCAAACAATAACAAGAACATAGAGAACTATCCCTAGGTCCTCATTTAACTAGATTGTGTAGTCCTCCTAAAGGTAAGACTGATTGGCTCCTCCATAAAGACACTAGGTAAGTAGTAATTTCTGAAAATTCAATTTAGTTTGAGGTTAATGCACAGCCAAGGAGGAGGGAGGGAATTGGGAAAAACAAAGAACAAAAAGCACAATTTGTAAGAGTAGCCATTCTTTGGTTTCTTTAGTTCTTTTTTTTTTTTTTTATTTTTTTGAGACAGAGTCTCCCTCTCTCACCCAGACTGGAGGGCAGTGGCGTGATCTCAGCTCACTGCAACCTCTGCCTCCCAGCTTCAGGCGCTTCTCCTGCCTCAGCCTCCTGAGTAGCTGGGATCACAGGCATGGGCCACCACACTCGGCTAATTTTGTATTTTTATTAGAGACAGAGTTTCGCCATGTTAGCCAGGCTGGTCTTGAACTCCTGACCTAAGGTGATCCGCCCGCCTTGGCCTCCCAAAGTGCTGAGATTATAGGCGTGAGCCACTGTGCCCAGCCACGTTTCTTTACTTCTCTAATAAACTTGCTTTCACTTAAAAATAAAAGAGCAACTATAACTTTCATTGCTCTTATTCCCATTCATTTTTAGCTATTCAAATATAATGGGTAAACATGTACTGCTACACAATTACTATGTAAAACATGTAACATGTATTTCAAGAAATTACTTTCTTGAAAACTTACTGTATTTATCTTATAAAAGTTACTTTTTTAGAAAAATTATCTCCAAGTGAGTAGATTATCTATATTCAGATCATTATATTTCAAATTTAAAAAAATAAAATCTGCCTCAGGCCATCAAAACAAACTATGATTTGGTAAATGTAATTCCAAACATCAAATTCAAATTTAATTCTTAAAAACACAAGATTTAATCAGTTCTCAAACTCATGACCTCAAGACTTCAAGTCATCAAAAAACTGATAATTTGGTTAAGTATGAGGCAATGATATTTAATTGTATCTGATTAATGACACAGAAATAGAAGTCCATTTTGAAATATTAAGATATTCAAATAGCTTAAAATAAAAAGAGGGTAATCATTATGGTTGGTGGTCCCAAAATATGCCACATTCAAAAAATGAGACCACAAACAATAGTTAAACATGATCATAAATTATATCCTGCATGGATGGTTACGTAGCTATTCACTATTTAGTTACTAGCAGAAACAACAAACATGTGGAAACCCGAGGCAGCAAACTCCACTGGGCATGGTGGCTTGAACTGTAATCCCAGCTACTCAGGAGGCTCAGATAGGAGGACCACTTGAGCCCAGGAGCTTAAGGCTGCAGTGAGCTAAGATTATGCCACTGCATTCCAGCCTGGGCAACAGAGCGAGACCCTGTCTCAAAAAATAAAGTATCTTCTTCCAATTGGTACCAGTCATAACACTGATCCTAGAATTCCTTGCTCTTCAGAAAAAAGGGGCAGGGGTGGGGTGAAACTGGTTACTGGAAGGATGCAAGAGGGATGAGAAGAGTGGTGCACAGCTGAAGGACTAAGGAGAGTAAATTATGTAGTTTTAAAACTACATAATTTCTACCAGGGCCGTATTATCAGTGAAACATTTTAAACTGCAGAAATTGTGGTTTTGGTTCAGAAACAAGTTGTATATTTTTCACCCTTGATTACAGGGGAAAAAAATCAGTGCTGTGTCTTTGTGGGTTGCTCTGCTATGGAGATCTTACTGTAACTGAGTAAGGCCATTCTGTTTAGAAATATATTTTAAACGTTTAATTAAAAAAAAATTATGGTTTGGGCATGGCATCCAATCAGGCTTCAGTCTTGGTTTATGTTGTGAGTTAATAAAAATGCATACAGCTTCATATAAACAGGGCCTTCTTATATTTTCTTTTATTTACCAACTATAGACACAAAGTCAAGGGCTTATTTTCAATCCATTTTATTGATTTATTTTATTTCTCTGTTTTCCTCTTCATGTATTCAACCATTTTTTAGGCTCCAACTTTTGAGTGTGGAACCATGCCAGCATTAGAGATGCAAAGGTGACCAAGATGGGCATTCCTTGCCTCACAGAATGTAGTCTAAATAGGGAGATGCAGACCAACTTGCAACTACAAAACAGTGTGTTAAGTGGTAGGTGAGCAAGGAGACGGGTATCTAACCCCAAATTAGCGGCTTAATAAAGTAATTCTGAAAAAGCTACAGTCCTGGAGGATGATTAAGAGGCTGCTGGGGTCGCAGTGTGAGGGAGTGTGGCAGGGTAGAAAGAGGGCAAAGGGATATTTGAGACCAGTGGTTCTCAAAAGAGGGTAGCTCTGTCCTCAAGCAGGAATTTCAGAAAATGTTAAGGACATTCTGGGCTGCCACAATGAAGAGGAGAGGGAGAGTTACTGGTATTTATTGGGAAGTTGAAAATGCAAGATGCCTTGCAAGCATGGTACAATGTCAGTAACAACAAAAGTCCCACATTCCACAATTGTTAAATGTCCTTACACGGAGAGTCGCAGAGATGGGAAATCTTGCTTATAACAATCTGAGCTTAGAATCTAATTTCATTTTACATCTAAAAAGTATTTTTGCATAATTTTAATACTGAATGAATTTTCCAGGATGCTATTACCCTCTAAAATAAATGGAAAGAAGTCTGCACTTTCTTTTGTTCTGAGCTTACAAACAGCTGTTCATAATGTTGGAAAATAATTTCACCAATGGAAAACTAGCTTGAAGTAAGAGTTGCCAGTACCACAACTGGCAGTGTACACTCTGTCACATGCCAGTAAATGATAGGAGATATTTGGAATTCCTTTGAACAGAATTAAAAGCAAAATAATATTAAATTAGTGAAAACATGAAATTAACGTTATTAGTAAAAATTGTTTTAAAATATTTCATACTACTGTTGTCATATTTAAAATACATAGCACAGAAGGCCGGGAGTGATGGCTCATGCCTGTAATCCCACCACTTTGGGAGGCTGAGGCAGGTGGATCACCTGAGGCAAGGAGTTCAAGACCAGCCTGGCCAACATGGCAAAACGCCATCTCTACTAAAAATACAAAAATTAGCCAGGTGTGGTGAAGCACACTTGTAGTCGCAGCTACTTGGGACGCTGAGGCGGGAGAATCGTTTGAACCCAGGAGGCAGAGATTGCAGTGAGCCGAGATGGCACCACTGTACTACAGCTTGAGCAACAGAGCAAGACTGCATCTTAAAGAAATAAAATATGGCCGGGCGCAGTGACTCATGCCTGTAATCCCAGCACCTTGGGAGGCCGAGGCGGGAGGATCACAAGGTCAGGAGATCAATACCATCCTGGCTAACATGGTGAAACCCCGTCTCTATTAAAAATACAAAAAATTAGCTGGGCGAGGTGGCGGGTGCCTGTAGTCTCACCTACTTGGGAGGCTGAGGCAGGAGAATGGCATGAACCTGGGAGGTGGAGCTTGCAGTGAGCCAAGATCGCGCCACTGCACTCCAGCCTGGGTGACAGAGCGAGACTCCGTCTCAAAAAAAAAGAAATAAAATATATAGCATGATGAAAAATCTACACTGTAAAAAAAATCAGATATCAAATGATTTTATTACTACCATCTCATCCCACATTATAACACTGAAATTATTTTGTCATTACAATTATAAATAATCTTATCTCATTTGCAAGAATTTTACATGCTCCCATTTTCTCTACTTGCCTATAAACTGTCTCAGCACATTATCCCTACTTCAATTAAGATTATTTCCCTTTTTCTCATAGTATATACAAGTATGTCATTATCTGCTATCACTTATAACATGTTTCAGTTCTGGGGTCCACTCATATTTCTGTTCTTTTTCCTACACTTCTTGTATAAAAAAAAAAAAAAAAAGGCTTCTGATCTCACTTCTCTTAAACCCAAAGTTCTTGATTATAGGTAGGTGTAAGGTTTGACTACTTCATTATGTCTTTTAATAGTGGCAGCTAAGCATTTACATACTAAAACAGATATATTATTTATTATAAATTTCTTTTTCATTATTTCTCCTTCATAGGTGTTGGGGCATTACATTCATATAAAAAAGTAGGTATGTAAGTAGGTTATATTATTTACAAATTTCACTTGGACAGTAAAGATGGTGTTAGAAATCATCACAAAGGTAATTTAAAATTTTGTTAGCCACATTAATTTTAAAAAGTATAAAAAGAAAAAACTGAAATATTCATATATTTTAGTTAACCAAAAATATCCAAAATTTTAACAAGTAATAAATACAAATAAATTTTGTTGTTTTTGTTTTTTTAAGTCTTGCTCCGTCACTCAGGCTGGAGTACAGTGGTGTGATCTTGGCTCACTGTTATCTTGGCTCACTGCAGCCTCCGCCTCTTGGGTTCAAGCAATTCTTCTGCCTCAGCCTCCTGAGTAGCTGGGATTACAGGCATGTGCCACCAAGCCTGGCTAATTTTTGTATTTTTAGTAGAAATGGGGTTTCGTCATGTTGGCCAGGCTGGTCTTGAACTCCTGGCCTCAAGTAATCTGCCCACCTCGGCCTCCCAAAGTGCTGGGATTACAGGTATGAGCCAACACACCCGGCCACGAGATTTTTTTTACATTTTTGTTTCATAGTAAGTCTTTGAAGTCCAGTATGTATTTTATCCTTACAGCACACAATTCAGATTAACCACATTTTAAATATTTAATAGGCACACGTGGCTAGTGGCTACCGTATGGGACAGTACACCTCTGAAGCATCCAGATTTGCCAACCATGGCAAATGGCATGGCAAAAAAAATGACCAAAGAATAAATTTTTTTAAGAAAGAAACTAGGCTTTCAGTTAAGCATCAGTGCAGAAGAATCATTCCATTTGGTAGCTCTGCTGTAAAGAACAATTCAATTTGTTAGTATCTTAAGAAATTTACAAAAGCCCTTAGTTTCAGAATAAAGAAGGCATGTTGTTTCAGGTTCTAATACAAAAATCATCTATATCAATTATGCTACCACCTACATAATCATACCAGGAGTATTAATATTCAGTTGTACCATATCTAAAGTTGCTTATTTGTTTTTGCTAATTTATTAAGTTTGGTTTAATTTTTATTTGAAAAACTGAAGTTATATGAAAAGGTTTCATCATTTGGAGGTCTAATGAATGCATTCCTCTTCATTAAGTCATGCCATGGCATGTTTATAGAACTTACAGGTGTCAGCTCAGCCTGTTCTTCTGTGAAGTCAATATGACGCTTGGCCTGCTTGCTGGAACATCTCAGAGAAATAGCATGCTGTGAAAATGCAGTAAGGAAGAAAATGATAGGTAAAGGAGGTGAAACGGGCAGTTCTCATTACCATGCAGGAAGAGAAAAAGATCAATGAAGTGAAACAAAACAGTAATGAAACAAAATAGTAATGAAAAGTTGCATGCAATTACCTTTCATTCTCTTATACGCAAAAATTATAAAGGTAAGACCCAGATGATCCTAACCCTTGATAATTTAAGGATAACCTCACTCCACTTCTGGATAGTAGAGTTCTATGAAATAATTGTGCAGAAACATTATGTCTAATACCAATTCATGCTAACAAACCTCAACTGGTCCTTAACCACTGTTTGGCAGTGCTCTTATTAATTTTTCCCCTTATGTTATACCTGTTCTAAGTCTCTATGTTCTTCAAGCTTCTAGCTTCCCTCTTCCCTCTCTTCATATGACTGCACTTCCCTCCATGTGAGAAAGCTACATCCATTTATCATGAGGATCTTCATCATTAGAATGTACCTTGTAATTATACCCATATTTTTATCCTCCCCTCGAATTCTAGATGAATAATGTGTTTTGTTTCCCCTCCCAAAGCTAAGCATGTTCTAGATCCCATTCATTTCCCCCTCCTAAAGAGAAAGTATCTTTAGTCTCTGATACTCAACTAATCAGTACATTGGGGGTGAGGAGAAGAGGAAAATGTTCAGTTCTTCTGGGTACCCTCCTCTTGTTAAACTGTTTCTCCTCTCCACTGCCAAATTCCCTTAATTCATGCTAGAAGGTGCCTCCTCCACTTCCCAGCCACTCATTTTTCCCTTAATTTCTTGCAATTTCTTCCCTAAAGCCTTCATCCTTTGAGTTATAATGTATTCTGTAATTCATTCTCAAAGTCATCAATAACTTTTTGTTTTTTTTTTTTTTGAGACGGAGTCTTGCTCAGTCGCCCAGGCTGGAGTGCAAGTGGCACGATCTCAGCTCATTGCAAGCTCCACCTCCTGGGTTCACGCCATTCTCCTGCCTCATCCTCCCGAGTAGCTGGGACTACAGGCGCCTGCCACCAAGCCCGGCTAATTTTTCTGTATTTTTAGTAGAGACGGGGTTTCACAGTGTTAGCTAGGATGGTCTCAATCTCCTGACCTCGTGATCCGCCCTCCTTGGCCTCCCAAAGTGCTGGGATTACAGGCACGAGCCACTGAGCCCGGCTTGTCATCAAGAACTTTTTAACCAAAAAGGTTTTCTCTCTTTTCCATCATAGTTCCTACCACACTGTACCAAAATCACTTGTTTGGTTGTCTATATCCTCCCCTCCATCCCTCCATACAATAAATTATCACTTCATAAGGACATCATTTTTTGTTTTTTTTTGTTTTTCTTTTTTGAGATGGAGTCTCACTCTGTCGCTCGGGCTGGACTGCAGTGGCACGATCTCAGCTCACTGCAACCTCTGCCTTCCAGGTTCAAGCAATTTTCCTGCCTCAGCCTCCTGAGTAGCTGGGATTACAGGCACCCGCCACCGCACCTGGCTAGTTTTGTACTTTTAGTGGGGATGGGATGTCACCATGATGGTGAGGCTGGCCTTGAACTCCTGACCTCAAGTGATCTGCCCACCTCCACCTCCAAAAGTTCTGGGATTACAGGCGTGAGCCACTGCGCCCAGCCAACATTGTGTATTATATTCCAGTTTTATCCCTTACACCCCACCACAGTGCCCTAGGCGCTCAAATATTTACAGAATATATGAATAACTTTCTGCTTGGCCTGCATGCCACATGCTTGGCCAGACCAAGATTGTTTTTGTTTTTCCCTGTGTATTTTCTCATTAAGCATATTCTGTTTCAATTACTACATCAACAGGAGGCCTATCAAATCTATACTGCCAATAACCCTGTTCTTAGGAAACAGATACTGAAGTATTAACGAATATACGGGAATGATAAACGTAACCAACTCTCAAATGATTCAGGAAAAATAAATATAGACACAGAAAAATAATGTGGTAAAATGTTAAAAATTACTGAATCTGGCAAATGAATTTCATGAGTTCTTTGTACTATTCTTTAAAGGTTTTGTAAGTATATTATTTCAAAATAATTTTTCTTTAAAAAATCTATTCTTTCTGGACTCAATCTTGCACAAGTGTCCATTATATTTCCAAATGCTTACTGGCTAAACTTTCTAAAAGCCTAAATCTGGGCTGGGCACGGTGGCTCACGCCTGTAATCCCAGCCCTTTGGGAGGCTGAGGCGGGCGCATCACTTGAGGTCAGGAGTTCAAGAACAGCCTGGCCAACATAGTGAAACTCCATTTCTACTGAAAATACAAAAAATAGCCAGGGGTGGTGACTCGTGCCTGTAGTCCCACCCAGCTACTCCGGAAGCTGAGGCAGAAGAATTGCTTGAACCCTGAGGCCAGAGGTTTCAGTGAGCCGAGATGGCGCCACTGTATTCCAGCCTGAGCAACAGAGCAAGACTGACTCAAAAAAAAAAAAAAAAAATTAAATCTGAAGTATTCAACAAGAGATGATTGCCTATGTTACATATAAAACAGTATGACGGAATACTATAGCTATTATTCAGTGTACCCTTACCAGAAAAGGATATATGTGAAGTGACAAAAACAATACAAAATAGTAAATAAACAAAGATTAAAAATTTAGGTTACATTAACATGAATAAAAAGGGATTATAGAATAATATAGCTTTTTAATATGAGGTCTATTTCCATAAAGTACTTATTTTCTTACCAAAAAATATTATCTGCTCCAAGTCTAATATTTACGTACTCTTTATCACTACGTTCATAAATCTAAAAGCTGTGCTCAAAATACGTAACAAAAATGTCCAGTGAGTCTCCCATGGGGAAAAAAAATGAATTTAAAGGTCAATTCTCTGTATAAATTTTGCTGTACATTTTCTCAGTTTTGAAAACTTTCATTTGTATTACAAAGTGTTGCGCCATTTGTGTTTGATAAAAACTTTCTATCAATCTTATAAAAACTCACCACAAATCTCTGCAAAGTAAGTTATGAATCACTACTTTCTTGAACTGAATCTGTAACATGTTAAAACAAAGTGCCATTTACAAGCCAGAGTCCTTGGGGTTGGGGTGGGAGTGCACATATTAAAAAGCATTGATCTGGCTAGGAGCAGTGGCTCATGCCTGTAATCCCAGCACTTTGGGAGGCCCAGGCGGGTGAATCACTTGAGGTCAGGAGCTCGAGACCAGCCTGGCCAACAGGGCAAAACGCCGTCTCTAAAAAATTATAAAGACAGGCCGGGTGTGGTGGTGCGCGCCTATAGTCACAGCTACTAGGGAGGCTGAGACACGAGAATTGCGTGAACCCAGGAGGTGGAGGCTGCAGTGAGCTGAGATTGCACCACTGCACTCCAGCCTAGGCAAAAGAGCAAGACCCTGTCTCAAAAAATAAATAATAAAAAATAAAAAAAGTAAAAACCATTTATCTGAACACAGGAGCCAAACCATTATAAAGAAATGGCCTTGTACCAAAGTAGTGGTTACAAATAAAACACTTCCTTGTGATAGCTAACACTTTAGATTACAACTGGAAAGAAGTGGAGGCTTATGACCACTCATTAGTGTTTCAATAAAATAGATTTCCATCATCTTTACTGACACACGTATGCATTTTCCACAAATAGTATGTTGAAAATAAGTATAGCATGATGGTTAAGAATGGAGACCCTGGTGCTAGAGTGCCTGGGTTCAAGCCCCAGCGTGGCCATTTATTGGCAAGGTGATTCTGGGCCTATCATTTAATCTGTTTCCTCACATGTAAAATCGGGGTACTCACAGCATTGATCTTCAAAGGTTGGTATAAAAATTATGAACGATTAATATTACTACGAAGAGTGGGAACCTGCCAGCCCTCATCTTAATTTTATTTAAGCTTTATTTAGTTTAGAGCTAGAGTTTACCTTAATTTTCCTTAAAATATTTTTAAAAAATACAAAAACACCACAAGATGGGGATGCTATTACATACATCTCTTTGCCTTTTTCTCTCCTGCCCATGTAGTTAGTTCTGTATCTAGGTCCGGCTCTGAGAGCACTGGCCAGTCTACTTGTCTTGATTTTCCTTCAGTTCTGTGATGAAGTAGCATGATATGGTGGTATGAGCTCTACAACCAGTATGTTTGGGTTCAAACCCTTGGGCAAGTTATTTAGTCACTCTCTACCTCCGTTCCTTCCATTGTAAAAGAGGGATAACCATGCCCTCCACAAGGTGTTGGGCTCTGCACAATGTGTGTTAAGACATAAAGCACAATGGCTAACAGAACAAGCACTCAATTTTTCTATTTTGCCCCCTTTTCTCTTTATTCTACTCTCCTTCTACTGGATATTATATAGCCGGTAAATCTGTAAATGTTTTTAAAACTATTTCTTTTTGTTTTATAGCCCCTATTCATTTTAAATAGATGAATATATATATATATATATATATATATACACATTTTTTTTTTGAGATGGAGGCTCGCTCTGTCACCCAGGATGGAGTACAGTGGCATGATCTTGGCTCACTGCAACCTCCACCTCCTAGATTCAAGTGATTCTCCTGCCTCAGCCTCCCGAGTAGCTGGAATTGCAGGTGTCTGCCACCACGCCAGGATAATTTTTTTTTTTTTTTGTATTTTTAGTAGAGACGGGGTTTCACCATGTTGGCCAGGCTGGTCTCGAACTTCTGACTTCAAACGATCCGCCCACCTCGGCCTCCCAAAGTATTAGGATTACGGGCGTGAGCCACTGCACCAGGCCACATGAATATATTTCTATTATTGTCTAAAAAAAAGGTCCTTCACCAGCCCTCCACAAACCCAAAACAAAAACAGACCTAAACCTAAAGATGCTTTTTACTTCTGCAGAAAAAAAAAACACACACACACACAGATTTCCAAGAAACACCAACAATAAGAGTCAAGGCATATGTGCCAGTGATTATTGGGGGGGTTTATTTGAAATATGTTTGTGTGAATTAGGCTTTTCCCCTGGATTTCACTAAATCTTCAGCCTCTTTTTTCATCTGATACCTATTCCTTTATTTTATTTTATTTTACTTTTTGAAACGGAGTCTTGCTGTCGCCCAGGCTGGAGTACAGTGGCATCATCTCAGCTCACTGCAACCTCTGCCGCCCAGGTTCAAGTGATTCTCCTGCCTCAGCCTCCCAAGTAGCTGGGATTACAGGTGCCCGCCACCATGCCTGGCTAATTTATGTATTTTTAGTAGAGATGGGGTTTCACCATGTTAGCCAGGATGGTCTGATACTCATGACCTCAGGTGATCCGCCTGCCTTGGCCTCCCAAAGTGCCGGGATTACAGGCGTGAGTCACTGTGCCAACCTTACCTATTCCTTTAAATTTAGCAAAAGGTTTTGCTGAATCTTAAGAAAACTTGATGATTGTGTATATTATGATGAAAAAAATCCTTTGAATTTGCTATAAACTAATAGCTTTACAAAGTATTTTCATTTTAAAAATACACTGTCATGTATAAAATTCCAAATTCCAAATTAAATGGGCATGATATTGTATGCCTGAGGACCCAGCTACTCAGGAAACTGAGGCAGGAGGATCCACTGAACCCAGGGAGCAGAGGTTACAGTGAGCCAAGATGGCACCACTGCACTCCAGCCTGGGTGACAGAACGAGAATCTGTCTCAAAAAAAACAAAACAAAACAAAACAAAACAAAAAAAAGGTAATAATATGGCAGAGTAAGGGGAGCTCCATTTTTAAATAGCATAATCAAAGAACGCCTCAATAAGAAAGTGACATTTGAGCAAATTCCAGAAGGTAGCTAGGAGAATGTTACACAGAAGACTGGGGAAAGGCGTCTGGGCAGGGTTGAATAAGTGCAAAGGCTAAGAGGCAGGCTCTGGCTACTGGCTGAGAACAAGTATGGGACAGTATGGCTAGTGGGGTAAGGGACAGAAGGAAGAAAAATAGGTGGTAATGGGAAAGCAGATCAGGCAAGGCTTTATAGGCATTATAGGGGTTTGGGCTATACCATGAGATGCAAAGCCTTTAGGTTTGAAAAGAGATGATCTGACTTATCTTTCAAAAGGATCACTCTGGCTGCAGTGTGGATGATAGACTGTTAAGGGAGAAAGGTGAATGCAGAAAGACCAGAAGGAAGCCTATTCAAAAATCTAAATCAAGATGATATTGGCTTGGTGGCAGTGAAGGCGGTGAGAAGTGATCACATTCTAGACATATTCTGAAGATAAGGCCAACAGAATTTGCTGCTGGATTGAAAGGGAGGTAGAAAGAAAATAAGTAGATAAAGACTCCAAGGAGTTTGCTTGATGAACTAGACGGATGGAATATCCATTATTTGAGATAGAGAAGACAGTGGGAGAAATAAGTTTGAAGAGAAAGAGCAGGACTTTAGGTTTAGACCAGTTAAATTTGAGCAATCTATTTATGATGGTTAATTTTAGGTATCAACTTCATTGGATTAAGGAATACCTAGAGAACTGGTAAAGCATCTGGGTATGTCTGTGAGAGTGTTTCCAGAGGAGATGGTGTGTGAACCAGGACTGAGTGGGGAAGATCCATCCTCATTGTGGGTAGGCACTATCCAATTGACTGAGGGCCCCAGATAGAACAAAAAAGGCAGAGAAAAGGTGATTTCCTCCCTATCCTTCCTAGAGGTGGGACACTCTGCTCCTACTCTTGGATATCAGAACTCCAGGCTCTCCAGTCTTTGTACTGCAGGCCTTATACCAGCAGCCTCCCTTGGGTACCCAGGCCTTCAGCCTAGGACTGATAATTATACCATGGGCTTTCCTGGTTCCGAGGCTTTTTGACTTGGACTAAGTCACACTACCACCATCCTAGGGTCTCCAGCTTGCAGACAGCCTGTCACATGACTTCTCAGCCTTCATAATGGTGTGGGCTAATTTCCATAATAAATCCCCACTCATATCCTATTGGTTCTATCTCTCTGGAGAAATATAATACACAATTAGACATCCAAATAGAGATATTGATTAGAGATGGAATATATGCACCTGGAGTTCAGGAGAGAGGGACTGGCCAAAGATACCTATATTTCCTTAAATCTAAGAAGATTTGATGCTGGTACTTTCTTGATCTTTATTAGAAACTTTCAACAGAAGGACTTCATACAACGTACTATAACTGCCACCTTGCTGATCGTGACTAACAGGTGCCACACGATTTAAAATGTGGTTTCTCAACCTTGGCTCTATTTTGGGCCAGATAATTATCCTTCATGTGGGCTGTCCTGTGCACTGTAGGATGTTTAGCAGCACCTCTGGCCTCTACCCACTAGATGCCAGTAGTAGCACACGCCCTTGATGGACAACCAAAAATGTTGCATATACCCAGCAGGACAAAGTAGCCCAAGTTGTGAAGCATTGTTTTACAGGGATTAAAATGGGGGTGGGAAGATGTGGAAAAAAAGCATATGGCTGAGTGGTAACCAATTTAGCAAATCCAAGAGAAGCTGAATGCTGGGCCAGCACTGGAGAAAAGCAGAGGAGCACTCAATTTATATCGTGTAACCTCAGAAGTCCTCAGAAGCAAGAGTAGACAGGTGATGGTGCGACTAAAAGCAGGAAGAATGGTTGAAAACACATTTAAGAAAGCAGCTAATTCTCAGATTCCCTCTTTTACTCACTCACCCACCAGCAGTGGTCTCAGGTACAGATTAACATTCGCTGACAAGACCCAACAGACCATAGCTTGAAGCCAGATTCACTCAGTTCTGAATAAATAAAAAGAGACATGCCATCTTCTGAGGGAGTCCATACAGCTCACCACAGGCCCTTTTTGGGCCCATAAATAGCTCATTGTAAGGGAAAGAGACCACATGGTAAGTGCAGAAAACACCCTGGCTTAGGGAAACTTCATGCTCCATGGGAACCAGCAGTACCTTTTAACAGCCAATGAGGTTAAGTTCCAGGGCCCCTTAAAGAACACGTTCATGCTCATTTATAAGAGTTACACTGCTGGCCAGGTGCAGTGGCTCCCACAGTGTAATCCCAGCACTTTGGGAGGCCGAGGCAGGTGGATCACTTGAGGTCAGGAGTTCGAGACCAGCCTGGCCAACATGGCGAAACCCTGTCTCCACTAAAAAAAAGAAATACAAAAATTAGCCAGGCGTGGTGGCATGTGCTTGTAATCCCTGCTACTCGGGAGGCTGAGGCATGAGAACCATGTGAACCTGGGAGGCGGAGGTTGCAGTGAGCTGAGATTGCGCCACTGCATTACAGCCTGGACAACAGAGTGAGACTCTGTCTCAAAAAAAAAAAAAAAAAAAAGAGTTACACTGCACACCACGAAGTCAAGGTCTATGTCTTTTCATAGGCTAATTTATTCATTCATGGACAGTCTTCCTGGTCCATATACACTCACCAACAGGGGTCAGTTTCACAATAAACAATATTACCTGGAGATATTCTATATTTAATTCTTAATCCAGTATGTGTCCAGGAAAAGAATGCCAGGAGAAGGAAAACCCAAGGTCATTTTCCACGAAGAAAAGGACTCAGGCCTACTGTTAACCCTCTCTACCTAGAGCAGTGGTGATTCTCAATTGGGGGTGGATTTTGTCCTACAAGCAACATGTAACAATGTCTACGGACGTTTTTAGTTGTCACAACTGAAGAAGGTAAATGTGTACTACTGACATCTAGTGTGTACAGGCCAGGGATGCTGCTAAACATCCTACAGTGCATGGGACAGCCACTCACAAAACTATCTAGCCCAAATGTCAATAGTGCTGATAGCTGAGAAACCCTGACCTAGAAGGATTTGATGAAAGTTCATAGACTGGAACAATGGGGACCATCCTCATGTTCCAACCCTTCTTTCCCAAATGGGCTACTAAAACACTGGCAGCCAGCATAGAAGACTGGAAGAATCTTCTCCAGAGAAGCTCACCAGCCTAGGAAAAAAAACCTAAGGATAATCCTGAAGACTACAAAAAAAAAAAAAAGAAAGAAAAGAAATAAATAGAATTTTAAGAAGATGCAATTAATGGAACGCTAATTTGGCTTGAACCAGAGAGATTTAATCAACTGGGAGAAAGTCTGAAGTTGAAACAGTGATCACCATATAGAAAATTAAATATTTTTAAACATATATTCATTCCAGTAAAAGTAAAATGATATTCCAGAAAGGGGATGTAGTCACAAGAGTATATGGAGGTTAGCAGTAAATTTCAAGTATATAGTCATTTTAATATAAACACTGAATATGAGCTCAATCAAAATATATTTGGAGAATGGAAAAACAGGAAGGGAGAAGTGAGAAGAAGCTGTATATAGACAGCTATACCCTCCATCTTCTGGAGTAGAGTGAGAAGTCAATAGGTAATACATACCACTAAAAAGAAAATCAAGAAATGGCAATGTGTATGTAGACTTAATGATAAAGAGGTAAAGTCCCTAAGAATCAGCTAAATGAGCAAAAATTGCTTACCTCTGGAAGCAGAATATGATGTGTATGTGAGTAGAGGATAGTTTTCCGTAACATATCTCATAGAACTATTTAACGCCATGCATGAAAAACTAAAATATTTTTAAAACTGTATTTGCACTTAAAGACAATTTGATACATGAGTTCAGGATATATTAAGCTTGCCTCAGTTTACTTTATTTGAATCAGAACAGACTAGACCTAGGAAAAAAGCAAATGGAAGCAAGTTCCGGGTTTGTTAAACCACCTTTCTATACTCCTAGGTGAGGCAAAAGAACAGGCTAGCTAGATAAGGCTTTTTAACTCCTTTCCCTGCTATAGTCCTGGTTTACTCACCAAACCTTACATTAAACTCTTATATTAAACATTATACCATTGAGCACTGGTATCTTTGCAGTATTCACAGTGATACCCATGGATACCACTAGATACCATTTGAAGTGCGCTTGCTGGGAGAGAGGAACTTTTCACGTTTTACTTCAATTTGCCCCTATACTGTATGAACTTTTATAATGAGCACATTTTACAGACAGAAAGACATGCATACGGTATTAGAAGATCCTTAATGATTAGTTTATAACTTGTCCCTCACGCATCTTAATCCAACTCAAAATACTGTAAACTGATTGGAAGGAATATCAACATACAAAACAAAGAATGGCCAAGAAAGCACATCCCTAATAAAATATTGCTCATATCCTAGCAGGTAAATCTAAAGGACATGAAATGATACATATTAAGTAGCTGGTGGCTAAATATAATTCCCAGGTATCACAAAATAGAAATCAGTTTTTTTTTTCCTTTTTTTTTTGTAGACGGAGTCTTGCTGTTGCCAGGCTGGAGTGCAGTGGCACGATCTTGGCTCACTGCAACCTCCGACTCCCTGGTTCAAGCGATTCTCCTACCTCACCCTCCCGAGCAGCTGGGATTACAGGCATGCGCCACCACATCCAACTAATTTTTTTTTGTATTTTTAGTAGAGACAGGGTTTCACCATGTTGGCCAGGGTGGTCTCAAACTCCTGACCTCAGGTGATCCGCCCGCCTCGGCCTCCCAAAGTGTTGGGATTACAGGTGTGAGCCACCACGTCCGGCCTAGAAATCAGTTTTCAAGTTCTCTATAGAATATATACCACTTAGATAAGTTTCATTTTAAATAAATGAAAGTTTATTCTTCAGATTGATAAGATTCGCTTTCTTTGAAATAACTCAAGTTTATCTCCAAACCACCATGATTCATACTCCTTTTGTGCTCCACAGTACCAAAAACAAAGCTACGCACATGGGTGGGTACCAAGAGTTACCTACTGATGGAAATTAATCCAAAGAATTAAATAAGTTACGAAAAAAAAATCAATGATGTCAAGTAATAGTTAAAATTCAAGATTTTACTTTAGTACTGATTATTCATAAATAGATTCTTTTATCCCATATTAGAATATTGTCAACACAAGCTTATTGGAAAGGTTGACTTAACTTTGCCCCATTTTTCTTCTTTCTTGCTGCTACCCTATGACAGAATTACCATCTCTTTGATGAAAACAACTCAATAAAGAATTCTCTTTCACCAAACTCAGCTTTTGTTGAACTTGTTACCGCAAATCTATTCCCTATCTTATCCAGTCACATGCTGAAAAAAATTCCATCTTTTAAAAATCTGTTCATGAATAACTTACGGTTCTCTGAACCACCCTATCAGGAAGGCAGATATAGTATTACGAACTCTGGCTGGGCGCAGTGGCTCACACCTGTAACCCCAGCACTTTGGGAAGTGGGCGGATCACAAGGTCAGGAGTTTGAGACCAGCCTGGCCAGCATGGTGAAACCCCGTCTCTACCAAAAATACAAAAATTAGCCAGGCATGGTGGCACACGCCTGTAATCCCAGCTACTCAGGAGGCTGAGGCAGGAGAATCACTTAACCCGGGAGGCAAGGTTGCAGTGAGCCAAGATCATGCCACTGCACTCCAGCCTGGGCGACAGAATGAGACTCCGTCTATTAAAAAAAAAAAAAAAAAAAAAAAAAAAAAACCTGTTTATGAACAACTTTTGTTCTCTGAACCACCCTATCAGGAAGGCAGATATAGTACTATGAACTCCATTTTACTTGTGAGAAATTGATGTTTAAGAGAATAACTCACTTAAGGTCCCATGGGTAGTGAGTGGCAAGGAAAACTCAGAATCAAGTTTCCTGATTCCATACCTGGTGGCCCTTTCCAATATACCATACTGACTCTTCAATAATGAAATGGAGGGCCGGGCACAGTGGCTCACGCCTGTAATCCCAGTACTTTGGGAGGCCAAGGCGGTTGGATCACCTGAGGTCAGGAGTTCGAGACCAGCCTGGCCAACATGGTGAAATCCCATCTCTACTAAAAATATGAAAATTAGCTGGGCATGGTGGTGAGCGCCTGTAATCCCAGCTACACTTGGGAGTCTGAGGCAGGAGAATCACTTGAACCTGGGAGGTGGAGGTTGCAGCGAGCTGAGATCACGCCACTGCACTCCAGCCTGGGCATGAGTTGTACAAGAGTACAAACTCCATCTCAAAGAAAAAAAAAGGAGAAAAAAAAAAAGATAATGAAATGGAGTTAACCCTGTAAACTAGAATCTTGGAGGACCACAATGGTGATATGAGTGTTTTTCTTAAGTTTTACTTTAAATCAACATACATTAAATAACTAAATGGTTTTGTGAATCATTTTAATTTTTCAAATCACGTGAAATGACTCATATTACAATAAAAAATGCCATTCAAGAACTTCCAAATACTATAGTCACGAGAATAAAAAAGAAACTAAATTTCTTCTAAATCATCTTTGTGCCACTACCATATCTGATAATATATTCCTTCTGTACTCTTGAAACCTATCTCAGAAGTATCTTTGACAAATTATAAATGTAGAAGAATTTAAGAAGTTAATTAAAATTATTTTAATATAATTTCTCCTTTATTTTAATAACAAAATACCAGGGAAAAAGTTCCATTTATTTACCTCAGTAATTGGCTGCCCTTGATGTGTCAAATCCAGCTCTTGAGGGCGTGTTACTTTATCAATATCCAAAGAGTCCATGCTGGAGGCTGCGGAAGTGATGCTGGAATGGGAGGAATTACTAATAGAGTGTACTTCAGCATCACTCACTGTGCCTGCTGACGCGGTTCTTCTGTGCTGATTAGTTACTAAGGGTTTAGTATCTTCTAGTACAGATTGCTGAGCAGCCTCATCCATACTCAAAGAGGCCTGTTCTAACTGTGCAGTGACGTCGTCCAAGGAGTAGCTGGCATGGGAAGGTTTAGCTATCCTATTAGATGAAGAAGATAATCCTTTCAAGGTGCCATGTTTCAATGTATGTCGGCTAACAGGCAATTTCTGAGTAGCTTTCGTTTCTGTGATTTGACGCTTACTGTTTCCTGAACCAATGCTGCTGAGCTCCTGCTCTATAGAGCAAAGATCAGCCATCAAGGCATCCAGATCCACAGTCTCTCCCTGATTCAGAGCTTCTGCAATGAACAACACATAATGTTTCCAGAATTTATACATTCTATTATAAATCAGTTAATAAATGCAGGTGATGAAGCAAAAGAATATATTTTGTTGGGCCTAAAGCAAATAAAATTAAGTATTTCTGGTTTTTGTTTTAAATTCCAAGATAAATTTTTAGAAGTACACAGTCCTCCTCTTTTAAGGCTTGTAATAATCAGAGGAGAATAAATTATGAGTTCAAAGACAAAAACACTACAAAAATCTTATACTGTTCCATGGTTTTAACCACATTCCTCTGTGCAACTTTTTACCACAGGCTTCAATATATTGTTAATATGATCAATGCTTTGGTAGAGATGTCAATACTGAAAGAGCTGAGGGCATAAAAAGAGAAGTCAAAAGTCTAAAAAATTACAGACTGACAGGTCAATATTATAAACTTGACTAGGTGGAATACAACAGATAAAGGCCACAGTGGCTGCTTTAAAAATTACTAAGAAGTAACTTCACTGGACTTTAATCCGGTGAGAAAACAATGCAATTAAGTTTGCTGTGGGGTTCCACCTGGGTATGTACTTTGTCAATTATTAATAAAACCAACTATCTTTTAGTTATGTTCTAGTTTGCTTTTCTCTGTGATATTTTCAATTAGTAATATTAATAAAATACACAAATCAAGAAATTTAAGGGCTGGACGCAGTGGCTCACGACTGTAATCCCAGCACTTTGGGAGGCTGAGGCAGGTGGATCACCTGAGGTCAGGAGTTCGAGACCAGCCTGGCCAACGTGGTGAAACCCTATCTCTACTTAAAAAATACAAAATTAGCCAAGTGTGGTTGTGCATGCCTGTAATCCCAGCTACTCGGGAGGCTGGGGCAGGAGAATCGCTTGAACCTGGGAGGCAGAGGTTGCAGTGAGCCGAGACTGTGCCACTGAACTCCAGCCTGGGCGACAAAAGCGAAACTCTGTCTCAAAAAAAAAAAAAAAAGAAAAAAGAAAAGAAAAAAGAAATTTAAGAACTTGGTCGAGTTATGCATGTAGCTTTTATATCGAGTTTTTATATTGGGAATTGCAGTTGTACTGCTCCTACATTGTGTGACTTAGCATACTATTTTACATTTTATTTCCAATTACATCTTACCATTCAAGTTGTATATGGAGAAGCGGTAAGAAAAGTTGGCCATGTTTGTTTCCTGGCGAAGAGGAGATCTTTTTACTGGTTCCATGGGCTTGTCAGAATCCAAACTCTTTATAAAAAGAAAGTTTAATAGTCATATTAAATTCAGGTTTCAATAATATAAAAAAAGATGAAGTTTGTTTTATGATTAAGTGAACTGCCACACTATAATTAATTAAACCAAAGTTCTCCTAAGTAATAGACTTAAGGAAAAGTATAATTGTATTTGACATTATTATTTTGGTTATACTTATTTCAATCTTTAGATATATGCTTACTTTTTTTTTTGGAGATGAAGTCTCGTCCTGTCACCCAGGCTTAAGTGCCGTGCCACAAGCTTGGCTCACTGCAACCTCCGCCTCCCGGGTTCAAGGGATCCTCCCGAGTAGTTGGGACCATAGGCATGTGCCACCATGCCCGGCTAATTTTTGTATTTTTAGTAGAGACAGGGTGTCACCATGTTGGCCAGGCTGGTTGCAAACTTCTGGCCTCAAGTGATCTGCCCACCTCCATCTCCCTAAGTGTTGAGATTACAGGCGTGAGCCACCATATCTGGCCTATGCTTACTTTTAAAGGCACTTGAGATTGTCATAGTTCAGAGTAAATATCTTTTCAAATATATTAAGTATAGTGACTGACTTCATTTTATATACATGCACTATAAAATAAGTGAGGTAAGTGAATATGGACATGGTAAGCTAAGAAATAGGTGTGATGGCTCACTTTGTAATCCCAGCACTTTGGCAGGCAGAGGCAGGCGGATCAACTGAGGTCAGAAGTTCGAGACCAACTTGGCCAACGGGGCGAAACCCCATCTCTACTAAAAGTACAAAAATTAGCTGGGCACAGTGGCGGGCGCCTGTAATCCCAGCTACTTGGCAGGCTGAGGCAGGAGAATCGCTTAAGCCTGAGAGGCAGAGGTTGCAGTGAGCCGAGATCACGCCACTGCACTCCAGCCTGGGCGACAGAGCGAGACTCAATCTCAAAAAAAAAAAAAAAAGAAACCGCACAGAGAGTTCTGTTCTTTCTTTCCTCAAAGGGATTTGGTTTAGGTCCAGGAAAGCCTCGATCTTTGCTATATGAAGTACTCTGAAGATAACGGACAGTTCTGGATTTAAAATTATTAAGACCCAAGACTCACTAATTTTAATGGAAAGTGATTACAAGTTCAAACAATGATGAAATATTCTTGTCCTTCTCCAGTTCTATCAAAAGGAGGGCAAATTGCAACCCAGCTACACTGCCTGTGACAAATCTTGAATCATACTGTATACTTTGGGTAGGGTGACTTGTAAGTTACACTTGTAAGTTTAAATGATACTCTTCCTCTCTAACCTTTCTAGAGCAAGGAAAAAAGATATTTACAACAGAGAAATTCAGAGAAAGGGTCAGTAGTTATTGTTTAATAGATTCACAAAATATAAGGATTAGTGTTTTAAAACTTTAATTTATATCTACAGTAAGCACTGAACAAGCTTCAAATTTTAAAAGAATGCTGGATACTCTATGTGTTTATAATGCTATCTTTTTTTTTTTTTTTGAGACAAGGTCATGCTCTGTTGCCCAGACACGAACTCTTAACCTTTTTAAAGGGGTTGCTGAGAATTTTATAAAAGCTATGAACCCTCTTCCAGAAAAATGCACATACATAAAAAACTTTACAAACTATTTTAGAAGATTGACCAACTACCTAAAACTTAAACTTGTTTTAATTCTAAGTTGAAAATACCATACCACTGAGTACGTGATACAGGTGTACAGATAACACTGTAATGAACTAAAGTAATGAAATAAACAAGAAACTTGAGGTTTTAGCCACAAACTTTGTAAAGTCAAACATCTCTTGAAAATGTCCCAAGTGTTACAAAGCAACATATTAGCAGTGAGTCACACTATGCCACAGTTTTAATCTTTTTTTCTCTCTAAAGACAGATTTATATAATGAAAAGAACAGTCACGTCATTAGTGGCTCTTCACACTTTTATGTCAGGCAACTTAAAATACAGGGGAAAGTACAAGGTATCAAACCAGTAGAAACACCATTTTCAGGGCAGCATCATGTAGTTCCTAGTTCACCCAGAGCAGCTGGACCAATATCTACCTGCCTTTTCTCTTTTGGGCCCCTCCTCCCAAGCATGGACAATAAAACCACATGGTCAAGAACACCCCACATGTCAGCTGGCCCTTGCATACTTTTCTCCATGCATTATCATTTTCTATTTGCTCTTCTTTGCTTCCTCTCTCTCCCAGAGCAGGACTGCATAGCCTAGTGATAATCTCTATGCTTAAATCACCCTTTTTATAAATTAAGAATTAAAACAGAAAGAATTTGGCAGTTACAGACATAAGACATCTCTGACAAAAAATGTCACTTCTTCTGATTAGAGATGAAGGGAATGATACCTATGAAATCCTAGTAGGAGTTGAAAACATTCTCCCCTGGCCAGGTGTGGTGGCTCCCACCTGTAATCCCAGCAGTTTGAGAGGCCGAGGCAGGTGGATTACCTAGGTCAGGAGTTCAAGATCAGCTTGGCTAACATGGTGAAACTCTGTCTCTAATAAAAATACAAAACCAGCTGGGCATGGTGGCGCATGCCTGTAATCCCAGCTACCTGGGAGGCTGAGACAGGAGAATTGCTTGAACCCGGGAGGCGGTGGTTGCACTGAGCTGAGATCACACCACTGCACTCCAGCCTGGGCGACAGGAGTGAGACTCTATCTCAAAAAAAAAAAAAAAAAAAAAAAAAAAGAAAAAAGAAAAAAAAAAATCCCCCCAAAATACAGTATTAACAGATTATGGTCACAAAGATGTCTGCCTTTCAAAATGATCTAGCAAGAATTACACGAAGAGTTTATCACTTTGAATTCTAGATTGCTGCAGAAATAAGCTGCTAGTAATTTAAGCTTCCACCTTGCCCACTTTGCTTTTCCTTTAGTTAAGGAATCTCATACCTACGCAATTTTACACAAATGTTCTTTCCAAAGACATTATTTATGAGTAAATAAGTTTTGTTCTAATGTTCTCATTGCCATGAAGTTAAATTTATTTAATAAACATAACCATCTTCACACAGTGAATATAATGTATTACTGGGGCAATAATAACAGTACCCTTTTATTCTAAAAAGTGTGCTGGTTTAGAGGACAAGGTCACCTTCTTTAAAAACCCAAGATCGAATAAAGCAAAATGAAAAGATTTTGCCACTGTTTTAAAATGCAGCCCAGAATTAGGTTTTGTCAGTATTCTACAATCATGTCATAGAAAATATTTACATGGGGCCAGGCATGGTGGCTCACGCCTGTAATCCCAGCACTTTGGGAGGCTGAGGTGGGCAGATCACGAGGTCAGGAGATCGAGACCATCCTGGCTAACACAGTGAAACCCCGTCTCTACTAAAAAATACAAAAAATTAGCCGGGCGTGGTGGCGGGCGCCTGTAGTCCCAGCTACTCGGGAGGCTGAGGCAGGAGAATGGCGTGAACCCCGGAGACGGAGCTTGCGGTGAGCCAAGATTGCGCCACTGCACTCCAGCCTGGATGACAAGAGCAAGACTCCGTCTCAAAAAAAAAAAAAAGAAAAAAAAAAAGAAAAACAGAAAATATTTACGTGGAAGGAAATTATTTATGTTGAAAATGTATTCAAATTTACTAAGGTAACAGGGTTTTCTAAAATTTAGACTTTTGAATTTCAGGCTTTAAAAGTTTTTAGCTAATTATCTCATATTTATGAAACATATATTAAGTAACCCCTCTAGATGAACAGAGCCTCTCTCACAAGTATTTTTTTTAACATCCTTAAAATAACCATAGATTCTTAATATCTTCTGTTCTAGAATGACTTCATTTACTTGTCAATACTTCGAACATTTCTTCCTTTCTGGCAATACTTTAAAATTTAACTTATATCCATATCCTCTTCTGCACATTAAACTTTTAACACAATGGTGACTTCAAATCCTCAACCAGTTTTTCAAGCACTACTCACCTGAGTGAGTTTGTCTAGTTCTCCAAGCCAGGCTCCAAACATTTTGTCCAGGTCCTGATCTTCCTTGTCACTGTCTTCTTCAGCACCATGATCAATTTCTTCATCTGATAGCTGCTCCATCTGAAATACAGACATTTGTGTAGAATGAATAGTAAGTTACAGGTTTAACTTGAAAAATTATGCCATATATGCTCTGATATATATTATATGCCTCTGAAGTCAAATCTTCAAAACTAGAAATTACATTCTAAAAGAAAATCTTAAGTCATTAATGGAGACAGTGTTCACAAGTGAGTAGAAACAAAGAATAAAGTTTCAAATTTTTTAGGAAACTGTAAAAGAAAAGCCAACAGTATCAAATTATGACCAGAATCGCATTACTAAAAAAATTAACAGAGCACCCCTTTCAATCAGCAGAGGACATAACAGTAGTACAGTTCTCTCCACTACTAGATCCTAGGACACCCAAACACCACAAAGAAGCCATTTCAGAAGACTTTAATGGAGCAAATTATTGTCCTGTTTATTCTGTAAAAATCTGTTTAGATACCAATAGGTACCCTGCAAAACCTTAGTCCAACAAGTATTTAAGAGAAAATTTGACAAAACAAAAATCTTAATCTAGTTTTGTTTCTTTCTATTCTACCCTCCTACCCTCACTTTCTATCCCATTTGTCTTCTTTCTCTACCTTACTTCCTCATCAGTTCCAACAAAACCCAAAAAGGAAACAGAATTGAAAACTTCTAAATCCAGATCCAAATCCTGTTATGTGGTGACTTTTCAAATATAAGTCCCTTGAAAGAAGAAATTATCTTCCTTCTTCCCATTAATAAAATAGTGTGGCTGGGCGTGGTGGCTCACGCCTGTAATTCCAGCACTTTGGGAGGCCGAGGCGGGTGGATCAACCTGTGGTCAGGGGTTTGAAACCAGCCTGGCCAACATGGCAAAACCCCGTCTCTACTAAAAATACAAAATTGGCAGGGCGTGGTGGTGCATGTCTGTAATCCCAGCTACCTGGGAGGCTGAGCCAGGAGAATCACTTGACCCTGGGAGACAGAGGTTGCAGAGAGCCGAGAACATGCCACTGCACTCCAGTGTGGGCAACAAGAGTGAAACTCCGTCTCAAAAAATAAATAAATAAAATAGTGTGATATCTGACATGGAACTTGCACATTATTTTGAGAAGATGGGAAGAAAAATTACATAAAACAATGTAAGATCAATGACTGATTAATCTGATAAATATAAATATTTCAATATTAAAGGCCCTGGAAAATCTTCAAATAAACACTAGCTTTGCTTAAACCAGCCAGCATATTCCAAAATTAAAATTAAAATCAGGCAGGCATGTTAGTATGAACTTGAAACAAATTAAATGTTTTTTTTCTTCAAGTTAGCAGATTATAAACCCTGGTTTACAAAGTTATGGTAGGTATTTTATGTTTCTTAATATCATAGTTACTGACTAAAATCTGATAAAATTTTATTTGTTAGAAAAACCAGCATATTCCTAAGTTATTTGACCACAATCCCTTTTCCTTCAACTTCTGTCCCAGGGACACAATGAACATCATCACCATATGTTACATTAAATACTCTTGACTCACATTTCTAAAACACGAATTTTGTTATGGTAGATCTAGGCAATATTTGGAATATAGCCTGTCAGCTGGTTTAAGCAATTCCTCCAAGATTATATATGGTGTATGGGCATTCCATTAAAAAAGATATGCCTAATCTTTACTAACTTGATATACATATGCCATGGTGTTAATGTGTCCCTTCCAAAACTCAAGTGTTGCCAATGTGATAGTATTAAGGGGTGGGGCCTTAAAGAAGTGATTGGGCCATAAAGGCTCCTTCTTTATTAATGGTATTAAGGATTTTATAAAAGAGATTTCATGAAGCACTGGAGTACTTTGTTCTTCCACTCTTCTGCTATGCAAGAGCACATCTCGTGCCTCCCTGTGGAGGAAGCCAGCAACAAGCCCTCACCAGACACCAAATGCCAGTGTTTTAATAATGTACTTCCCAGCCTCCAGAATAGTAAGAAAATTAATTTCTGTTCTTTATATATTACCCAGTCTCAGGAATTTTATTGCAGCAGCACACATGGACTGGTATCTTCAAAGCAGCAATCCACAAAATTATATCTGGGATCCTTAAAGGTTAGGAGAAAATGTAAGGAATCTAATTATCTGACATGGTATCATCAAGTTAAATTTTCAATCTTATTTCACTATATAAAATTTTGCAGAAAGGGTCAAATAATGTTACAAAATTAAACTGAATTTAGTTTTCAGATGCTGAAAATCATATCATATCTCATTTAATTACTTAAGGGAAATAATTTTCTAATTCTCCTAATACTGGGAAGAACCACAGCTAACCAATATCTCTAATAAATATATCTCTAATAGAAACTGATAATTTCCATTTCTTAATCTTTTATCACTCTAATCATATATAAATCAGGTCATTCTACCCTGGCAAGTGAAAAATGGATCTACCAATTTCCCAATTCATAAATGTGATTCTTAAGAAGATTTGGTTTTTACAATTTGTAACAATATTATTTCTAAGATTTTATTCATTACTATATAATTGATAGGTCAATCTCAACAGAAACTTGGTATCAGAGTTCATTAAGTGATCTACCCAGGAAAAACA
This sequence comes from Homo sapiens, assembly GCF_000001405.40. Taxonomy (NCBI): domain Eukaryota; kingdom Metazoa; phylum Chordata; class Mammalia; order Primates; family Hominidae; genus Homo; species Homo sapiens. The sequence goes on from NC_000002.12 coordinate 203,497,905, forward strand.
TAAAATGTTACTGAAAAGAAAAACCTCATCTGACCAGATGACTTAATTACTCAAATAGGTGCTAGTTTGAGAACACTCAGGAGCAGTAATAGCCAGTTTTCATAAAGAAGGTTAATAAGTAATATAATCTGGAATATACTTGCTTTTACTTCCTAATCTTTCAAACTAAACACATTGGAATAACCCAGAAAATATCCTAGGAGGAATTCTGTTTTGAGAGAGTAATACTTATTCTTAATTACATTTTATATCTCTTAAGTACATTTAAAACAACTGGGCCTGCAGCACTGTTGTCCAACAGATACCATTATGTCACTATTGGCAGAAACAGCAGCTTTAGTAACTTTAATGAGTATTTTAGGCAATAATACGCAAGGCACTGGGTTTATGGTGACTATATTCTCCATAGTAAAAATGTGGTCACATGATATTTAGGTGACTCATCATCAGGAAAATCTGTGATGTATGAACATCGTAACACACACTAAGAGGAAGTTATAATCAAAGAGAACAGGGAGAGAACATTAGTCATAAGCCTCCACGAACCATTGTGATAGGCAGGTATTATATCATTCCCATTTTATAAATGAGGAAAGCTAATCAGAAAGGGTGGCAAGCTCCGTTCTTGGAGAAGGGCTTAGAGGACAGCACTCCAGGTCTGCTGTTTCAAACAACACCTCCGATTTCAGGCATCTTACAGATAGGGCTTCCACATTAGATATCATTTAAACCAAGAGTTCAAATTTTTAAAAATGATTTTAAGAAAGGTTTAAATCCTGGACTTCTGAGAACAGAGTGTAACTGCCCATAAAAAAAATGCCATACTGGGAAAAATAAAACAACACGAAAATAACATTGTAAGATAAATATAAAATAGTTCAAATTAAAGGAATAATTTAAATTACAATGGAGCCAAAGAGAACTACAGTCATGTGCTCATAATGATGTTCAGATCAATGACAGACTGCTTATACGGTGGTCCCATAAGTATTTTTACTGTACCTTTTCTAGGTTTAGATACCATTGTATTACAATTGTCTATAGTGTTCAGTACAGTAACATGCTGTACAGGTTGTAGCCTAGGAGTAACAGGCTATACTCTACAGCCTAGGTGTGGAGTAGACTATACCACCTGGGTTTGTGTAAGTACAATTTATTATGCTGGCCCAACAAGTGCTTAATGAAGCATTTCTCAGGAAGTATCTTCATCATTAAATGACACATGACTGTACAGACTCTGCATCCAAAGCTAGCGTGTTTTAAACTGAGTTTTTTTCCTACTGTTCAAACAGGCTATTTTAAAAATCCCTTTAAAAATTTTCATTTATAGTTTTGTTTTGATCTAGACTACTACTGCCGACTTAAGGAAAATATCGCTAGAGAACATGACAGCAATGACAGAGAAACATAAAATTAACAGAAATTTTGAAAGTATCTATTGAACGTTAACTACTTAAGTTACTTTTGCCAATTTTGTCCTATTTTCAATTTGTCCCTATGTGGATTAGTTTAACAGCAACAAAAAAAAAAAAACTGGCCGGGTGCAGTGGCTCACACCTGTAATCCCAGCACTTTGGGAGGCCAAGGCGGATGGATCACCTGAGGTCAGGAGTTCAAGACTAGCATGGCCAAGATAGTGAAACCCCGTCTCTACAAAAATTAGCTGGGCATGGTGGCGGGCGCCTGTAATCCCAGCTACTTGAGAGGCTGAGGCAGGAGAATCGCTGGAACCCAGGAGGCAGAGGCTGCAGTGAGCCAAGATCGTGCCATTGCTCTCCAGCCTGAGTGACGAGTGAACTCCATCTCAAAGAAAAAAAAAACTTAAGAAACTTACTCAGAGACTTTCCAAAAAAAACTTAGGTCCTACAACATTTCTTAAAGAATTCACACTCTAAAACCACTCTCCATTCTCTAAATGCTGATGTTGATGAACCTTATTCTCCAATTCCCCAATACAGCTTAATTTCCACTAACCATACACATCAAATGAGGTGCCCCCAGACATTTTCTTATAGGCTGGGCACCATCTTGGGTCAGCCCTCTAAACTTAAAACCACATGAACATGCTCAGATACAGGACAGCAGAGTGCTATCAGAGCCATTTCCATGGGTCTAGAGTGCTCAATGTTCCAAAGACACAAGAGAAGCTTTGATTTCATTGAACATTCACCATGCCAGACACTGGAGGAACAGAGATGAACATGACAACCTCTGTCCTCAAGGAACATATAATCTAGTAGGGAACAGAAAAGGAAACCAACAATGATGAAACACTCTGTTAAGTGCTATAAAAGAGGTATGTTAAGTGAGCGTAGTTTAACTCAGTTTGAGAAGATAGGAAAGTGGTGATGCTTCAGTGGAGACCTGAAGAGTGAATATGTAAGAGAAAGGAGAAGGGTGTTTTAGGCAGAGGAACCAACATATACAAGGGTATAAAGACGTGAGAACAACATGTTAGAACTCAAAGTGACTTAGCATTTCTGAAGCATAGGATGGGTGGTACAGACTCATGGAAAATGAGGCTAGAGAGGAGGAAGCGGCAAAATCCTAAGCCATACCAAAAACTTTGGACTTTATCCTGTAGGGCAATGTTATTCCAATTGTGGTTTGTTGATGACCTGCATCAAAATTACCTGGGGTGCATCTTTTAAAGTCAGTTTTAAAATGGCCCACTCAAGATCTACTGAATACTAATGTCAAGAGGATGGAATATTTTCAACAAGTTACCCAGGGTATTGCTTATACTCACTTAAGTTTAACAAAATATAAACAACTATGTTGTTTAATAATTACTGGGAGCTCTTGCAAGACAGTAAGTAATGCCATTTTGTGTAACCACAATTTGGTTAAAGGTAAATGTGGACTCCTTAAATAAGTACTAGAATGAGTACTCCTTAAAACCATAAGGAAATCAGGTACCATGAGGATCCATCATTAACACACCCCAATTATTCCTCTTCCATTACCATAGTCTCATGCTTCCTCTCACAGTTATTCATTTACAGATAAATTTTAGTTCTTTATTTCCAGTTATGTTTCAGTAGCTTTCTCACAAAAATGGTTTTAGAAACACCTCCTATGCTGTTCTAACCTTAAAAATAATTCTAAAGAAAAACATGCACTAGAGAAAGGGGCAGGAGGGAGGTGAAGACTTCCATGTTCAAGGAGTACCCCAACTGTGCAAGTTACAACTGTTGCAAAATAAAAGCAAGAGGAAGGAAACGTAAATCAGACTAGAGAAACAATAAGAAAAAAAATGTTAAATTTAGTAAGGCACAAAAAGAGGAAGAGGACTCATCAAAAGGAGGAGAGAGGAAGTCAGAGCAGAGAAGGGAAAGGAAAGGAAAGAAGTAGGACACTCATAATGTAAAATGGAAAGATAACTGTAGGGGATTAATTACTTATCAGATGGGGCAGTGCCTGGTATGCTTGGTTTCTTTCTCTCATTACCTACAACTACACTATTTTAAAACAAGACCTTTAGTTCTGCTGTGAATGAAGTGCTGTTATTTATAAATTGCCCAAATGGAAACTGGGAATTTAATAAACCGTCTGGGAAGTTTTAAAAATGAATTTGCATGGTCAGGTATGGTGGCTCACGCCAGTAATCCTAGCAACTTTGGGAGGCCAAGGCGGGCAGACTGCTTGAGCCCAGGAGTTTGAGACCTGCCTGGGCCACATGGCGAGACCTCATCTCTTAAAAAAATAAACATAATTTTATAACTTTTGCTCTTAATTTATAAAGTAGATGAGTTAAAAAAAAAAGTTAAAAGTTGCTTTTTATATATCCATCACTGAAGTTTCCTCTGTAGATTAGTGACCCTCAATAGAAAGGGCCTACAGAAAGGTTCTACTTAGGATCCAAACCTTCGAAAATACTCTGCCTACAAAGCATCAAGCTAAGCATTATGAAAAAAAAAAAAAAAAAAGGCAAAAAAACAAATACAAATTCTGTAACTTCAAAGAACATTAATACTAACTGTGGGAGAACAGGGCTCCCTGCAGCCTTGACCTTCTGGGCTCAAGCAGTCCTCCTGCCTCAGCCTCCCTGAGTAGCTGGGACGACAGATATAAGATATCTTGATTAACAAATTCTCTAGCAACAAAGTTCCTTTTGTAGACCAGTGCATGAAGCAAATTTAAAGGAAGCTACAGTCTCCTATGTGTTGAAAGGGACTAAGAAGGAAGCAATGTGCTATGCTATTCAGAAGCTTCATAGAAGCAAGCCTGAATTAACTAGCTACCAGGGAACTTGCATGGATGGCCTGGTCCTCAGAGTGAGCTGACACCTGGAACTCAGTTTTGTAAAACTGCCAGATGGAACCAAACCTTCCTAACAGAGAGGTATGCTATTCTTGGGCCAGTCACGGTAAATTCTTCTTTACCCAGAGGACAGAGAAGTACTAGGAAAGATGATTTACACCCTTATGCCATCTCTTTGATTTAAGCCTTCATTTCTGACAACCCAGGATGTAACTAACACATCCTCTTCACTATCATCTACATTAACTGTGAAGTAATTTAAGATCACATAATGAAGCATAAAAACAAACTAGAACTATTTTAACAGTTGGTAGAGATTGTATTGCCTAAGAGTTATAAATCAAATTCAAAGGCAATTTTATTAATGTTTTATTTATCAGGCACTTAAATGAACCCCTTAGAAAAAGAATTTGGGAGGCCGAGGCGGGCGGATCACGAGGTCAGGAGATTGAGACCATCCTGGCTAACACGGTGAAACCCCGCCTCTACTAAAAATACAAAAATTAGCCGGGTGTGGTGGCAGGTGCCTGTAGTCCTAGCTACTCGGGAGGCTGAGGCAGAAGAATGGCGTGAACCCTGGAGGTGGAGCTTGCAGTGAGCCGAGATCTCGCCACTGCACTCCAGCCTAGGCAACAGAGTGAGACTCCGTCCCAAAAAAAAAAAAAAAGAATTCCTTTTACAGAAAGGTGAACCAGGCCGGGCACAGTGGCTCACACCTGTAATCCCAGCACTTTGGGAGGCCGAGGCAGGCGGATCACCTTAGGTCAGGAGTTCGAGACCAGCCTAACAAGGTGAAACCCTATCTCTACTAAAAATACAAAAATTAGCTGGATGTAGTGGCTGGCAGGCACCTGTAATCCCAGCTACTCGGGAGGCTGAGGCAGGAGAATCACTTGAATCCAGGAGGTAGAGGTTGCAGTGAGCCAAGATCCCGCCATTGCATTCCAGGCTGGGTGACAGAGCGAGACTCTGTCTCAAAAACAAACAAACAAACAAACAAAAAAATGAAAATATGAACCAATTTTAATGAGAATAAGCATTCCTTTATTTACATTAGATTTTCATAATATTGGATATTCTTAATCTATTAAACCGCAAACAGGAACTCCCCATCTGTATTAGTCTGTTTTCATGCTGCTGATAAAGACATACCAGAGACTGGGAAGAAAGAGGTTTAACTGGACGTACAGTTCCACATGGCTGGGAGGGCCTCAGAATCATGGCAGTGGCAAGACAAAATGTGAAGAAGCAAAAGTGGAAACCCATGATAAACCCATCAGATCTCATGAACTTATTCACTATCACAAGATTAGCACAAGAAAGACTGGCCCCCAAGATTCAATTATCTCCCCCTGGGCCCCTCCCACAACACATAGGAATTCTGGGAGATACAATTCAAGTTGAGATTTGGGTGGGGACACAGCCAAACCATATCATTTGGCCCCTCCAAATCTCATGTCCTCACATTTCAAAACCAATCATGCCTTCCCAACAGTCTCCCAAAGTCTTAACTAATTTCAGTATTAACCTGAAAGTCCACAGTCCAAAGTCCCATCTGAGACAAGGCAAGTCCCTTCTGCCTATGAGCCTATAAAATCAAAAGCAAGCTAGTTACTTCCCAGATACAATGGGGGTACAGGTATTGGGTAAATACAGCCGTTCCAAATGGGAGAACTTGGCCAAAACAAAGGGGTTACAGGGCCCATGAAAGTCCAAAAGCCAGTGGGGCAGCCAAATTTTAAAGCTCCAAAATGATCTCCTTTGGCTCCAGGTCTCACATCCTGGTCACGCTGATGCAAAAGGTGGGTTCCCATGGTCTTGGGCAGCTCTGCCCCTGTGGCTTTGCAGGGTACAGCCTCCCTCCTGGCTGCTTTCACGGGCTGGCATTGAGTGTCTGAGGCTTTTCCAAGTGCACAGTGCAAGCTGTCTGTAGATCTACCATTCTGGGGTCTGGAGGACAATAGCCCTCTTCTCACAGCTCCACTAGGCAGTGCCCCAGTGGGGACTCTGTGTGGGGGCCCCAACCCCACATTTCCCTTCCGCACTGTCCCAGGAGAGGTTCTCCATGAGAGCCCCACCCCTGCAGCAAACTTTTGCCTAGGCATCCAGGTGTTTCTATACATCTTCTGAAATCTAGGCCGAAGTTTCTAAACCTCAGTTCTTGACTTCTGTGCACCCGCAGGCTCAACACCACATGGAAGCTGCCAAGGCTTGGGGCTTCCACCCTCTGAAGCCACAGCCTGAGCTCTATGTTGGCCCCTTTCAGCCACAGCTGGAGTGGCTGGGACACAGGGCACCAAGTCCCTAGGCTGCACACAGCACAGGGATCCTGGGCCCGGCCCACGAAACCACTTTTTCCTCCTGGGCCTCTGGGCCCTGTGATGGGAGGGGGCTGACCTGACGGTCTCTGACATGGCCTGGAGACATTTTCCCTGGTCTTGGGGATTAACATTAGGCTCCTTGCTATTTATGCAAATTTCTGCAGCTGGATTGAATTTCTCCTAAAAAAAAAAAAAAAGTTTGTCTTTTCTACTGCATCATCAGGCAGAAAATTTCCTGAACTTTTATGCTGTTTCTCCTTTAAAACAGAATGCTTTTAATAGCACCCAAGTCACCTTTTGAATGGTTTGCTGCTTTGAAATTTCTTCCATCAGATACCCTAAATCATCTCTCTCAATTTCAAAGTTCTACAAATCTCTAGCGCAGGGGCAAAATGCCGCCAGTGTCTTTGCTAAAACATAATGAGAGTCACCTTTGCTCCAGTTCCCAACAAGTTCCTCATCTCCATCTGAGACCACCTCAGCTTGGATCTTATTGTTCATATCACTATCAGCATTTTTGTCAAAGCCATTCAACAAGTCTCCAGACAGTTTCACACTTTCCTACATTTTCCTGTCTTCTTCTGAGCCCTCCAAACTGTTCCAGCCTCTGCCTGTTACCCAGTTCCAAAGACACTTCTACGTTTTTGGGTATCTTTTCAGCAACGCCACACTCTACTGGTACCAATTTACTGCATTAGTCCATTTTCAGGCTGCTGATGAAGACAAACCTGAGATTGGGAAGAAAAAGAGGTTTAATTGGACTCACAGTTCCACATGGCTGGGGAGGCCTCAGAATCATGGTGGGAGGCAAAAGGCACTTCTTACATGGCGGTGGCAAGAGAAAATGTGGAAGAAGCAAAAGTGGAAACCCCTGATAAACCCATCAAATCTCATGAGACTTATTCACTATCACAAGACTAGCACAAGAAAGACTGGCCGCCATGATTAAATTACCCCCCCCGGGTCCCTCCCACAACACAGAGGAATTCTGAGAGATACAACTGAAGTTGAGATTTGGGTGGGGACACAGCCAAACCATATCACTAAAGTGGAAAAATACAATTTAGTTCAACGCTCTACAAAGAAACCCCTAACATCCCTATATATAAAAAGTTCTGATTATCTTATAATTAACTATTACACAATATGCCATAAAGCATTATCTGAAACCACAGAGTAGATAAAAAACTATAAAAACTGAAAAACAACAAATAATTGATTGTGTTGTTTATATTCCAGATTCTCAATTTCAAGAGCTGTGAGACAGTAAATTTCTGTTGCTTTAAGCCACTCAGCGTGTAGTAATTTGTTACTGCAGCCCTAGCAAATGAATAGTTACTATACACACACGCGCGCGCACGCACACACACACACGGCTGCTCCACACTTCAGACCTTTTGCTGTTATACTACATAGTGTAGCTATTTAGTTATTTTTGCAGACAGCTGATGTTGTGCATGTCCACTCCAGCCTCAACTAGAAGTAGAAGCTGCAACTTCATTCCTCTTAGAGAAAACGGTCTTGAAACTATGGAAAGCCTCACGAGGGAGGCAGCAGTATTTTTCTTCACTTTTGTCCTACCTATTCCCCTACCAGATGGCCAAACGCACTGGCAAGAAATCCAATCCCAGAGGCAACCCATGCTTTGAGAGGAAAGGGGGTAACAAATAGACGTAGCCTATAGCTTGGAAGTCATTTGGATTAGGTATTGAATTATCAGTATAAATAAACTCAAGGTTTCAAACAGACAAAAAGATGGGCAGAAATAAAGACAGAGATGTGTGTATTATGTGTTTGTAGGTATGTCCACTGAAAAAGCCTGGTGGCAATGACACCAGGTAATTAATTAGCACACTTGGTTCCCAGTTTTTGGTTTCAAAATACTGTATACACTCTACACAAAAAGTAACAGACACCTGGAGTAGTAATTCCAGGGCAGGGCAGGGAAAAAAAACAAGATGAGATCTTGCAGTGAGCAGAGATCGTGCCACTGCACACTCCAGCCTGGGCAACAGAGCGAGACTCCGTCTCAAAAAAAAACAAAAAACAAAAAACAAAAAACAAGATGAGCCTCTAGAACATCATCTAGTGGCAAAAAGTCCTCAATTAATGATAGGCACATGTCAAATGGACACAGGAACCAGCCTGAAGGCCCAGATCAGGGGTCTAATCTGTGAAAAGTTAAATACTGAAATAAATTATGATAGAAACAAATTATAATCCACTGACTAAAATCCATATATAGATATATATCTATATATATATATATCTATATATATATCTATATATATCTAGATATATATATCTATATATATATCTATATCTATATATCTATATATATATCTATATCTATATATCTATCTATATCTATATATATATATATATATATATAGATATATATATATATATATTTTTTTTTTTTTTGAGATGAACTTTCACTCTGGGTTGCCCAGGCTGGAGTGCAATGGCACAATCTCAACTCATTGCAACCTCCACCTCCCAGGTTCAAGCGATTCTCCTGCCCCAGACTCCCAAGTAGCTGGGATTACAGGCGCCTGCCACCACACCCGGCTAATTTTTTTATTTTTAGTAGAGACAGGGTTTCACCATGTTGACCAGGCTGGTCTTGAACTCCTGACCTCAGGTGATACGCCCACCTCGGCCTCCCAAAGTGCTGGGATTACAGGTGTGTGCCACCGTGCCTGGCCACAAAATCCATATTGAATTAAATAAAATATACACAGTAAAGAAGAAAGCTCTTACTTACTGTAGAATGCCAACTACTTAATGTAGATGAAATGACAAAAAAAAATCACCATTTTGCAACCACTGTTATAATTATAAAGTATTTATTTTAAAAGTAATTTAAAAACCAAGTTGCTAAGTTTTAAAAAATCAAGGCAAGAATCATCAATAGAGGCTAAAACTAGTAGGTGAAAATTTGATGACATATATTCTCAAAATATCTCCCCACAAATTACTCAGAAGACAACCTTAACCAAGTGACCAAAATATCATCACTACAAAGGCAAACCAACATCAGAGGGTTCCAGTTATAATGCATTGGGAAGGATACAACATCACTGTAGTTATTCCTGCAAAAAATGCAGTACCTGAATCAAATCATAAGAGACATTTTACAAAATAATTGGCCAACACTTTTCAATAATGTGATGGCCAAGAAACAAAGAAAGGCTAAGGAAATGTTCCATATTCAATGGAACTTAAAGAGACATGACAACTAAATACAATGCTTGAACCTGGACTGGATCTTAGACCCAGGGAAAATATCTAAACATAGCCATAAGGACAATGTTGGAACAGTTGACAAAATATGACTGGATTAGATCACAGTATTGAATCAATGTTACATTTCCTGATTTTGATAACAGTATTGCAGTGACGTAAGAGAACATCTTTGATCTTAAGAAATATACACTGGGGCCGGGCACGGTGGCTCATGCCTGTAATCCCAGCACTTTGGGAGGCTGAGGCGGGCGGATCACCAGGTCAGGAGATCAAGACCATCCTGGCTAACACAGTGAAACCCCATCCCTACTTAAAAAAAAAAATACAAAAAAATTAGCCACATGTGGTGGTGGGTGCCTGTAGTCCCAGCTACTTGGGAGGCTGAGGCAGGAGAATGGCGTAAACCCGGGAGGCAGAGCTTGTATAGTGAGCTGAGATAGCGCCACTGCACTCCAGCCTGGGCAACAGAGCAAGACTCTGTCTCAAAAAAAAAAAAAAAAAAAAAGGAAGAAAGAAAGAAATATACACTGGGGTTACAGGCATGCACCACCATGCCTGGCTAATTTTGTATTTTTAGTAGAGACAGGGTTTCTCCATGTTGGTCAGGCTGGTCTCGAACTCCCAACCTCAGGTGATCCGCCTGCCTCGGCCTCCCAAAGTGTTGGAATTACAGGCGTGAGCCACCACGCCTGGCCTTGAGGTTGTTTATATTCTTCTTACAACTTTTCTGTAGGTTTGAAATTACAGTTTTCCCTTGGCACCAGGGGGACTGGTTCCAGGACCTCCACCTATACCCAAATCATGCATACTCAAGTCCAGTAAACCCTCCATATACGTAGGTTTCACATCACCACAATGATCCATGTTTGGCTGAAAAAAAATCTGCATACAAGCAGACCCACACAGTGCAAACCTGTGTTGTTCAAGTGTCAACAGTATATCAAAATAAATTAAGAAAGAGAGAGATGAAGGAGGAGAGATAAAAAGAAAAAAGTCTTTACCCTCAGAAAGCTATAATTAGGAAAACAGTGTGTTAACAAATAGATCATCTAAATTTCAGAAATAAATTTAAGGAAAAGGAAAAAAAGACAAGCTATAAAACACTTTTACTAAATTAATACGTTTAGTCTAAGGACACTGAAAAATAATTGTGTATTTCTCCAATATATGGTTTTTATTATGTATGCATATGCTCCCTTTCCTAAAGTATATTTGCCTTGCTTACTCAGTTAACCTTTTTAGCTTATTTATAAAAATTTAGCATCTTAGAAAGATATTTATTCATCAGACATCCTTTCACAGATGCAAAAAGAGTCATTTAAAAAATAATTTTTTTTTTTTTTTTTTTTTTTTAAGAGAGAGTCGCTCTGTCACTCAGGCTGGAGTGTGGTGACACGATCTTGGCTCACTGCAACCTCTGCCTCCCAGGTTCAAGTGATTCTTGTGCCTCAGCCTCCTGAGTAGCTGGGATTACAGGTGCACACCACCACACCTGACTAATTTTTGTATTTTTATAGAGATGAGATTTTGCCATGTTGTTCTCAAACCCCTGGCCTCAAGGGATCCAACCACCTTGGCCTCCCAAAGTGCCTGGATTACAGGCGTGAGCCACCACACCCGGCCCTAAAAAAATAAGTAATTTTTTAAAAAGTTCGTTAACATCACAAGTAGGTCAGAAAAAAATCAGAATTCGGTTCCAAATCCAAAGTTAGTATTTAATTAAATTGAAATGCTTACAGTAAATACAGACTTCAAGATGGGTATTTTTAAAGATGTTTTGATTATTAAAACTGTGTTACTTTTGTTACTGTCAGAACAAAAGGAGTAAAACAGTAAATCACTTCTATTTTGCATTATTCATTAACATATTTCCTGACCTCTTCCCAACATCCAGATAGGAGGTATTACTAAAGTTGATCAAATATCCCCCACTGATATAGTTTGGATGGGTATCCCTGCAAATCTCATGTCAAATGTAATCCCTAATGTTGGAGGTGGGGCCTGGTGTGAGGTGATTGGATCATGGAGGTGGTTTCTCATGAATAGTTTAATACCATCCCCTTGGTGCTGTCCTCTCAATAGTGAGTTCTTGTGAGATGTGGTCATTTAAAAGTGTGTGGCACCTCCCCCCTACTCTTGCCCCTGCTCCGGCCATGTCACCTGCCTTGTTCCCCCTTCACCTTCTACCATGATTGTATAAGCTTTCTGAGGTCTCCCCAGAAGCAGAGCAGATGCCAGCATCATGCTTCCTGTATAGCCTGCAGAACCATGAGCCAATTAAACCTCTTTTACTTATAAATTATACAGTCTCAGGTATTTCTTTATAGTAATATGAGAATGGCCTAATACATACAACCAAAAAAGCTTCAAGATGTCTGCTTTCTGTTTCTATCTCATAAATGTAAAATTCCTAGGAAAGACATTTTACCACTCATTACTGATAAAAGATACATTTAATACTGTCGGCGCCTGCCTGTAATCCCAGCTGCTCAGGAGGCTAACGTAGGAAAATTGCTTGAACCTGGGAGGCAGAGGTTGCAGTGAGCTGAGATCATGCCACTGCACTGCAGCCTGGGTGATAGAGCAAAACTCCATCTCAAAAAAAAAAAAAAAAAAAAAAAAAGTCCTCTTGAGGTTCTTGAGGGTAATAGGAAGTAATCCCTTACCAAAGGCTGTAGTAGAGGTAGGGACCATTCATAAAGAAGCCAGAGGATTAAGAGAATAGAAATGGGAAAAAGGATGCTCTGCAGGAGAGCAGAGAGTATTCTCCAGGGTGGCATCCCCCAGGCAATTAAGACATTTTCTTCCAGGGTCACTGAAACTACAAAAACAAACTCTCAAACCTGGGATGCAAACTCAAATACCTGCAGGGGTCAGGCAGCCAATATACATACTGGTGGTGGTAGTTAGATATAAACCAATAGGGAGTGGTGAGGTCTGGGAACTGTGACAGCACACCTCAGCTAAAAACACTAGAATTTTTTAAGTTTATTCTGGAATTAAGATAGTGGTGAAGGTTGCATGACCTTGTGAATGTAATAAAACTCACTGAGTGTACACTTTAAAAGAGTAAATGTTTGGGAGGGTGAGGCAGGAGGATTGCTTGAGCCCAGGAGTTCGAAACCAGACTGGGCAACATAGCGAGACTCTGTCTGTATTAAAAAATAAATTTAAAAAAAGAGTAAATATTATGTATATCTCAATTTAAAAAAAACTAAAAGTTTAAGTGTGTGCTAGTTAAACAAGAGAGGAGTTAGATGCCACTTCCTCTGAGAAGCCCATGAACTCTGTACCTCTATGGCATTTATAGCTAATCAGCTTTGTATTATGTGGTGGTTACTGGTGCACTTGCCTTATCACCCTCCACACCCAACTAGATTGCAAGCTCTGGAAAGAGAGAAACCATATGGTTCTCATTTTTCACCCCAGAGCAACTACCACAGAAATATATTCTTTCTTGATGCAAATTTCGACTTTTTTCTGCCAAGTATTTCTAATTTAAGATGACTCAAAGCTAAAGGTACATTTCTTTAAAAAAAAAAAAAAGTGGCCAATTTATCTGGTTCTAGTTTAAAGAAATATTAATCAAAAGAAACCAACACATTCCAAAATTAATTTCCCTATCAATAGAAGAATGGTTAGGAAAAATCAGAAAATTCTGCAATGCACTTTAGCTTCAGAAGAGTATTTTAATAGTATTTCTATAAGGTTATTTCAAGGCATATGATTTGATTCAATAGCTGCGTTAATGACTCTCTGGTAAAAATTAACAAATGACTATTAGTAAGGGTTCTTGCACCTGACAGAAACCCAACTCAAACTAGTTTTAACAAAGAATCTATTCAAAGTATAATTATCGGTACATTTGTCACAATGTTTGTCCTCTCAATTTCTTTAATCTCCCTTCCTCTTCCCTTCCAGGGTTTCATTCCAAAATTCTCTACCTTCTTTACATTTCCATTTCCCATGTCTTTGCTGTCTCCCCATTTTAACCTGTGAGTTCTCTTTCAGTATCCCTTTAAAAAGCTACTCCCAATTCCTATATATGAAAAACCAAAATCCACACAGTCGCTAAAAGAGACTTTAAGAATCGGCCAGGCACGGTGGCTCATGCCTGTAATCCCAGCACTTTGGGAGGCAGAGGTGGGAGGATCACAAGGTCAAGAGATTGAGATCATCCTGGCCAATATGGTAAAACCCTGTCTCTACTGAAAATACAAAAAAAATTAGCTGGGTGTGGTGGTGTTCCCCTATAGTCCCAGCTACTCGGGAGGCTGAGGCAGGAGAATCGCTTGAACTCAGGAGGCAGAGGTTGCAGAGAGCCGAGATCGCACCAATGCACTCCAGCCTGGTGACAGAGTGAGACTCCGTTCCAAAAAAAACAAAAAAGAATTAAGCAGAATATGGGCCAGGGGTGGTGGTGGCTCACACCTATAATCTCAACACTTTGGGAGGCCCAGGCAGGCGGACCACTTGAGGTCAGAAGTTGGAGCCCAGCCTGGCCAACATGACGAAACCCTGTCTCTACTAAAAATACAAAAATTAGCTGGGTGTGGTGGTGCACACCAAGATTGTGCCACTGCACTCCAGCCTGGGTGACAGAGTGAGACTCTGTCTCAAAAAAAAAAAAAAAACCCAAAAAACAAAAAACAAACAAATTCTCCCTCCATGTTTGTATGCCTCAACATTTTATTCCACCAGGAGTAAGAAATCCAACCAGAGATGGATCATTATTCCTGACATTAATGAGACACAAATGGAAGTAAGATAGAATTTAACAGTCAAAAATTGCCTTGGGTGACAAGAATAGTCTAAAAAACTTATTGAAATTTTTGGAATGAGTTTGTTGGGTATTTAAACAACATATGCTAAACATCCCTTACCTTTTTTTTTTTTTTTTTTTGAGACAGAGTCTTGCTCTGTCATCCAGGCTGGAGTACAGTGGTGCCATCTTAGCTCACTGCCACCTCCGCCTCCCAGGTTCAAGCGATTCTCCTTGCCTCAGCCTCCCAAGTAGCTGGGATTACAGGCACATGCCACCATGCCTGGCTAATTTTTTGTTATTTTTTAGTAGAGACAGGGTTCACTGTGTTAGCCAGGATGGTCTGGATCTCCTGACCTGGTGATCCGCCCACCTTGGTCTCCCAAAGTGCTGGGATTACAGGCATGAGCCACCGCGCCCGGCCATCCCTTAACATTTTAACACAAATTCTGGTCCATAAGAAATCTCAAATAGGTAAATCTTTCATGTTTATGTCCTAAGTGTGAATGAGTAAAAACAGACTTTCATTATCTTACACAATTGAAAACGTTAGTTTAATAAACAGTTTGCCAGATCTCCCTAGTTATCTAGGACTAAACAAGGAATCAGGAGACTTGAAATTCTTGTCTTAATTCTGCCACTAACTAGCTAGAACTTTGAGTTAAATCATTTAAATCCTTAGCCCTCACTTTCTTAATCTGCAGAAAAATGGGGGGGGGAATAGATGAACTAGTTGATACCAAAGATTTCCTCCACTCCTCCAACCCCATTCTATTTTTGTCTGAATTTCTACTATTTAATTACTGACTTCACTCTCAATTTCTTCCTATTTATCAGTCTTTTCTCTCAATCTTTTTTTTTTTTTTTTTTTTTGAGATAGAGTCTCGCTCTGTCGGCCAGGCTGAAGTGCAGTGGTGTGATCTCGGCAGACTGCAAGCTCCACCTCCCAGGTTCATGCCATTCTCCTGCCTCAGCCTCCCAGGTAGCTGGGACTACAATCCACCACATTATGCCCCGCCCGAGACTCTATTTCAAAAAAAAAAAAAAAAAAAAAGGCCAGGCGCGGTGGCTCACACCTATAATGCCAGCACTTTGGGAGACTGAGGTGGGCAGATCACTTGAGGTCAGGAGTTCGAGACCAGCTGGCCAACATGGTGAAACCCCGTCTCTACTAAAAATACAAAAATTAGCCAGGTGTGGTGGCAGGCGCCTATAATACCAGCTACTCGGGAGGCTGAGGCAGGAGAATTGCTTAAGCCTGGGAGGTAGAGGTTGCAGTGAGCCGAGATCACGCCACTGCACTACAGCCCAGGAGACAGAGCAAGACTCAGTCTCAAGAAAAAAAAAAAAAAATCAAAAAAATTATACAGAGACTCTCTCTGTCGCCCAGGCTGGAGTGCAGTGGTGTGATCTCAGCTCACTGCAGCCTCCACCTCCCGGGTTCAAGTGATTCTCCTGCCTGAGCCTCCAGAGTGGCTGGGATTACAGGCACACCACCACACCCAGCTAATTTTTGTATTTTTAATAGAGACAGGGTTTCATCATGTTGGGCAGGCTGGTCTCAAACTCCTGGCCTCAAGTGATCACCTGCCTCAGCCTCCCAAAGTGCTGGGATTGCAGGCATGAGCCACCACACCTGGCCCTCTCTCCAATCTTAATTCCGGAGTAAGGTATCTGCTGCCAGCTACTCTTTACTCTATTACTTAAGGGGAGGGAGCAGTTTAGGGAGCCAGCTTTCCCACCTTCACAGTCCAAAGACAGCCACAGCTATCTGCTCTGCCCTAGTTCAAATGAAGTCTCAGGAGTTTAGAAATTGTCTGAGGTGCTTTGACTTCTAATTTAATACTTTTAGGGTTTTTTTGTTTTTGTTTTTGTTTTTACTCTCTGTGTATTCATTTGTTTAAATAGTTAATATGGTCATGGTTATGAGAGAATAAAATTCAACTTAGTGTACAACAAAATATGGATTCCAGGAAGCTTAGAGGGTGGCTACCAGTGAGACAATGAGCAGTATCCCCCCAGGGTGGGCAGCATGTCGCACATCTAAAATTTGTGGGGTTTTTTTGTTTTTTTAAGACGGAGTCTCGCTGTGTCGCCCAGGCTGGAGTGCAGTGGCGTGATCTCGGCTCACTGCAAGCTCTGCCTCCCGGGTTCATGCCATTCTCCTGCCTCAGCCTCCCGAGTAGCTGGAATTACAGGCGCCCACCACCACGTGCAGCTAATTTTTTGTATTTTTAGTAGAGACGAGGTTTCACCGTGTTAGCCAGGATGGTCTCAATCTCCTGACCTCATGATCCACCCGCCTCAGCCTCCCAAAGTGCTAGGCTTACAGGCATGAGCCACCGCACCTGGCCAAATTTGTTTTTCATTTAACAATCTTGAAAATCCACATCAATTCCACATTCTGCTTCATATAATACCAATTAGAATAGAAAAAGTGTTTAAAACTAAGTAAAACTAAAGCTTCAGAATAATGCTGCCATATTTATTATGTGGTTTTGCATTCCCAATCTCTCCCTCCCAATCCCCAACCCTGTGTGCATGTGTACATACACTTTGAGGGGACCTAGGGGTACAATACTCCAGTTTTGAAAAGTAGGAAAGTAGAGGGTATCATCTCCATCCATTATAATGAAGAAACTGACATTCACAGTCTCAGATAATATATTAAAAATATTTTATAGGCTACTTATAATTATCTTTTGTGTTAACCTCTCAATAAAATTTAAGCAAAACTTTAAAAATCTGTAATTTAACTAATGTACAATAAAGAAACCATTAACAATGCATAACCATTGCAAGTTCTGTTTGACGGTATACTGTGTAAAAAGAGAAGGGGATTTTCAAAATAACAGCGATTCTAATCTTGCCACATTGGCTAGAACTAATAATGGTCAGGCAGTGTCAAGTTTAGTGCCCTGTTTTTCATCATAGCTAAAAGGTTCACATGAATGGCCTCATATCCACAATATGCTAAAATGACATTCGGCTAAATTGGCAGAAATGGCTAAGCTGGTGTCTTTTATTGTATCACTGTTTGGTATGCATTGCCAGTTGAAGAAAATGAACTTCATTCTGTTAAGAACGGGGCTGTCTGGTTATTAGACCACTTGAGTTGGAATCCCAACTCAAACACTGAGTAGTTCCATCAACTTACCTACAGAGGAACAAACATATAAATTATATCCAACTTCTCAGAAACCATGCAAGCAAGAGAGTGGAGAGAAACATTTAAAGTGTTGAGAGAAACCAACCAAACTAGAATTCTGTACCTGGCAAAATCACCCTTCAAAAGTGAAGGAGAAATACTTTCTCAGACAAACAATAGTTGGAGGAATTTGTTGCCAGTAGAAGTGCTTTGCAAGAAATATTAAAAGAAGTACATTAGAAATAAGGAAAATGATATAGTTAAGACACTCAAACTGGCATAAAGGAAGAGCATCAAAGAAGAAATCAGTGAAGGTATAACTTTTACTCTTCTTAATTGATCTAAAGATAATAGTTTGTTCAAAATAATGGCAACAATATACGTGATTACGTAAGCTTATGTATAGATAATATATATATGCTTATGTATGCTTACATATAAGTGAATTACAGCAATGGTTCAAAAGACAGGAGAGAGGAATTCATATTTTGTTATAAGGTACTCACATTACACCCATGAAGTGGTACACTATTATCTGAAAGTGGATTTCAATTAGTTGTATATGTAAATTGCAAAGTCTTGGGTGACCGCTAAAAAAAAGTAAGAGAAATACAACTGATACACTAAGAAAGGAGAGAAAACTGAATCATATAAAATGCTCAATTAAAAGGCAGAAAAAGAGTAGAATACAAAATGGAATAAAAAAACAAGGTCAAGAAATAGCAAATGGTAATAAATATGGCAGATATTAATCCAATTATATTAATAACCACTGTGAACATCAACAGTCTAAATGTATCAATTGAAAGAGATTTTTGTTGGCGGGGCGTGATGGCTCACGCCTGTAATCCCAGATTTTGGGAGGCCAAGGCGGGCAGATCAGTTCAGGCCAGGAGTTTGAGACCGGCCTGGCCAACATGGTGAAACCCCGTCTCTACTGAAAATACAAAAATTAGCCAGGTTTGATGGTGTGCATCTGTAATCCCAGCTACTTGGGAGGCTTGAACCTGGGAAGCAGAGGTTTCAGTGAGCTGAGATAGCACCACTGCACTCCAGCCCAGACAACAGAGTGAGACTATGTCTCAAAAAAAGAAAAAGAAAAAAGGCCAGGCGCAGTGACTCATGACTGTAATCCCAGCACTTTGGGAGGCCAAGGCAGGCGGATCATGACGTCAGGAGATCGAGACCATCCTGGCTAACACGGTGACACCCCGTCTCTACTAAAAATACAAAAAAATTAGCTGGGCGTGGTGGTGGGCGCCTGTAGTTCCAGCTACTCGGGAGGCTGAGGCAGGAGAATGGTGTGAACCCGGGAGGCAGAGCTTGCAGTGAGCCGACATCGCGTCACTGCACTCCAGCCTGGGTGACAGAGTGAAAGACTCCGTCTCAAAAAAAAAAAATAAAGAAAGAAAGAAAAAGTTTTTGTCAAAGTGGATCAAAAGACAAGACCCAACTCTGTTGTCTACAAGAAACCCACTTTAATATAGACACAAATAGATGAAAAGTAAACCAACAGAGAAAAATATGCCATCCTAACACTAATCAAAAGAAAGCAGGAGGAGCTAACTTAATTTCACAGTGGACTTTAAAGCAAGGAAAGTTATTAGGGATAAAGAAGGGTATTACATAATGATAAAGGGTCGAGTCTCCAAGATGACATTACATCCTGAATGCATATGTGCCTAACAACAGAGCATCAAACTATGAGAGGCAAAAAAAAAAAAAAAAAAAAAAAAGACAGAAAAGAAAGAAATGAATCCACTATCATAGCTGGAGACTTGAATACCTCTCTATCAGAAATGGGCAGATTCAGCAGGCAAAAAATCAGTAAAGATATAGTTGAACTCAATAACACCATCAATCACCTGGATATAACTGACATCTATGCGCTAATTCATCCAAGAACAGAATACATATTCTTCTCAAGCTCACACTGAATATACTCCAAGACAGATCACATTCTGGACCATAAAACACACCATTAACAAATGTAACATAATAGAAACCATATATAATGTCTGCTCTCAGAGCACAATGTAACTAAACTAGAAATCAGTCACAAACATAATTGAAAAAAATATCAAAATACATGAGATTACACAACAACCTCTTAAATAACACCTGGGTCAAAGAAGAAATCTCAAAAGAAATTTTAAAAATATTTTAAATAAAATGAAAATGAAAACACAATTTACCAAGTTTGTGGGATGCAACAAAAGCAATGCTTAGAGGGACATTTATAGCATTGAATGTCTGCATTAGAAAAGAGGACCTAAAATCAACAATCTAAGTTTCTACCTTAGAAATCTAGAACAAGAAGAGCAAATTAAATCCTAAATAAACAGAAGAAATAATAAGAATCTGAGCAGAAATCAATGAAACCAAAGATGGGAAATCAAGGAGAAAAATCAAAACCAAAGCTGGTTCTTAATAAAATTAAATTTAAAAAATCAATAAAATTGATAAGCTTCTAGGTAGCTTAACTAAGAAAAAAAAGAGAACACAAATTACCAATATCAGAAATCAAAGAGGGGACACCACTACAGATCTTACAGACATTAAAAGGAAAATAAAAGAATACTATAAGGCTGGGCACAGTGGTGCACACTTGTAGTCCCAGCACTTTGAAAGGACAAGGTTGGCAGATCACTTGAGGTCGGGAGTTTGAGACCAGCCTGGCCAACATGGTGAAACCCCATCTCTACTAAAACAATACAAAAATTAGCCAGGTGTGGTGGCAGGCACCTGGAATTCCAGCTACTTGGGAGCCTGAGGCATGAGAATTGCTTGAATGTAGGAGGTGGAGGTTGTAGTGAGCCGAGATCGCACCACTGCACTCCAGCCTGGGCAACAGAGTGAGACACCATCTCCAAACAAAAAAAACAAAAAAACAAAAAAAAAACAAAAAACTACTATAGGCCAGGTGTGGTGGCTCACAACTACAATCCTAGTGCTTTGAGAGGCCAAGCGGGAGGATTGCTTGAGGCCAGGAGTTCAACACCAGCCTGAGCAACATAGCAGGACCCCCTTCTCCACAAAAAAATTTAAAAATTAGCTGAGTATGATAGCATGTGCCTGTAGTCCTAGTTACTTGGGAAGCTAAGGTAGGAGGATCATTTGAGCCCAGTTCAAGGTTACAGTGAGCTATGATCCCACCACTGCACTCTAGCATGGGCAACAGAACAAAATCCTGTCTCTTTAAAGAAAGAAAAAAAGGATACTATGAACAAACTCCATGCCTATAAATTTGATAACTCAGATGAGATGAACCAATTCCTTGTTAGACACAATTTGTCAAAACTCAAACAAGAATAGACAATCTGAATAGGCCTGTACCTACTAAAGAAACTCCATCAATAATTAATAATTCCAAAATAGAAAGCACAAGGCCCAGATGGGTTCATTGTGAATTCTACCAAACATTTAGTGAAGAAATTATACCAATTCTCTACAATCTCTTCTCGAAGATAGAAGCAGAGGGAATAATACATAGTAACTCATGAGCCAGCATAATCCTAATACCAAAACCAGAGAAAGACATTATAGGAAAAGAAAACTATAAACCATTATCTCATGAACATAGATGCAAAAATCCTCAACAACATATTAACAAATTGAACCCAACAATGTATAAAAATAATTATACACCATGACCAAGTAAGATTTATCTCAAGTATGCAAGGCTAGCTTAACATTTGAAAATCAATTAATACAATCCATTACATCAACAGGCTAAAAAAATTTTTTTTAATCACATGATCATATCAATAGATGTAGAAAAAGCATTTGACAAAATCCAGTACTCATTCATAAATTCTCAGTAGGCTAGAAATAAAGGGGAACTTCCTCAACTTGATAAATAAAATCTACAAAAAAACCCCACAATTAACATAACACTTAATGGTTAGAAACTTGAAGCTTTCCCACTAAGATCAGGAACAAGATAAGGATGTCCACTCTGACCACTCTTTTTCAATATCATACTGGAAATAACAAGATAATAATAAGATAATAAAAGGAAATAAATAAAATAAAAACCCAACCATGATATTTTTACTCAAGTATCCATGATTACCAAAAATTAAATATGTTCCCCAACAAAAAAACTAACAGGAAAAAAAAGCAGCCATGGGTCCTGTTGGACAAATAATCATCTAAGTTATCTACACAGATGTCACAACATGGGAGCTAATGCATTTCAGGCAATTCTCCAGTATCAAACACTCATACAGCCACAATAGGTAACATTTTCCTATAGAGAAAGCACTTTTAACCTTACAGTGAGTGAATAAACAGAAACAGTGCTTTTAGTCAAAATTCTTTTAAAAGCTTTGTCACTGGAATTTCTTAATGACACTTGAAATAATAGTTTCCACGGATTAAAAAATATACCACAGAGGCCAGGCACAGTGGCTCACACCTGTAATCCTAGCACTTTGGGAGGCTAAGGTGGGTGGATGGCTTGAGCTCAAGAGTTCGAGACCAGCCTGAGAAACATGGTGGAAAACTATCTGTACCAAAAGAAAAAAAAATAATTACCCAGGCCTGGTGGCAACCACCTGTGGTCTCAGCAACTTGGGAGGCTGAGGTGGGAGGATCACTGGAGCCTGGGAAATCAAAGCTGCAGTAAGCTGTGATCATACTACTGTACTCCAGCCTGGGTGACAAAGGGAGCCCCTGCCTCAAAAAAAAAAACCACGCCAGGCATGGTGGCTCATGTCTGTAATCCCAGCCCTTTGGGAGGCCGAGGCGGGTGGATCACCTGAGGTCAGGAGATCGAAACCAGCCTGGCCAACATGGTGAAACCCCGTTTCTACTAAAAATAAAAAATTAGCTGGGCATGGTGGTACTTGCCTGTAGTTCGAGCTACTCAGGAGGCTGAGGCAGGAGAATCGCCTGAACCCAGGAGGTGGAGGATGCAGTGAGCTGAGATCATGCCATTGCACTCCAGCCTGGGCAACAAGAGTGAAGCTCTGTCTCAAAAAGGAAAAAAAAAAAACTACAGAACTCCTTATTTCTAATAACCATACTTCTAGAAACATACTAAAGAAGGTTAAAAAAAAGAAACCATCAGACTCATAAAGTTGGCAAAAATAGTGTGATAAAACCAGGGGCTGGTGAGGATGTGGAACAATAGGAACATTCTGGTAGGACATATATTCCTCATCACTTTGGAGAGCCATTTGAAAAACACATATCTTGTGAACCAGCAATACCACTTCTAAGTGTCCAACTGGAGCACCAGGAGAAATGTAAAATAATGTTCACTGGGGCATCCTAACTATCTAACTGTCCCCCAAAAGGGGAATGGAAAAATCGGCTCATTCTGATAAAAAGAATGAACTGGATCTATGAATCAGCATAAATCACGTCAATCATATGATCAGTAAAATACGCAGGTTTTGGGGTTTTTGTTTTGTTTTTGAGACGGAGTCTTGCTCTGTTGCCCAGCCTGGAGTGCAGTGACACAATCTTGGCTCACTGTAACCTCTGCCTCCTAGGTTCAAGTGATTCTCCTGCTTCAGCCTCCCGAGTAGCTGGAATTACAGGTAGGTGCCACCATACCCAGCTAATTTTTGTATTTTTAGTACAGACGGGGTTTCACCATGTTGGCCAGGCTGGTCTCGAACTCCTGACCTCAGGTGATCTGCCCACCTTGGCCTCCCAAAGTGCTGGGATTACAGGCATGAGCCACTGCACCCAGCCAAAAATGCAGATTTTTGAAAAATATAAATATATATTGTTTATATAAAATTCAAAAGCACAGAAGAATATTAAGTAAAATTTTATGGATACATACGTATGTATTAAATGGACTAAAACATGGCGGGAACACCACAAATTACCTGGAGGAAGATTTTCATTGTATACATTACACCTCTTTAAAGGAAATTATTTGGAGCAAAGTGTAACAATTGGCTACTACTGGTGGTGAATATGTAGATGTCTATCATGTTTTATACTTTGGTTAAAATGTTTCAAAATTAAAAACAAATTTTATTTTTAAAAAATATTCGAAATAAAAATGTAACATATGCTTATTGTACAGTAACTTTAAACAACATGGAAGCATAAAGAGAACACCCCCCCACACATTATATTATTATAAGGCAGATGTTCTAAGTTAATGATATACATTTAAATAACTAAATTGTGCATGCAACAATGAACTATAAAATGTACACACACATATGAGGAGAATATACCAAAAATTTTAACTGTAGTCATTTCTGGATAGTAGGATTAAGTCTTATTTTCTTTTTTATACATTTATCTGTGTTGCATATTTCCATTAATATTATTAGTGAAAGAAAGAAAAAAGGAAACTACAAAATGCAAACTCAAAATCATCACTGGGTAAAAACTTACACACCAACTCACCTGACAAGATTCTACTTTACATCTGATTCTAAAAGTATCAGACTATCTTTAAAGATTGGCCTCTTTAAATATTAATATCCAAAACCATACAAGCCAAAAGAATTGTGCCAATAAACTATACAGCTTTAAACTTCTACTTTTGCATAACAAAAGATATCTGTTTTAGTCTCCTGTATTTCTAGCATTGTCACATCAGAGTAGATGGTCCTGTTATGAATTAGATGTTATCATATGGAAAAATCTCCATACCAAATCTCGATTTATATCATAAAAATAAAGCTATGTGTAAATAATGATGTAGCTGTAGGAAATGAAATAGGACAGCATGCAGTGTTTATGTAATACATTGTAAGGCAACTGAAAAATATAAACATTGCTGTGTAAGCTCTAAATAAACGGACAGATATGCCATCTTAATAGATTAGAAGATGCAATATTATCAATGCCTATTCTCCCCCAAAATGAACTAGGTATTCAATGTAATTACAACCAATGTCCCAGTGGGCATTTTTTTACAGAAACTGACAAGAGTATTCTAAAATTTATATGGAAAAGCAAATGACCTAGACTAGCCAAAAGAACCTTGAAAAGGGTTGGGTGCAGTGGCTCACACCTGTAATCCCAGCAGTTTGGAAGGCTGAGGCAGGCGGATCACCTGAGGTCAGGAGTTCGAGACCAGCCTGGCCAACATCGTGAAACCTCATCTCTACTAAAACTACAAAAATTAGCCGAGCATGGTGGCGGGCACCTGTAATCCCAGCTACTCGGGAGGCTGAGGTGGGAGAATCGCTTGAACCTGGAAGATTGCAGTGAGCTGAGATCACGTTACTGCACTCTAGCCTGGGCAACAGAGCAAGACTCTGTCTCAAAAAAAAAAAAAAAAAAAAAGAAAAAGAAAAGAACCTTGAAAAGAGTAGGGGAGGAATGAATTTTACCTGATTTCAAGACTCACTATCCAGCTAAATAATCAAGACAATGTAGTACTGGC
Source organism: Homo sapiens (assembly GCF_000001405.40). Classification (NCBI taxonomy): domain Eukaryota; kingdom Metazoa; phylum Chordata; class Mammalia; order Primates; family Hominidae; genus Homo; species Homo sapiens. The sequence goes on from NC_000002.12 coordinate 203,523,017, forward strand.
AAAAGGATAGAGAATCACATCAATGTAACAGAATGGAAAGTCCAGGAATAGACCCACACATAAAATGTCAAACAATTTTCAGTAAGGATGCCAGAGGTCAGGGGCGGTGGCTCACGCCTGTAATCCCAGCACTTTGGGAGGCCGAGGCGGGCGGATCATGGGGTCAGGAGATCAAGACCATCCTGGTTAACACGGTTAAACCCCGTCTCTATTAAAAATACAAAAAATTAGCTGGGCGTGGTGGCGGGCGCCTGTAGTCCCAGCTACTCGGGAGGCTGAGGCAGGAGAATGGCGTGAATACGGGGGGCGGAGCTTGCAGTGAGCTGAGATTGTGCCACTGCACTCTGGCCTGGGTGAAAGAGCGAGACTCTGTCTCAAAAAAAAAAAAAAACCACGTCAGAACTGAGGTAGGCAATGAGGAAAGTGTTTTTAACAAATGACACTGGCACAACTAGATATAAATGGGGCAGAGGGCTCGATATCACTCATAAACAAAAATTAATTCAAAATGGATTGTAGACTAAAATGTAAAAGCTAAAATTATAAACTCCAAGGAGAAAATATGGAAATATACTTTCTGAACTTTGGTGTAGGCAAAAATTTATTAGGGCACAAACGACACTAACCATAAAAGGAAAAATTGGTAATTTTGATGAAGCCCAATATAAAAACTTCTGCTCTTTGAAAAACACCATTAAAAAAATACACGGCCAGGAGCAGTGGCTCAGGCCTGTAATCCCAGCACTTTGGGAGGCCGAGGCAGGTGGATCACCAGGTCAGGAGACCGAGACCATCCTGGCTAACATGGTGAAACCCCATCTCTACTAAAAATACAAAGTTAGCTGGGTGTGGTGGCATGCGCCTGTAGTCCCAGCTACTCGGGAGGCTGGGGCAGGAGAATCCCTTGAACCTGGGAGGTGGAAGTTGCAGTGAGCCGAGATCACGCCACTGTACTCCAGCCTGGGCAACAGAGCGAGACTCTGTCTCAAAAGTAAAAAATAAAAAAGACAAGCTAAGTTACAGACTAAGAGAAAATATTTGCAAATATATCCAATAAAGAACTTGTATCGAGTAAATAATTGTTAAACTAAATTTAAAAAATATATACAATCTTATTTTTTAAATGGGCAAAGACTTGCTGTCACTTCCCAAATGACTAAGAACATTACATTGCTCAACATCAATAATAATCAGCGAAAGGTGAATTAAAGCTACGGTTATATCATTACATACCCATTAAAATGGCTAGAATGAGAAAGACTGACAATACCAAGTCTTAGGATATACACCAAGTGTCATATTATGCTGTTGGATATAAAATGATACAACTTTGGAAAAATTTGCCCACTTTAAAAATTAAAGTTAAAAATACACCTACCCTATAACCCAACACGTCCTCATAGGTATTCATCCTCAAGAAATGAAAACCTGTCCACAATTGGAAACAGCCTAAATTTCTATCAAAGGTGCCTGGAAAAACGAAATGTGGCATATATGCATAATGGAATACTTTAGCAATAAAAAGGAACTAATCCAAGCAACAAGATCGAAGAATCTAAAAATTATTATTCTGCATGAAAACAAGCCAGACTTGGGTGGGTTAGGAGGGGAAGGGAACAAGACACTGTATGATTCCATTTATATAAAATTCTAGAAAATGCAAACCAATCCATAGTGACAGATTGCCGTAAGACAGGGGTAGAGGGGGACAAATTACAAAGAGGTATGAGGAAACTTTGGGAGATGATGGAAATGTTCAGTTTTGATTACAGTGATGATTTCATGGGTGTATTAAAACTTACCAAATTGTACACTTTAATATGTGCAGTTTATTATATAGAAATTATACCTCAGTAAGGCAATAAAAAATTTTTTAAAGAAACAAGCAACCTAAAAGACTTCATAGCAGAATTAGAATTAGAATTCACTTCTGATATATGCAATTTTCTGATTATGTATTGTTCTTCAATACAAAGTTTTTAAAAGGAGGAACATCTATCTAAATGGCCTAGCAATCCCACTCCTTTATCCAAGATAAATGAAACATCTGTCCATAAAAAGACTTGTGCAAAAATGTTCATAACCATTTTCTTCAGAATAGTCCCAAACTAGAAGCAGCCCAGTTGCCCACCAACAGGAAAATGGATAAGAAATCTGGTATATTAACATCTTCTTTTTTGTTTTTTTGAGACGGAGTCTCGCTCTGTCGCCCAGGCTGGAGTGCAATGGCACAATCTTGGCTCACTGCAGCCTCCGCCTCCTGGGTTCAAGCGATTCTCCTGTGTCAGTTTCCAGAGTAGCTGGGATTACAGGCGCCCACCACCATGCCAATTTTTGTATTTTTAGTAGAGATGGGGTTTCACCATGTTGGTCAGGCTGGTCTTGAACTGCTGACCTCAGGCAATCCACCACCCCCTTGGCCTCCCAAAGTGCTGGGATTACAGGTGTGAGCCACCATGCCTGGCCATATTAACATATTCATACAATTGAATATTACCACTAAAAAGGAACTACTGATATAAGCAACAACATGGATGAATCTAAAAACATGCTGACAGCCTGGCCAACATGGTAAAACCCCATCTCTACTACAAATACAAAAAAATAAAAATAAGCCAGGCACGGTGATGCACACCTGTAATCCCAGTTACTTGGGAGGCTGAGGTGGAAGAATTGCTTGAACCTGAGAGGCGGAGTTTGCAGTGAGCTGAGATTGGGCCACTGCACTCCAGCCTGGGCAACAGAGTGAGACTCTGTCTCAGAAAAACAAAACAAAAAATGCACATGCTGAATGCAAGAAGCTGGAGACAAAAGCATGGTTATGATTTAATTAATACAAAGTTATAAAACAGGCAAAACTTACCTGTGCTGAAGCAACTATGACTGCAGTTGCTTTGGGGATAGGCAAAGAAAACAGAGAGAAGGAAAAGATAAAGAGCAGGGTAATGGAAAATGTTGTATACCTTGCTGGAGGTGTTCCGAAAAAAAATACTATGGACATGAAAAAACTGTAAGTCTATAAAATGCTACTCAATTACTAAGTTAAATACTTAATTTTTTATTTTTAATTAAGGGTACTTTTAAATTCACCTTGAATAATTCCTAAAAGGATAATGCAAAATTCAAATTTAGGCTTCTGAAATAAGCCTATAATTTCGACTGTATTGAAGAATAAATTTTATTAAAGTCTCAATTTGCTAACGTTTTTTAAAAAAATGTTTTATTACTGTATGTGTTGAAAAATTATAGGTATATACATTTATGGGGTACAAAGTGATATTATGATTTCTGATATAATGTGGAATGATTTCACTTTGCTGAAATTATCTACTTTCTTCCACAAACATTACTTTCCAATTAGTATTAGAACCAGAATGTCTTGTCCCAAGTGCTTTAAGATGACTTCATATAAGAATACTATACACTGGCCAGGCGAGATGGCTCAGGCCTGTAATCCCAGCACTTTGCGAGGCCAAGGCAGGCAGATCACCTGAGGTCAGGAGTTCAAGGCCAGCCTGGCCAACATGGTAAAACCCCATCTCTACCAAAAATACAAAAATTAGCCGGGTGTGGTGATGGGCACCTGTAATCCCAGCTACTTGGGAGGCTGAGGCAGGAGAATCACTTGAACCCAGAAGGCAGAGGTTGCAGTGAGCCTACTGCAGTGAGATAGGAGCGAAACTCTGTCTCAAAAAAAAAAAAAAAAAAAAAATACAATACACTATGAAGTGGAACTTAATATGAAAGGCTCATTATTAACAATTTTTCTTTTTCTTTTTTTTTTTTGAGACAGAGTCTCGCTCTGTCACCCAGGCTGGAGTGCAATGGTGCGATCTCAGCTCCTGCAACCTCTCCCTCCCAGGTTCAAGCAATTCTCCTGCCTCAGCCTCCTGAGTAGCTGGGATTACAGGCACATGCCACCACACCCAGCTAATTTTTGTGTTTTTAGTAGAGACAGGGTTTTGCCACATTGGCCAGGCTGGTCTAGAACTCCTGACCTCAGGTGATCCGCCCACCTTGGCCTCCCAAAGTGCTGGGATTACAGGCGTGAGCCACCGTGCTTGGCCTAACAATACTTCAGTAAGACTGTATAGTAGTTTCCAAAATGGTTACCTCCATTTATACCCCAGGATGTATGAGTGATGATTCACTGGGGTATACGAACATCTTATTAGAAGTTCTATTTTTATTTAATCCTTATCTTAATACACACATGTATTTTATATATAATACATATTTATCCTTAACATACAGACACTGGCGTCTTCACCGTGGCCACCTGTCAGAGAATCACACACCATACAAAGTAACATAAGTATTCTGGTATTAAATAATTGTAGGTATTGTGAGGCTAGAGTGATAGTAATTACTATCTTTAATACATTGATTCTTTTTCAATAATAAAGGATCTACCCTTTTGTAAGCTTCTACGAGAGACTGGTATTCCAGAGAAGACATATTCTCAACAGTAAATGATTTCCTCAATAAAAACGTTTTATGTGCTGGCCGTGGTAGCTCATGCCTGTAACCCCAGCACTTTGGGAGGCTGAGGTGGGCGGATCACCTGAGGTCAGGAGTTCGAGACCAGCCTGACCAACACAGAGTAACCCCGTCTCTACTAAAAATACAAAAAATTAGCCGGGCGTGTTGGCGCATGCCTGTATTCCCAGCTGCTCGGGAGACTGAGGCAGGAGAATCGCTTGAACCCGGGAGGCGAAGGTTGTGGTGAGCCAAGATTGAGCCATTGCACTCCAGCCTGGGCAACAACAGTGAAACTCCATCTCAAAAAAAAAAAAAAAAAAAAAAAGTATAGAAAACTGTATTATATAATCCTTCATGAAGCAGCTGCTTTGACCTCAATGAAACAAAGGTGGAGGAGAGGGTAAGGTTTAAGTCCAAGGGCAAAGCAGAATAAAAGAGAAACTGAAGCAAGAACAGAGCCAAGTGTTAACGGATGTTGTTATTGATGTTGTTAAGGAGTGATCATGGTATTTTGTACCAAACAGGTTTGTCTCATGGCAAATCATTTAAAAAATTGTGCAATTTAAAGATGAAGTAAGCATTTATCTTTTATAAAAAGAGTAGAGTTCTAAATTTGCTGAATTTCTGTTGTAAGTGGCTGTGCTGTGGCAGTATGCTACCTAGACATAGTTTCTAAAAACAGAAACATGGTTAATGCATCTGTACCTTAAAGGTAAATGAGACATTTTAAAACTTAGTAAGAAAATAGCTGTATTCTAAAAAAAAAAAATGTGTCATCTTAAAATACTCATATCTACACACTCTAAGAACAGAGAAGCCATTTCTAACTTTTTAAATGCCTTCCAAACACAGTTTTGGTGGATTTTGAATCCATTTATTAAAACTTTATAAATACAAATCCTCACACTGATTTGCAAGAATAGCTGATTGACAAATAGGGAGAACAAACTTTGTACTAGCCCAATCTGCATAATTGATGGATACAAACTTAACAGTATCTCCTAATAGAAAGTACAGCCGAAGAGGCACTTCTTCTTTTTGGATATATGTTCCTACATGAGCTGCCTTGTCAGCTAAGAGAAGCATTAAAAACCAGTAACATAATAAACAGATTCAAGAGCCAGATTTGGAAATTTCTGTGTTAATGAGTACTATAACCAAGATTTTTCAAATATAACGTATCATATTCATTGTTGCTGCCTTAAACTGTATATGTTTATTCTAAAAACTTAGGGTAAAAAAATTTTGAACCATTACTGCTTATTAAGTACACTATTCACAGATAAGTAGGATCACTGATTTCCTTTACCAGTTTCCAATGTCATTTGTTACAATATGAAATAAACCAAATGAGCCAAGAAATAATTATCCTTTATAAAGTAAACATTATTGGAAAATTAGAACAAATTATATTTGGGAAACATGCAAAATTTGGGATATATAAAGAATATATTTTCAAGTCATATTACTGGTTGTTTTGCTATATATATATATATATATATATATATTTTTTTTTTTTTTTTTTTTTTTTTGAGACAGGGTCTCACTCTGTCATTGCAGCCTTGACCTCCCAGGCTCAGGTGATGCTCCCAATCTCAGCCTCCCGAGTTAACTGCAACTACAGGCACACATCACCATGCCTGCCTAATTTTTGTATATTTTGTAGAGACAGGGTTTTGCCATGTTCAGGCTGGTCCCAAACTGGGCTCAAGCGATCCACCTGCCTCAGCCTCCCAAAATACTAGGATTATAGGCATGAGCCACCGCACCTGGCCTGCTCTACTGATTTAACCTAATACTTTTCTTCACTTATCAAACTCAGTAAAATCCTTCTAAAAGTAATTTCCAAAAGCATCCAAGTTTTTTATTGGTTTTGTTTTGAGACAGAGTTTTGCTCTCGTTGCCTAGGCTGGAGTGCAATGGCGCCATCTCGGCTCACCGCAACCTCCACCTCCCAGATTCAAGCAATTCTCCTGCCTCAGCCTCCTGAGTAGCTGGGATTACAGGCATGCGCCACCACGCCCGACTAATTTTTTGTATTTTTAGTAGAGATGGGGTTTCTCTATGTTGGTCAGGCTGGTGTCAAACTCCCCACCTCAGGCAATCCACCCACCTTGGCTTCCCAAAGTGCTGGGATTACAGGCATGAGCCACTGCACCCGGCCAAAGTTTTAAATACCATTGCAAAATTGACTTAAGATTCTACAATAATACTGGGCCTACTGAATATGTTTACAGTCCAATTTTTGCTAGCTATCACCATTCTTCACCATGGGGCTTAAATTTTAATAGTCTAACATAATGGTAAATCCTTGGCTTCCTGATCTTGTTTTTCTTCTCATCTAAAGGGATGACTTGTTCCTCCTTTTGTAAACTTTATCTGTTCACCCATTTTCAACTCAAAGACCCTTCTGCTTCTTTGTGGTCCCTGCGTCTTCAGTGTCATCTTCTACTGATTCCTCGTATTTTATACCTAAACTGGCATCCTCTCTATTGTGGAGAACAGAATACCTATCTTAGATTTCTCTATTATGCCTAGCTCTGCTTAGAGCAGAAAAACAGTATGCATTTTATTAAGAGCAAATACATATATACTTTTCAAAAAGCCAATTTATAAGACATAAGTGATATAGTTTAAGACATCTGCCTTAAAGCATGAAAAATACCTTAATAGCAAGAAGAGCATATGAAAAAGCTTTAGAGATCATACAGTCTGGAGTTTTAAAAACTATTTCACAACAAAACTCATCCAGATGAAATTTTACACAGCCTCTCAAATATATAAAGCTGGCAAAAGCATTGCTATTTTATGTTCAAATACATTATGTTAATTTATTGTAAACTCAAATAAAGAGATAAACTAAGGGTTAGAGATGTTAAACAATCCATTTATTTTTGTATGCTTTGTTTTGATTTCACCCAGGTAAGCAGTTGCAGCTCTTAACAGTCCCATCTACAGTCTTCAGGATACTCTTCAAATACACTGATCCAAATGTTTTAAACAATAAAAGGAAAAGCTTTATTCTTAGGAATTTCTGCCCCATCGCACCCCCAAAATTAGCCACGTATAACCATGTAGCACTATGGTCTTCAATGTGTTAAAAAAAATTTAGGCCAAGCGTGATGGCTCACGCCTGTAATCCCAGCACTTTGGGAAGCCGAGGTAGGTAGATCACCTGAGGTCAGGAGTTCAAGATCAGCCTGGGCAACATGATGAAACTCTGTCTCTACTAAAAATACAAAAATGAGCTGGGCACGGTGGTGCATGCCTGTAATCCCAGCTACTCGGGAGGCTGAGGCAGGAGAATCGCTTGAGCCTGGGAGGCAGAGGTTGCAGTGAGCTGAGATTGTGCCATTGCACTCCAGCCTGGGCAACAGAGTAAGACTCCATCTCAAAAAAAAAAAAAAATTATATACACACATGCATACATATAAATATACACATGTGTATATATGAATGAGTATGAGTGCCAGAACCATTCAATGGGGAAAGGACAGTCCTTTCAACAAATGGTGCTGGGAAAACTGGATATGCAAAAGAATGAAGTTGGACCCTTACCTAACACATTTGCAAAAATTAATCCCAAATGGATCAAAGACCTAAACATAAGAGTTGAAACTATAAAACTCCTAAAAGAAAACAGGGAAAACCTTCATGACATTGGATTTGGCTACAGCCTCTTGGATATAACACCAAAAGCACAGACAGAAGAAAAAATAAATTGGACTTCCTCAAAATTTAAAACTTTTGTGTTTGGGGAGTGGGGGGCTGGGGGAGGGATAGCACTAGGAGAAATATCTAATGTAAATGACGAGTCAATGGGGGCAGCAAACAAACATGGCACACGTATACCTATGTAACAAACCTGCACGTTGTGCATATGTACATCAGAACTTGAAGTATAAAAAAAAAAATTTGTGCAAAAGGATACTATCAAGACAGTGAAAAGATAACCCATAAAATGGGAGAAAATGTTTGCAAATCATATATTTGATAAGGGATTAATATCCAGAGTGTACAAAGAACTCCTACAACTCACCAAAAAACAACCTACTTTAAAAATGAGTCAAGGACTTGGATAGACATTTCTCCTCAGATATACAAATGGACAATAAGCATACGAAAAGATGCTCAACATCCCTAATCATTAGGAAAATTCAAATCAAAACCACAATGAAATACCACACCACGCCCATTAGAATAGCTATTATCAAAAACATAAAAAGAAAAAACACTAGAAAAGAAGTGTTGGCAAGATACAGAGAAACTGGAACCTTTGTGCATTGCTAGTGGGAATGTAAAATGGTGCAGCTGCTGTGGAATGCAATATGGCAGTTCCTCAAAAATTAAATATAGAATTAGCATACAATCTAGCAATCCCATTTCTGGGTGTATAGAAATACTGAAAAAAGAACCGAAAGGAGGGATTCAAACAGTTGTATACCAATACTCAAGGCAGCATTATTCACAGTACCCCAAAGGTGGAAACAACCCAAATATCCATAAATGTGGTATATACATACAACGGAATATTAATCAGTCTGAAAAAGGAATGGAATTATGATACATCCTACATGGATGATCTTGAAGACAGTGTGTTAAGTAACATAAGCCAGACACAAGAATCAATATTGTGTGAGTCAAAAGTAGAAAAGTTGTTACTAGGAGGGTAGGGTAGAGGGAGGGAAGTGGATAGTTACTGTTTTGTTTTTGAACAGGGTCTCACTCTGTCACCCAGTGTGCATGATCATAGCGCACTGTGGCTTGTAGAATTACTGTTTAATGGGAAGAATTTCAGTTTGGGATGATAAAAAATTTCTGGAGATGGTGGTGATGATGGCACAATAATGTACTTAAGCCACTGAACTGTACACTTAAAAATAGTTAAAATGGTAATTTGTATGTTATGCATACTTTACCACATTTCTTTCAAAGAGTATATGTGTGTGTTGCTTTAGTGGCAGTGTAAAAACATGGTTAAGAATACAAGCTTAAGAATTAGGCTGCCCGGTTTCAAATCCAGCTCTGCCACTATAGCTCTGCAGTCTTTGGGCAACTTATTGTCTGTGCCTATTTTCTCAAATAATAGACTCTATTTCATAGGGTTATGGCGAGAATTAAATAAATTATCACATATAAAGTGTTTAAAACAGTGTACGTCATACAGTGGCCACTTTTTATTATTATAAGTTTAAAATACATTTTTATTGAGATTAAAGTCAAACATCTGCAGAATCTCTGAAATTCTCAAGTTCAGTGAAACAGTTTAAGAAGCAGTGATCTAATCCAAACTTCTCATTTTATAGGTAAAGGAATTAAGAGTCCAAGATAAGTTATCTGCCTGAGGTCACATCTTGCTTCACTAATATTAATTTTCCTAAAATTAAGTGTTTGGGATTAACAATACTAATGTTGACATTCAATTACTTCCAAACCAAGGCAACCAAAGCCATGAGATTCTACAATGTGTAACCAAGAATCTGTGAATAGTGTGACAGTTATCCACGATGCCAATCTAGTAAGTATTTATGGGGTGAGCACCAAAGGGCAGCAAAACCAAAAGACATAATCATCCTCAAAGACAATGGTTAAAAACACCTCTTTGGAAAATAAAGAGTTAAATATTTGTGAAAACACACCCAATAGTGCCCACTACTCCACTCCTTTCACCCAGTCACATACTCTATAATCTTAGTGAGACCTCTGAGTCTGAAAAATAAGCTGCTGCTTCTACCAAATAAAGCTAACGTTTATCATAAGGCAACATCTACAAATAATTCTTTATTACATTCAAACAGGAGACAGCAATCTAAATTATACAAAATGTCTAACCCAAAAAATCATGAATTAAGCTTTTTGTACTTACTTGAGTAGGGCTGCATCTGGTTTCTGGGAAATTCACCACACAAAAAGCAAAATAACGGAGACAATCTTTGAAGGTCAGACTCAACAAGAGTTAAAAGCTATTGAGCGTCTCTATTTTGCCCCTCCCCCAAAGGTCCTCCCCCTCAATTCGGCTCTCAAAGGATAGCACCACCATGTGAAATGTCCTCCTCCCCATCTGAATCTGCTGAAATCCTACTCATCCTTAAAGGTTTCACTTAAATGCCGAGGCTTCCATGCATTCCTCCCTCAATTTAGAATTAATCTCTCTTCTTCGCTCTCCTATTCTATACCTCAACATTTTACTATATAGTTCACTGTATTACACTTACCTACATTCACTAACCCCCCGCACCGCACCCCCAAAAAAACCACCCCGAGGAGGAAAGGAATTTAAGGTGCTGTTAAACACCTCTATGCCAGGCAAGGTGCTACGCATTTTGCATACATTATCTCATTTAATCTACATGAAAAACATCTGGGGAGGTAAACAGGTGGTGTTATTCCCATTTTACTGATAGGGAACGTACTGCAGAGTTCAATAGCTTATCCAACTCACATTGCAAGCCAATTCCAGGGCGTACGGTTTCCCCCACTCCGAAGAGCTCTTTCCACCACCCCATGCTTGTTCACCTGGTGTCACCCAGCCTAACTGACAGAGTAGGTATTCCATAAATGTTTGCTGAATTTAATATCCCCATGGACTGACTCTTTAATAATCCGATCACGCCTCATCCCTAACCCGTTACCTTTACTGTTCCTTAACGGTGGACTTTACCTACATAAGCAGCTCTCCACATTTCCCTGAGAAATGCTGCAGACAACATCAACCCTTATTGGAAGATTGAGTGAAGAACTTTTCCATTCTCCCGGATTTCCCCAACGGATCTTCCCAAAGAATTTAAGAAATGCACACACGCAAGACACATGTAACACTTACACCCTCCCTCAAGGCTCTTATTTCATATTAAACCATGTCTTCGAGCTTGTAAGCAATAAGGTTTATGCGGTTTCCAGCTCACACAGTGGGGACACCCTAAGTCACTGCCTTAAGAAAACCACATCTTTCAACCTGTCTTAACACGAAGGCATCCTAATACTATCACACTGCCCCCTCCCTCCGTCCACCCCCCCCCCCCCCCCATGAATTGCAGTTTGGATTTCCGGCGGGAATGTATAATACAGACCGCAAGAGGAGACGCGGTTAAAAAGCAATGAAGCAATTACTTATCCTGTTTAATTAGAAAGAAGACACAGAAGGAGCCCCGCCTTTCAAAATCTCTGCACTGAACTCATCTATGAAAGATGGGGGCATCGAAACCCAAGCAACCCGACATCCAGTAGCTGGTTTCTGCAGCTGGGCGGGGGAAAGTCCTTTCCTCCCTGCGGTCCCGGGCCACCAGCCCCCGGTGCTGGGTCGGAGAAGCCTAACCGCACCCTCCCAGGCGGCCCCTTATCTCATTGTCTCCCTCCGTCGCGGTCCCCAGGGGCGCAGGGTGCAGTCCAGGCCCCACCGACCTCCATCCACCAGCCGGGAGCGGTCCAGCCAGCCCCGGCCCGATCCCCAACCTGGCAACGACCCCGCCCCAGGCTGCCGCCGACCGTACCGCACCCGGATGGCGGGGCCGGGCGCCGGGAAAATGGAGGCGGGAGCGGCAGGAGCGCCTCACGGCCCCGCGCCCAGCCGGCTCCCTACCCCCTGGCCCCGAGGGCGAGGCTAACCACTCACCGCGGCAGTCGGTCGGCCTTCCCGCGGCCCCGGGCAAGGAAACCGCCGCTCGCGCTCCTCCAGCCGCTGCCTCCGCCTCCTCCCCAGGCGCGGCGCTCCCTCGCCAGAGACGCAGCGACTGCCAGCAGCTCCCGCGCCGCGCGCTCAGTGACTGACTGACTGACTGACTGACTGACTGACTGACTGACTGGCGGGCGGCGGCGGGAGCGGGGGCGGGGCGGCCGCAGCGCCCCGCGGCGGCGGCGGCGGCGGCGGAGCCGAGTGTGCTCGCGTCCAGCCGAGACGCAGAAGGCGGGGTTGAGGGCCGGACTGCCGACTGTAGGGCCGACTCGCGCGGGACCGCGCGCCGCCCCCGCCCGCCGCCAACCACTCACTTCCGGCGCAGGCCGCCGCGCCCGCCGCCCTTCCCTAGCCCGCGCCCCGCGCCGGCCCTCCGCCCTCCCTTCAGGCGCCCGGCCGCGCCCGGCCGCACTCAACCGCGGCTCCGCTCGTGCCTCGCCTTTCCTCCGCAAGTCCCTGTGAGCCGCCTACAGGAACGAGTGAATCAGAGAATGAATGAGTGGGGAGGAAAATCCCAGTGCTGCCCCACCCCCTGCTCGCCTTTCATAGGAAGCCGGCCCAGCAGCCTCTGTCCTAGCGCCCTGGGAGGCACAGCAGCCTCCAGCAGTTCTGTCAGGGAGCTGTACGCATCCACCTTTATACGCTGTCCGTGTATTCAGAGACTCCAGAAACGCATCCGGGGTTGGCTCGGTCACTTACAGGACCATTGTCGTTGAGATCTGTGAGGCCCTTCTTTAGGAAATCCCATTTTGGCCAAAAAGTCTCTGCAGTTTCATGGAATGTATTGGGAAACTTAGGAACGGGACATTTCGATGACCTTTACTTTTTAAACTTCGAAATCTGTTAATCCTGCCTCCTTAATTTCTGTCCCCCCACCCCATCGGAATTGTGTAGTAGTAAGGTGTCGGCATTTTTCCTTATCGCTAAGCTCAGCTGCTGCCTCTTTAGATGCAGGCTTGACTTCGGCAGACTTTTAGATTTTAAGTATGTCCTTATTTTGACCTTCACCTAAAGTTGATCAAAGAAAGGAACAAATGGAACTAAGTTATGTTTGCTTGGCTACATGCAAAGCAAGTTTGTTGACAGCATTAAAACAATTGAGAAATTGGGAGTGTGACCTGAAATTGGTTGCAATGAACATTGCTTTTTCATGTCTTCCCATCTGCTTGCTAAGAATTTATTTAAATTTTCACAAAGCATTGACTGTACATTCCTGAAATCCTAGCTCCCTCTCTAAGAATGAGAGTGTTCATTTCTCTGTCCTGGGGCCAAATCCTGGTTTGGTTAATTACATTCTTACTTCCTGATATTCTTGAGGACTTTCAAGTGGTTTCAGTCTTTTTTGTACAATCTGTTCCAAACTGGTACACAATCTGTTTCAAATTGGTATTTAGAACCATACAATACAGATACTGGCTGCCTTTCACACTTGAGATATCTGTACTTTTGAAACATAACTGCCCTTTTGTATTTTAAGTTCAGTAGGTATGTCAATATTCTTGTATAGAATAATACTATCTCTTGACTGGATTAAGAAAATGTGGCACATATACACCACGGAATACTATGCAGCCATAAAAAAGGTTGAGTTAATGTCCTTTGTAGGGACATGGATGAAGCTGGAAACCATCATTCTCAGCAAACTATCGCAAGGACAGAAAACCAAACACCACATGATCTCACTCATAGGTGGGACTTGAACAATGAGAACACTTGGACACAAAGCAGGGAATATATCACACAGGGGCCTGTTGGGGGGATGGAGAGGGGGGAGGGATAGCATTAGGAGATATACCTAATGTAAATGATGAGTTAATGGGTGCAGCACACCAACATGGCACATGTATACATATGTAACAAAGCTGCACGTTGTGCACATGTACCCTAGAACTTAAAGTATAATAAAAAATAAAAATAATAAAAGAATAATACTATCTCTTATAAATGAAGATGATCCTGCTGACCAACTTCTTTTAGACTTCTCTTCCTTTCTTGTGGGAATCATCATTTGCCACCTAATTATTTCAAGAAGTTATCCTCCAAAAGTGAATATAATACAACACTTTATTCATCCTTGTATCTCCCACAATATCTAGCATAGTATCTTGCACAATAAGTATTTATAAATTAATAAATGCTTTAAAATTTTTCATAAGTGATAATTTTATACAAATGTATCTAGTCTTTCACCTCATTTCCCTTGTGACCAAGTTTGTTGACATTAGACACACCTGGGTGCCAAACTTAATGAATCCTATTGTCATTAAATGTACTAGGCTGTGTGATACCTTACAAGGAAGATGATTCATTTAAACCTCCTTAAAAAAATAGACGATTGAAGCCAGGAGTGGTGGCTCGCACCTGTAATCCCAGCACTTTGGGAGGCTGAGGTGGGCGGATCACCTGAGGTCAGGAGTTGGAGACTAGCCTGGCCAACATGGTGAAATCCCATCTCTACTAAAAATACAAAAATGAGCTGAGCATGGTGGCGGGTGCCTGTAATCCCAGCTACTCAGGAGGCTGAGGCAGGAGAATCACTTGAACTTGGGAGTGGAGCTTGCAGTGAGCCAAGATCCTGCCATTGCACTCCAACCTGGGTGACAAGAGTGAGACTCCATCTCAGAAAAAAAAAAAAAATAGACCATTGAGTGCCTTTTACATAGGTCTTAGCCAACTCTTCTCCAAGTGCTTAGCCTAAGATCAAGGTTAATTAAAAGAGAAAAAAGGTCACTTTCAGTCATTGAGAAAAGAGTGTTCTCATCAGTTTCTTTAAACCATTAAATCATTCGTTCATTCAATCAGAGTTTATTAAGCTACAATTAAGGCCCAGGAATACAAAGACAAGAAAGACGTGGCATGATGCTTCCTGCCTACAAAAAGCATACAGTCTAGTGGGTAAAGCAGGTAAGGAAGTCATTGTTAGACTGGAAGTCCATTACCAGATCAGGAAAGCCTTCCTGATGGGGAGATTCTTGAACTGAATGTTAAATGATAGGGAGGAGCTAACCAGAAGAAGGAGGGAACAAGCATTCCAAACGAAGAAAACAATATCTCTGCAGGTGTGTGGAAGCACCAAGCATCACCATGCTTTAGAGGCACCGTAAGTGTATTAGTCCGTTTTCATGCTGCTGATAAACACATACCTGAGACTGGGAAGAAAAAGAGGTTTAATGGACTTACAGTTCCACATGGCTGGGGAGGACTCACAATCATGGCAGAAGGTGATGAGGAGCAAGTCACATCTTACATGGATGGCAGCAGGCAAAAAGAGAGCTTGTGCAGGGAAACTCCCATTTTTAAAACCATCAGATCTCATGAGACTTATTCACTATTATGAGAACAGCACGGGAAAGACCCACCCCCATGATTCAACTATCTCCCACTGGGTCCCTCCTACAGCAGGTGGAAATTATGGGAGCTATAAGATGAGATTTGGGTGGGGACACAGAGACAAACCGTATTAGTAAGTAATTCCATTTTGTCAGAACAGGCATAGAGAAGAGTCAAAGAGGTTGGAGGAAAGGGTAGGAAGGGCTTCATTCATGAAGGGGCTCTTGTTAAACTAAGGAATTTGAATTTGATACTCTGGGAAATGTAGTAAATAATAAAATATTTGAAGTATTTTAGCTCCAGAACAACTGAGTTTGTGTTTTGGAGACCAAGAAGACCAGACTGGAGCAGGAGAAAATTAGGAGGTGATGGCAACAACCTGAATCCTAATGAGATGTGTGCTGCAGGTCTCAATAAAATCAAGAGGTCATAAAATGGCGAGGAGGGACTAGATGGGAGATATATTAAACAGGTAGAATCTACAGAATATATAACTGGATATGAGGGAGTGAATGCAACAGAGACATTTAGAATGACTCTCAGGATTCTGGTTTAGAAGAGTGACTGAATGGTGGTGACCTCTGAAATAAAGAGCGTGGGAAAAGAGCAGGTTTCAGGGAACTGGCTGAATACCTGTATGAGAAAGAATAGTACCATAAATCCAGGCATCTTAGTCCATCATTTCCCCAAGTGTTCTTTGGAACTCTAGTCCCACAGGATTTTAGTAGATGTGATTCCCCCTCAAAATTTTAAGTTCCTTTAATCAAATGAGAATGCCAGACAGTTCAATGGGTTTCTAAACTAGAGAGATTTCTGGTGGTTTTAATATTTTAATGTGCACTGGGAATTTCTGAGGTAGATATTATATACAAGCGCTTTCCAAATGTATTCAACCATGAAACCCTTTTTCCAATGGAACATCTTACAAGACATGTGTTCCACAGCACATACTTTGGGAAATGCTGACCTAAACCAGATTTTTGGTTTATAGTAAAGGAAGCTGTAGCTTAAGGCATGAAGTGACTTGTCTAAAGTTAAACAGCTATTACTAGAAGATACTGGACTAAGGTCCAGTATCTTCTGACCCCAGTCACATTCTCTTTCCAGTACATACTGCTTTATGAGTTACAAACTCAATTCCAGCACCTTCCACCAATCATGGGGAGAGGAATAAAAAATTATGGAATATATCGTTTTAAATGATGTTTCCAATCAGTCATTTTTAAAGATATGCTAATTTTTAATGGTTAATATTTTACATAAGATAAAAAGATTTGTACATTGGAGAAGTGGGACCGATTATCACCTTCATATGATCTTTCTGATAATTGAACAGGAGACTTATAAAATTAAATTGCCTAACTAAATAGAATATTCATCTAGTCGTCCTATCCCTGAAGTAGCTTTAAATAAAATAAACTTTCAGGAATTGATAGAAACATTAAAACTCTCCCCAAAAATATTAGTGTTTTTTTGTTTTGTTTTATTTTGTTTTTTTGAGACGGAGTCTCACTCTGTTGCCCAGGCTGGAGTGCAGTGGCACAAACTCGGCTCACTGCAAGCTCTGCCTCCCGGGTTCACGCCATTCTCCTCCCTCAGCCTCCCGAGTAGCTGGGACTACAGGCGTCCGCCACCACGCCTGGCTAATTTTTTGTGGTATTTTCAGTAGAGACGGTGTTTCACCGTGTTAGCCAGGATGGTCTCGATCTCCTGACCTCGTGATCCACCCACCTTGGCCTCCCAAAGTGCTGGGATTACAGGCGTGAGCCACCGCGCCTGGCCAAATTTTAGTGTTGATTTTATTCCACCTGCACATGGAAGGAAATGTCTGGTACTATGAAAATCCACACCAGATTTTGACTTCCTCTCTGGCACAATTCCCATGATTCTGAAAACTCTAATAGCTAATGGATGAGAGAGTTTTCTTATCCTAAATTCATATTCTTAATTCTCAAAGGAGGAATTTTAGTACTGCCTATTCTTAGAAAAATGAGACAATATTTTTTTTCAGGAGACCTCTTAGGACTCTGGGACAAATTTTAAGAGTAGCTTCTATAGATATTATCTTTGAAACAAGTTATCAGCATTTTAATTTATGTTTCGCACTTTATAAAGTATTTGTTTCATTTCTGAATGCTATATTCATTTTTAGTAGGCAGATCAAGACAATCATATGCGGTGTAAATATGTTGAGTGAATGAGTAATTAATTACTTTATTTTTTATTTGTTTTGGAGACAGAGTCTCACTCTGTTGCCCAGGTTGGAGTGCAGTGGCACAATCTCAGGTCACTGCCACCTCTGTCTCCCAAGTTCAAGCGATTTTCCTGCCTCAGCCTCCCAAGTAGCTGGGACAGCAGGTGTGCATTACCATGCCCAGCTAGTTTTTGTATTTTTAGTAGAGATGGGGTTTTACCATGTTGGCCAGGCTGGTCTTGAACTCCTGACCTCAGATGTTCCACCCACCTGGGCCTCCCAAAGTGCTGGGATTACAGGTGTGAGTCACTGAGCCCAGCCAGTAATTACTTACTTTAAAACTTCAGTAGCTATACGTCATGGAGAAAACACTATTATTATTATTATTTATCTTATTTATTTGTTTTTTTTTGTGTGTTTTTTTTTTGAGACGGAGTCTCACTCTGTCACCCAGGCTGGTGTGCAGTGGTGGTATCTAGGCTCACTGCAAGCTCTGCCTCCCAGGTTCACGCCATTCTCCTGTCTCAGCCTCCAGAGTAGCTGGGATTACAGGCGCGTGCCACCACGCCCAGCTAATTTTTTGTATTTTTAGTAGAGACGGGGTTTCACCATGTTAGCCAGGATGGTCTCGATCTCCTGACCTCATGATCTGCCCGCCAAGGCCTCCCAAAGTGTTGGGATTACAGGCGTGAGCCACTGCGCCTATTATTATTTTTGAGACAGAGTCTCGCTCTGTCACCAGGCTGGAGTGCAGTGGCACGATCTCAGCTCACTGCAACCTCTGCTTCCTGGGTTCAAGTGATTCTTCTGCCTCAGCCTCCCAAGTAGCTGGGACTACAGGCACACACCACCATACCCAGCCATTTTTTTGTATTTTTAGTAGAAACGGGGTTTCACTATGTTGGACAGGATGGTCTCAATCTCTTGACTTCGTGATCTGCCTGCCTTGGCCTCCCAAAGTGTTGGGATTACAGGTGTGAGCCACCGCGCCCAGTGCAAAAACACTATTATTAATCCATTTATCAAATTAATTGCATTTATTTATTTAATATTCACTGCGTCTCCAGCTGTGTCTAGAATCTCTAGAGAAATACATGAAATAGTCTCTGATTTTTAAAAATCATTCCACCCATCGTTGACAAGGATGGGAAGAAATAGGCACTCTCACACCTGCAAGTGGGAATATAAATCATTGCAACCTTTTTCTATAGGGCAGTTTGGCAACAGATATTCAAAGGAGTAAGAACAAAACATTAGCTGGGATATTGTGGGATGATGACAAATATTTGGAAAGCCCCTAAATGTCTAGCCATGGGAGGTTGTTTAAGAAAATGAAGGCTGTGGCTGGGTGCGGTGGCTCACGCCTGTAATCCCAGCATTTTGGAAGGCCGAGGCCGGCGAATCACCAGGTCAGGAGATCGAGGCCATCCTGACCAACATGGTGAAACTCATCTCTACTAAAAATACAAAAAATTAGCCAGGCGTAGTGGTGCATGCCTGTAGTCCCAGCTACTCAGGAGGCTGAGGCAGGGGAATGGTTTGAACCAGGGAGGAAGAGGCTGCAGTGAGCTAAGATCATGCCACTGCACTCCAGCTTGGTGACAGAGCAAGACTCTGTCTTAAAAAAAAAAAAAAAAGGACAGAAAATGAAGGCTGAGCATGGTGGCTCACACCTGTAATCCCAGCACTTTGGGAAGCCAAGGTGGGCAGATCACCTGAGGTCAGGTGTTCAAGATCAGACTGGCCAACATGGTGAAACCCCGTCTCTACTAAAAATACAAAAATTAGCTGGGTGTGGTGGCGTGCACCTGTAATCCCAGCTACTTGGGAGGCTGAGGTGGGAGAATTGCTTGAGCCTGGGAGGCAGAGATTGCAGTGAGCCAAGATTGCACCACTGCACTCCAGCCTGGATGACAGAGTGAGACTCTGCCTCAAAAAAAAAAGAAAGAAAGAAAGAAAATGATGATTTGTAGATTTTTTTTGATAATGAAAAGATGTTCACAATATGTTGATTAAAAAGTTACAAACATTATGTACAATATGAACCCATGAGAAAACATATGGGAAAAACCTAGAAGGAAATGCAAGAAGACAAAGTGTTTATTGCAGAGTGGTATGATTGTGGTACTTTCTTTTCCTACTTTATCTTTTAACAACAAATTTGTATTCTTTAATTGACAATTAAATGAATTGCACTGTCGATATTTATGAAGATAAATCTCTTAAAATGTTGAGGAAAACAACAATATAAAATGTATATTATTTAAAAATAGTTGATTTTACTTTATTTTATTTATTTATTTATTTTTTGAGATGGAGTTTCTCTCTGTTGCCCAGGCTGGAGGGCAGTGGCGCGATTTCGGCTCACTGCAAGCTCCACCTCCTGGGTTCACTCCATTCTCCTGCCTCAGCCTCCCGAGTAGCTGGGACTACAGGCGCCCGCCACCACGCCTGGCTAATCTTTTTGTATTTTTAGTAGACACGGGGTTTCACCGTGTTAGCCAGGATGGTCTCGATCTCCCGACCTCGTGATCCACCCACCTCGGCCTCCCAAAATGCTGGGATTACAGGCTTGAGCCACCGTGCCTGGCTGATTTTACTTTAAAAGGGGATCTCTACATTCAAGAAATTTTACTCACGAGACAAGAACATATGAAATAACCAGAGAACAACTAAATATTAAGCTCTGATACAGACTGTAAGTACAGTAGGAGTTAAGGGAAGAGGGAATTCAACAGACGTTAAAGCAGGTTAAGATAACTTCATGGAAAAAATGATACTTAGCTGACACTTAGAATCTGAATGCCAAGAGGAGAAACAGAGTTAGGGGTAGTAATACAGGGGTGAATCAAGGGCCTCATATGGCCCAAATCAGAGACATCTCATTCCTCCCAGTCAAACATTAACAACTGCAGAACACTTGATCCTTGCCTTTAAGTATATTTCTGCTTCTTGCATGTGAGATTTAAATACCCTACATAATATAAATACGTAGTAAACAGAGTATGACATACCTACACCTAATAAAACAATTATTTTAGTTGTTTTTTTCTAAAGAGTAGCCCTTTTGGGCCAGGCACGGTGGTTCACGCCTGTAATCCCAGCACTTTGGGAGGCCGAGGCAGGTGCATCACCTGAGGTCAGGAGCTCAAGATCAGCCCGGCCAACATTGCTGAAACCTCATCTCTACTAAAAACGCAAAAAAATTAACTGGGCATGGTGAGGCCACCTGTAGTCCCAGCTACTCAGGAAGCCGAGGCAGGAGAATCGCGTGAACCTGGGTGGCAGAGGTTGCAGTGAGCCAAGATCGCACCACTGTACTGTAACCTGAGCGACACAGCAAGACTCCATCTCAAAAAAAAAAAAAAAAAAGTAGTCCTTTTGGGGAGGCTTTTTATCTGCAAAATCTATAAAACTGGACATTTCCAGGTATTTACTTAGAACTAATACAAACTATTATGCAAGAGCAGTTATCACAATAACCTGAATCCTTGTGAATGTTCTGACGTCCGTACCAGTCAGACCACAAATGAATTCAACCAACCAGAACTCAGCAATTATCTGATTACACACACGTTAGAGTGCAATTATTAAGCCAGCTTTCCAAGGTGATAACTAAACTGCTACTAGTAGTAGTAGCTATACATATTAGAGTGAGTGAATGACTTGTGTTTAGTACCTAATAATAAACCAAAAATATTACACCCATCTCAAAAATGCCTGCAGTGGGAAAGAATGGCAGAACCTGAACTTCCATCTTTTTTGTTTGTTTGTTTTTTCAGTAAACACTGGGAAAAATTGTTTTATTAGAGCTGAAGAGGTCTAATAACCAATGCAGTAGAGTCCATTTTTAAATGTGCCAGTCATTTTCCCAACTCCACACCCTTGCAATGACTTCATTCCCTCTGTCTAGAATGTCCTTTTTTCCTTCTCTGTTTGGTCTGCTCCTACTAACTACAGTTCAGCTGTCTCCTCTTTCATTCCCAGTTCCCCTAGATAAAGCTATTTGCTACATCCTATGTGTTCTCAAAAAACTTTGCACATTGGTATTAGAACGTTTCGTGCATGCGTCTGACTCCTCCGAAAAACCATGAGTTCTTCAAAGGGCAAAGACTGTGACTTACTCAGACATATATTTTCTTAAGCACCTTGCATGTTGTCTTGTACACAGAAAAGTTCAGCAGTATTTGTCAAGAAAAGGATGATGAGAGATATGGTTAAGAAAAGTCTGACAACATTTTTTTTTTTTTTAGACAGGTTTTCGTTCTTGTTGCCCAAGCTGGAGTGCAATGGCGCAATCTTGGCTCACTGCAACCTCTGCCTCCCAGGTTCAAGCGATTCTCCTGCCTCAGCCTCAGTAGCTGGGATTACAGGTGCGCCACCACACCTGGCGAATTTTTTGTATTTTTAGTAGAAACGGGGTTTCACCATGTTAGCCAGGCTGGTCTCAAACTCCTGACCTCAGGTGATCCGCCCGTCTCGGCCTCCCAAAGTGCTGGGATTAGAGGCGTGAGCCACTGTGCCCAGCAGAAGTCTGGCAACATTTTGAAGATAGATCGGATAAGGAAAACAATCAGAAGGCTGGTTGTATTAATGCAGGCATGAAATGATGAGAAATGAGAAAGCAGGGAAATTGAATTACATTTGGAAAAACTGACAGACACAGGTGACAGATTGGACAAGGGTAAGAAGATTGGACAGATTGGACAAGGGTGAGAAGAAGAAAAGTCCGGCCGGGCGTGGTGGCTCACGCCTGTAATCCCAGCACTTTGGGAGGCCGAGGTGGGCAGATCACGAGGTCAGGAGATCGAGACCATCCTGGCTAATACGGCGAAACCCCGTCTCTACTGAAAAATACAAAAAAAAAAAAAAAAAAAAAAATTACCCAGGCGCGGTGGCGGGCGCCTGTAGTCCCAGCTACTAGGGAGGCTGAGGCAGGAGAATGGCGTGAACCCGGGAGGCAGAGCTTGCAGTGAGCCAAGATCGCGCCACTGCACTCCAGCCTGGGTGACAGAGAAGAATACTGAAAGCAGAGGACTGACAGCATCACTGAATCAACAGATAGATACCAAGTGCTTGTCGAGCTCAAGGCACTGTGCTGAATGATGGGGAAGCCACAGGGAAGTGTCTGCTAACCATAAGGACAGCTGAAAGGCATGTGAGTTCAGTTTTGGACAAGTTGTATTTGAAGTAATGGTGGAACATCCAAGTGGATCTGTTGTTTAGCTTGCTGGAAATAAAGAACTGGGTTGTCCTCAAGGCTAAGAATTGTGTCTTTTCAATCACTGAATATCCAGTCTCTGCCTTCTATCACAGTGTCTAAGACATCACTGGGTTAGTTTCCTAGGGCTGCTATAACAAAAAGACACAGACTCAGTTGCTTACACAACAGAAATTTACTTTCTCCCAGTTCTGGATGCTGGAAGTCCGAGATAAGCTGTTGGCAGGCTTGGTTTCTTCTGAGGCCTCTCTTCTTGGCATGCAGGTGGCCGTCTTCTCCCTGTGTCTTCACATGATCATCCCTCTATGCAGTCATGTGTCTAGTGTCTCTGTATCCTAATCTCTTCTTAAAAGAATGCCAATAGTACTGGATTTGAGCTTACCCCACCTACCCCATTTTAACTTAATTACTCCTTTAAAGGCTGTATCTCCAAATACAGTCACATTCTGAGGTACTAGGGGTAAGGGCTTTGGCAAACAAATTTTGGGGGGACACAATTCAGCCTGTAACAGTTACCCAATAAATATTGTTGAATTGAAGGGTGTGTTTCCAAGGTGAAAAGTCAAGAATGAAGAGGTAAATACACATAGATGGTGGCCATAAAGACTGGAAATACAGGTACACATATACATATATATTCTATATAATAAATGGTTTATTGATATATGATGTGTTCAATGACATTACATATGTTTAAAGTGTTGTTCCTTATTAACAATAAGTAAATGCACTGTACAAAATTGCAATGAATGTGGCTCATTAATGCAGTCTTTTCATCACCCCCTGCATATTCATCAGAGATTCTTTGCTTCAGATGATTTGTGTCTGAGATTTTCATTGAATAAATGTGCAAATTTTTTTTATTCATAATTTTTTTTTTGAGATGGAATTTCGCTCTTGTTGCCCAGGCTAGAGTGCAATGGTGTGATCTTGGCTCACCGCAACCTCTGCCTCCCAGGTTCAAGTGATTCTCCTGCCTCAGCCACCCAAATAGCTGGGATTACAGGCATGTGCCACCACGCCCGGCTAATTTTGTATTTTTAGTAGAGACAGGGTTTCTCCATGTTGGTCAGGCTGGTCTCGAACTCCTGACCTCAGGTGATCCGCCCGCCTTGGCCTTCCAAAGTGCTGGGATTACAGGCGTGAGCCACCACACCTGGCCAAGTATACTATCTTTAGTATACCCCAGAAGAAGTAATCATGGAGGTTCAATCTGTAAAAAAAATGAAATATTATCTAGGTTTCCAGATTTTATGTTCAACCTGTATATATGTAACATATAAGCAAAATGTGCTTTTATGGAAGTTTCAAAGACCTGTTATTTAATGAAAAGCATTTTTAGGTTCTCCGAATATTATACGTTTAGCATTTAACACATTTTTCCTTTATAATTCATTTAGAGGAGTGATAAGTGCCTCATGATCATGTTTGTATGATTCTTTGAACTATTTGAGAAAGGCCATTTGAAAAATATATCATGGAAAAACAAAGTAAACAGATGCATAGCTGATCACTAGAACTTTTGTTCAGTTATGCACTTTGAGGCAAGGCTATGCCAAAGAACATGACATCACCTAAGTGCTGTCACCGAGTCCCATCAGTCATGCCTTTCAAATATCCCTAGATTGTCTCTTCCTCACTGTTCTGTCTGCCACCACCTCTCTTGAAACCTTCATCATCTCATACCAGGGGTTTGCAGAAGCCTGTGGGCTGGTTTCCTGTAAACCTCTCCTCCCTTTGAAACAGTCCTAACCAATCTGGCACTACTGGGACCACTTTTGCACCATTTTTCTGTTTAAAAAACAACAAAAAAGATGTACAATGTTTTTATTTTGAAAAATACACATCAGCAAACACCCTGTACAGTAGGAGTCTGATATTGTTGAAAACAAAAAACTCAAGCCCATAAAGGTGAATATATATTTATTGTATTAATTTCCTATTGCTTCTGTAACAAACTGCCGTAAACTCAGTTGCTTGAAACAATAGTTATTATCTTACAGTTCTGGAGGTCAGAAGTCCAAAATCAGTCTCAGTGGTCTAAAATTCAGGTGTCAACAGAACTTCATTTCTTCTAGAAGCTCTAGGGGAAAATTCCTTTCTTTGCCTTTTCTAGCTTCTAGAGTTTGTCTGTATTCTTTGGCTTAGGGCTTCATCTTCAATCTTCAAAGCCAGTAGCATAGTATCTTCCAATTTCTGTCTGACTCTGACTCCCCTGTCTCCCTCTTTTTTTTTTTTTTTTGAGATGGAGTCACTCTGTTGCCCAGGCTGGAGTGCAATGGTGCGGTCTTGGCTCACTGCAACCTCTGCCTCCTGGGTTCAAGTGATTCTCCTGCCTCAGCCTCCTGAGTAGCTGGGATTACAGGCACCTGCCACCACGCCCAGCTAATTTTTGTATTTTTAGTAGAGACGGGGTTTCACCATGTTGGCCAGGCTAGTCTTGAACGCCTGACCTCGTGATCTGCCTACCTCGGCCTCCCAAAGTGCTGGGATTACAGACGTGAGCTACCTGGCTGCCCCCCTGCCTCCCTCTTATAAAGACCGTAGCAATTACACTGGGCCCTCCAATCAATTCAGGATAATCTTTCCAACTCAAGATTCTTAACTTAATTACAACTGCAAAATCTCTTTTGCCATGAAAAACAAACCCACATTCACAGGTTCCAGGAATTAGAATATGGATATCTTTTGTGGGGTGGGGCATTACTTTATCACTCCCATACATAGACATACACCAATGCACAGTATACATGAAAAAAGAAACTGAAAGAAAGTATACCAAATACTAATGGGTTGATGATTTCTAGGTTAATAACTTTAGATGATTTTAATTTTTACTTCTTTGTGTTTGAGCAATATTTCGTTTTCAAAATGATCTTGCATTACTTTTGTATTTATAGAGAGCATCAACAACAAAAAACAATTCAATAAATGTTACTATAGGGGACATCTGCTATTTCCTCTGCCCTGCTCTTTTTTCTTCTGGAGACAGCACATTTCTTTTGGAACTGCTCCTCCCAACCCAGCCCCTAACTCAACCCTGTAGTTCTTAGGGATGCTGGCAATCAAAGTACCTCTTTCTTTACCCTGGTTGTAGAGGAGACCATGTGATCCACACTAAGGTAACCAAAGGCATTCCCACATTCCTTCCTTCCTTCCTTCCTTCCTTCCTTCCTTCCTTCCTTCCTTCCTTCCTCCCTCCCTCCTTCCTTCTTCCCTCCCCTCCCCTCTCCTCCCCTTTCCTCTCTCCTCCTCCTCCTCCTTCTCCTCCTCCTCCTTCTCTCTCTCTCTCTTTCAGCTGGAATTAGGAAAAAAATTCTATGATGAGACTCTCAGGAAAATGCAAACCAGAAAATGTTGGTGACTATGGCGCTAATGTCATAGAAAACATGAAAGCAAAGCAAAGATGAGGAAAACAGAGAGAGAGAGAATCCTATCGGTATTTGCATCCTTGGTTCAGGTTGTCGGAGGACCAATTCTATTTCCCTTCTTCCCTAGGTTTGGATATATAAACAAATAGATTCCCTTTTCTGCCAAAACTGGCTGTTTGTATCATTTGCAACAAGAGTCAGGATTAAAATAGGAATGTTTTTAAGCCTGCAACAATTCCTTGTTTCTTGTAACAGTTTCCAATTAGCTCCTCTGACTGGCTTCAAAGCTGGTCATAACCCCCTCCTTCTCTTGCCTCCACTCAGCTGACCTCATCTTTTCTTACTCAGTTCATGGAGTTTGTTTTTGTGGCTTTGCTCTTCTTAGTCTCCTTGTCTGGACTATCTTCATTTCCCCCTCCCTGCCCATCCAAATCCTATCCAACCTTCCCAGCCACTCCCAGTACACATCCATGAAACATTCCCCAAATCAGCCACAGAATTCCCTTTCATAATGTTTATAATATGTAAGGTCTATATCATGCATTCCACATTCCACACCTATGTCTTTTTGTCTTTTTGTTTTTTTGTTTTTGAGACGGAGTCTTGCTCTGTCACCCAGGCTGGAGTACAGTGGCATGATCTCAGCTCACTGTAACCTTCGCCTCCCAGGTTCAAGTGATTCTCCTGCCTCAGCCTCCTGAGTAGCTAGGATTACAGGCACGCACCACCACGCCCGGCTAATTTTTGTATTTTTAGTAGAGACAGGGTTTCACCATGTTGGTCAGGCTGGTCTCGAACTCCTGACGACGTGATCCATCCGCCTCGACCTCCCAAAGTACTGGGATTACAGGCATGAGCCACTGTGCCTGGCCCTTATGTCCACTTTTTATGGTTTGAGGTTACTCCAAATAAATTATAAACCCCATGAGGACTAGAAC